>NC_000011.10:53986955-54342399 GCF_000001405.40 Homo sapiens
TCCGTGTAGTTCTGGGAAGTTTATCCCGTTTCCAACGAAATCCTCAGAGAGGTCCAAATATCCACTTGCAGATTCTACAGAAAGTGTGTTTGGAAACTGCGCCATCTAAAGGAATGTTCAGCTCTGTTAGTTCAATGCAATGATCACTAAGAATTGTCTGTAAGTAATTCCATTAACACCATTAACACATGAGTCAGATCATGGTACTTCTTTACTCAACAGCTTCTAATAGCTTCTCATCACCCTTAGAATAGAATCTAAATTTACCAGGACCCACAGATTCTATACAAATTGGCTTCTAGCATCAACTCTAGTCTCATTGGTATCTTCCTCTCACTTACTTCACTCCCTTAATGCAAGCTTTCTTGCTGTGCTCTAAACAGGCCAAGCATTCTGAGAAACTTCTTTGTGATGTTTGCATTCAACTCACAGAGTTGAACCTTGCTTTCATTGTTCAGCTTTCAAACACTCTTTTTGTAGAATCTGCAAGTGGATATTTGGACCACTTTGTGGCCTTCCTTCGAAACGGGTATATCTTCACATCAAACCTAGACAGAAGCATTCTCAGAATGTTTCCCGTGATGACTGCATTCAACTCACAGAGGTGAACAATCCTGCTGATGGAGCAGTTTTGAAACTCTCTTTCTTTGGATTCTGTAAGTGGATATGTGGACCTCTGTGAAGATTTCGTTGGAAACGGGTTCATCTTCACAGAAAAACTAAACAGAAGCATTCTCAGAAACTGCTTTGTGATGTTTGTGTTCCACTTCAGGAATTGAACTTTCCTCTTGACAGAGCAGCTCTGAAACCCTCTTATTCTAGAATCTGCAAGTGGACATTTGGAGGGCTTTGAGGCCTGTGGTGGAAAAGGAAAATCTTCACATAAAAACTAGATGGAAGCATTCTCAGAAACTATCTTTGTGATGATTGCATTCGACTCACAGAGTTGAACATTCCTATAGATAGAGCAGGTTGTAAACAATCTTTTTGTAGAATACTGCGATTGGAGATTTGGACTGCTTTAAGGCCTACTGTAGTAAAGGAAATAACTTCATCTAAAAACCAAACGGAAGCATTCACAGACAATTCTTAGTGATCATTGCATTGAACTAACAGAGCTGAACATTCCTTTAGATGGAGCAGTTTCCAAACACACTTTCTGTAGAATCTGCAAGTGGATATTTGGACTTCTCTGAGGATTTCGTTGGAAACGGGATAAACTTCCCAGAACTACACGGAAGCATGCTGAGAAACTTCTTTGTGATGTTTGCATTCCACTCACAGAGTTGAACCTTGCTTTCATAGTTCAGCTTTCAAACACTCTTATTGTAGAATCTGCAAGTGGATATTTGGACCACTTTGTGGCCTTCCTTCGAAACGGGTATATCTTCACATCAAACCTAGACAGAAGCATTCTCAGAATGTTTCCTGTGATGACTGCATTCAACTCACAGAGGTGAACAATCCTGTTGATGAAGCACTTTTGAAACTCTCTTTCTTTGGATTCTGCAAGTTGATATGTGGACCTCTGTGAAGATTTCGTTGGAAACGGGTTCATCTTCACAGAAAAACTAAATAGAAGCATTCTCAGAAACTGCTTTGTGATGTTTGTGTTCCACTTCAGGAATTGAACTTTCCTCTTGACAGAGCAGCTCTAAAACCCTCTTATTCTAGAATCTGCAAGTGGACATTTGGAGGGCTTTGAGGCCTGTGGTGGAAAAGGAAAATCTTCACATAAAAACTAGATGGAAGCATTCTCAGAAACTACTTTGTGATGATTGCATTCGACTCACAGAGTTGAACATTCCTATAGATAGAGCAGGTTGTAAACAATCTTTTTGTAGAATCTGCGATTGGAGATTTGGACTGCTTTGAGGCCTACTGTAGTAAAGGAAATAACTTCACCTAAAAACCAAACGGAAGCATTCACAGACAATTCTTAGTGATCATTGCATTGAACTAACAGAGCTGAACATTCCTTTAGATGGCGCAGTTTCCAAACACACTTTCTGTAGAATCTGCAAGTGGATATTTGGACTTCTCTGAGGATTTCGTTGGAAACGGGATAAACTTCCCAGAACTACACGGAAGCATTGTGAGAAACTTCTTTGTGATGTTTGCATTCAACTCACAGAGTTGAACCTTGCTTTCATAGTTCAGCTTTCAAACACTCTTTTTGTAGAATCTGCAAGTGGATATTTGGACCACTTTGTGGCCTTCCTTTGAAAAGGGTATATCTTCACATCAAACCTAGACAGAAGCATTCTCAGAATGTTTCCTGTGATGACTGCATTCAACTCACAGAGGTGAACAATCCTGCTGATGGAGCAGTTTTGAAACTCTCTTTCTTTGGATTCTGCAAGTGGATATGTGGACCTCTGTGAAGATTTCGTTGGAAACGGGTTCATCTTCACAGAAAAACTAAACAGGAGCATTCTCAGAAACTACTTTGTGATGTTTGTGTTCCACTTCAAGAATTGAACTTTCCTCTTGACAGAGCAGCTCTGAAACCCTCTTTTACTAGAATCTGCAAGTGGACATTTGGAGGGCTTTGAGGCCTGTGGTGGAAAAGGAAAATCTTCACATAAAAACTAGATGGAAGCATTCTCAGAAACTACTTTGTGATGATTGCATTCTACTCACAGAGTTGAACATTCCTATAGATAGAGCAGGTTGTAAACAAACTTTTTGTAGAATCTGCGATTGGAGATTTGGACTGCTTTGAGGCCTACTTTAGTAAAGGAAATAACTTCATCTAAAAACCAAACGGAAGCATTAACAGACAATTCTTAGTGATCATTGGATTGAACTAACAGAGCTGAACATTCCTTTAGATGGAGCAGTTTCCAAACCCACTTTCTGTAGAATCTGCAAGTGGATATTTGGACTTCTCTGAGGATTTCGTTGGAAACGGGATAAACTTCCCAGAACTACACGGAAGCATTCTGAGAAACTTTTTTGTGATGTTTGCATTCAACTCACAGAGTTGAACCTTGCTTTCATAGTTCAGCTTTCAAACACTCTTTTTGTAGAATCTGCAAGTGGATATTAGGACCACTTTGTGGCCTTCCTTCGAAACGGGTATATCTTCACATCAAACCTAGACAGAAGCATTCTCAGAATGTTTCCTGTGATGACTGCATTCAACTCACAGAGGTGAACAATCCTGTTGATGGAGCACTTTTGAAACTCTCTTTCTTTGGATTCTGCAAGTTGATATGTGGACCTCTGTGAAGATTTCGTTGGAAACGGGTTCATCTTCACAGAAAAACTAAACAGAAGCATTCTCAGAAACTGCATTATCATGATTGTGTTCCACTTAAAGAGTTGAACTTTTCTCTTGACAGAGCAGCTCTGAAACCCTCTTTTACTAGAATCTGCAAGTGGACATTTGGAGGGCTTTGAGGCCTGTGGTGGAAAAGGAAAATCTTCACATAAAAACTTTATGGAAGCATTCTCAGAAACTACTTTGTGATGATTGCATTCGACTCACAGAGTTGAATATTCCTATAGATAGAGCAGGTTGTAAACAATCTTTTTGTAGAATCTGCGATTGGAGATTTGGACTGCTTTGAGGCCTACTGTAGTAAAGGAAATAACTTCATCTAAAAACCAAACGGAAGCATTCACAGACAATTCTTAGTGATCATTGGATTGAACTAACAGAGCTGAACATTCCTTTAGATGGAGCAGTTTCCAAACACACTTTCTGTAGAATCTGCAAGTGGATATTTGGAACTCTCTGAGGATTTCGTTGGTAAAGGGATAAACTTCCCAGAACTACACGGAAGCATGCTGAGAAACTTCTTTGTGATGTTTGCATTCAACTCACAGAGTTGAACCTTGCTTTCATAGTTCAGCTTTCAAACACTCTTTTTGTAGAATCTGCAAGTGGATATTTGGACCACTTTGTGGCCTTCCTTCGAAACGGGTATATCTTCACATCAAACCTAGACAGAAGCATTCTCAGAATGTTTCCTGTGATGACTGCATTCAACTCACAGAGGTGAACAATCCTGCTGTTGGAGCAGTTTTGAAACTCTCTTTCTTTGGATTCTGCAAGTGGATATGTGGACCTCTGTGAAGATTTCGTTGGAAACGGGTTCATCTTCACAGAAAAACTAAACAGGAGCATTCTCAGAAACTACTTTGTGATGTTTGTGTTCCACTTCAAGAATTGAACTTTCCTCTTGACAGAGCAGCTCTGAAACCCTCTTTTTCTAGAATCTGCAAGTGGACATTTGGAGGGCTTTGAGGCCTGTGGTGGAAAAGGAAAATCTTCACATAAAAACTAGATGGAAGCATTCTCAGAAACTACTTTGTGATGATTGCATTCGACTCACAGAGTTGAACATTCCTATAGATAGAGCAGGTTGTAAACAATCTTTTTGTAGAATCTGCGATTGGAGATTTGGACTGCTTTGAGGCCTACTGTAGTAAAGGAAATAACTTCATCTAAAAACCAAACGGAAGCATTCACAGACAATTCTTAGTGATCATTGGATTGAACTAAGAGAGCTGAACATTCCTTTAGGTGGAGCAGTTTCCATACACACTTTCTGTAGAATCTGCAAGTGGATATTTGGACCTCTCTGAGGATTTCGTTGGAAACGGGATAAACTTCCCAGAACTACACGGAAGCATTGTGAGAAACTTCTTTGTGATGTTTGCATTCAACTCACAGAGTTGAACCTTGCTTTCATAGTTCAGCTTTCAAACACTCTTTTTGTAGAATCTGCAAGTGGATATTTGGACCACTTTGTGGCCTTCTTCGAAACGGGTATATCTTCACATCAAACCTAGACAGAAGCATTCTCAGAATGTTTCCTGTGATGACTGCATTCAACTCACAGAGGTGAACAATCCTGCTGATGGAGCAGTTTTGAAACTCTCTTTCTTTGGATTCTGCAAGTGGATATGTGGACCTCTGTGAAGATTTCGTTGGAAACGGGTTCATCTTCACAGAAAGACTAAACAGGAGCATTCTCAGAAACTGCTTTGTGATGTTTGTGTTCCACATCAAGAATTGAACTTTCCCCTTGACAGAGCAGCTCTGAAACCCTCTTTTTCTAGAATCTGCAAGTGGACATTTGGAGGGCTTTGAGGCCTGTGGTGTAAAAGGAAAATCTTCACATAAAAACTAGATGGAAGCATTCTCAGAAACTACTTTGTGATGATTGCATTCGACTCACAGAGTTGAACATTCCTATAGATAGAGCAGGTTGTAAACAATGTTTTTGTAGAATCTGCGATTGGAGATTTGGACTGCTTTGAGGCCTACTGTAGTAAAGGAAATAACTTCATCTAAAAACCAAACGGAAGCATTCACAGACAATTCTTAGTGATCATTGGTTTGAACTAACAGAGCTGAACATTCCTTTAGATGGAGCAGTTTCCAAACACACTTTCTGTAGAATCTGCAAGTGGATATTTGGACTTCTCTGAGGATTTCGTTGGAAATGGGATAAACTTCCCAGAACTACACGGAAGCATGCTGAGAAACTTCTTTGTGATGTTTGCATTCAACTCACAGAGTTGAAACTTGCTTTCATAGTTCAGCTTTCAAACACTCTTTTTGTAGAATCTGCAAGTGGATATTTGGACCACTTTGTGGCCTTCCTTCGAAACGGGTATATCTTCACTTCAAACCTAGACAGAAGCATTCTCAGAATGTTTCCTGTAATGACTGCATTCAACTCACAGAGGTGAACAATCCTGCTGATGGAGCAGTTTTGAAACTCTCCTTCTTTGGATTCTGCAAGTGGATATGTGGACCTCTGTGAAGATTTCGTTGGAAACGGGTTCATCTTCACAGAAAAACTAAACAGAAGCATTCTCAGAAACTGCTTTGTGATGTTTGTGTTCCACTTCAAGAATTGAACTTTCCTCTTGACAGAGCAGCTCTGAAACCCTCTTTTTCTAGAATCTGCAAGTGGACATTTGGAGGGCTTTGAGGCCTGTGGTGGAAAAGGAAAATCTTCCCATAAAAACTAGATGGAAGCATTCTCAGAAACTTCTTTGTGATGATTGCATTCGACTCACAGAGTTGAACATTCCTATAGATAGAGCAGGTTGTAAACAATCTTTTTGTAGAATCTGCGATTGGAGATTTGGACTGCTTTGAGGCCTACTGTAGTAAAGGAAATTACTTCATCTAAAAACCAAACGGAAGCATTCACAGACAATTCTTAGTGATCATTGGATTGAACTAACAGAGCTGAACATTCCTTTAGATGGAGCAGTTTCCAAACCCACTTTCTGTAGAATCTGCAAGTGGATATTTGGACTTCTCTGAGGATTTCGTTGGAAACGGGATAAACTTCCCAGAACTACACGGAAGCATTGTGAGAAACTTCTTTGTGATGTTTTCATTCAACTCACAGAGTTGAACCTTGCTTTCATAGTTCAGCTTTCAAACACTCTTTTTGTAGAATCTGCAAGTGGATATTTGGACCACTTTGTGGCCTTCCTTCGAAACGGGTATATCTTCACATCAAACCTAGACAGAAGCATTCTCAGAATGTTTCCTGTGATGACTGCATTCAACTCACAGAGGTGAACAATCCTGCTGATGGAGCAGTTTTGAAACTCTCTTTCTTTGGATTCTGCAAGTGGATATGTGGACCTCTGTGAAGATTTCGTTGGAAACGGGTTCATCTTCACAGAAAAACTAAACAGAAGCATTCTCAGAAACTGCTTTGTGATGTTTGTGTTCCACTTCAAGAATTGAACTTTCCTCTTGACCGAGCAGCTCTGAAACCCTCTTATTCTAGAATCTGCAAGTGGACATTTGGAGGGCTTTGAGGCCTGTGGTGGAAAAGGAAAATCTTCACATAAATACTAGATGGAAGCATTCTCAGAAACTACTTTGTGATGACTGCATTCGACTCACAGAGTTGAACATTCCTATAGATAGAGCAGGTTGTAAACAATCTTTTTGTAGAGTCTGCGATTGGAGATTTGGACTGCTTTGAGGCCTACTGTAGTAAAGGAAATAACTTCATCTAAAAACCAAACGGAAGCATTCACAGACAATCCTTTGTGATGGTTGGTTTGAACTCAGAGAGCTGAACATTCCTTTAGATGGCGCAGTTTCCAAACACACTTTCTGTAGAATCTGCAAGTGGATATTTGGACCTCTCTGAAGATTTCGTTGGAAACGGGATAAACTTCCCAGAACTACACGGAAGCATTCTGAGAAACTTCTTTGTGATGTTTGCATTCAACTCACAGAGTTGAACCTTGCTTTCATAGTTCAGCTTTCAAACACTCTTTTTGTAGAATCTGAAAGTGGATATTTGGACCACTTTGTGGCCTTCCTTCGATACGGGTATATCTTCACATCAAACCTAGACAGAAGCATTCTCAGAATGTTTCCTGTGATGACTGCATTCAACTCACAGAGGTGAACAATCCTGCTGATGGAGCAGTTTTGAAACTCTCTTTCTTTGGATTCTGCAAGTGGATATGTGGACCTCTGTGAAGATTTCGTTGGAAACGGGTTCATCTTCACAGAAAAACTAAACAGGAGCATTCTCAGTAAACTGCTTTGTGATGTTTGTGTTCCACTTCAAGAATTGAACTTTCCTCTTGACAGAGCAGCTCTGAAACCCTCTTTTTCTAGAATCTGCAAGTGGACATTTGGAGGGCTTTGAGGCCTGTGGTGGAAAAGGAAAATCTTCACATAAAAACTAGATGAAAGCATTGTCAGAAACTACTTTGTGATGATTGCATTCGACTCACAGAGTTGAACATTCCTATAGATAGAGCAGGTTGTAAACAATCTTTTTGTAGAATCTGCGATTGGAGATTTGGACTGCTTTGAGGCCTACTGTAGTAAAGGATATAACTTCATCTAAAAACCAAACGGAAGCATTCACAGACAATTCTTAGTGATCATTGGATTGAACTAACAGAGCTGAACATTCCTTTAGATGGAGCAGTTTCCAAACCCACTTTCTGTAGAATCTGCAAGTGGATATTTGGACCTCTCTGAGGATTTTGTTGGAAACGGGATATACTTCCCAGAAATACACGGAAGCATTGTGAGAAACTTCTTTGTGATGTTTGCATTCAACTCACAGAGTTGAACCTTGCTTTCATAGTTCAGCTTTCAAACACTCTTTTTGTAGAATCTGCAAGTGGATATTTGGACCACTTTGTGGCCTTCCTTTGAAAAGGGTATATCTTCACATCAAACCTAGACAGAAGCATTCTCAGAATGTTTCCTGTGATGACTGCATTCAACTCACAGAGGTGAACAATCCTGCTGATGGAGCAGTTTTGAAACTCTCTTTCTTTGGATTCTGCAAGTGGATATGTGGACCTCTGTGAAGATTTCGTTGGAAACGGGTTCATCTTCACAGAAAAACTAAACAGGAGCATTCTCAGAAACTGCTTTGTGATGTTTGTGTTCCACTTCAAGAATTGAAATTTCCTCTTGACAGAGCAGCTCTGAAACCCTCTTTTTCTAGAATCTGCAAGTGGACATTTGGAGGGATTTGAGGCCTGTGGTGGAAAAGGAAAAATCTTCACATAAAAACTAGATGGAAGCATTCTCAGAAACTACTTTGTGATGATTGCATTCGACTCACAGAGTTGAACATTGCTATAGATAGAGCAGGTTGTAAACAATCTTTTTGTAGAATCTGCGATTGGAGATTTGGACTGCTTGGAGGCCTACTGTAGTAAAGGAAATAACTTCATCTAAAAACCAAACGGAAGCATTCACAGACAATTCTTAGTGATCATTGGATTGAACTAACAGAGCTGAACATTCCTTTAGATGGCGCAGTTTCCAAACACACTTTCTGTAGAATCTGCAAGTGGATATTTGGACTTCTCTGAGGATTTCGTTGGAAACGGGATAAACTTCCCAGAACTACACGGAAGCATTCTGAGAAACTTCTTTGTGATGTTTGCATTCAACTCACAGAGTTGAACCTTGCTTTCATAGTTCAGCTTTCAAACACTCTTTTTGTAGAATCTGCAAGTGGATATTTGGACCACTTTGTGGCCTTCCTTCGAAACGGGTATATCTTCACATCAAACCTAGACAGAAGCATTCTCAGAATGTTTCCTGTGATGACTGCATTCAACTCTCAGAGGTGAACAATCCTGCTGATGGAGCAGTTTTGAAACTCCCTTTCTTTGGATTCTGCAAGTGGATATGTGGACCTCTGTGAAGATTTCGTTGGAAACGGGTCCATCTTCACAGAAAAACTAAACAGAAGCATTCTCAGAAACTGCTTTGTGATGTTTGTGTTCCACTTCAGGAATTGAACTTTCCTCTTGACAGAGCAGCTCTGAAACCCTCTTATTCTAGAATCTGCAAGTGGACATTTGGAGGGCTTTGAGGCCTGTGGTGGAAAAGGAAAATCTTCACATAAAAACTAGATGGAAGCATTCTCAGAAACTACTTTGTGATGATTGCATTCGACTCACAGAGTTGAACATTCCTATAGATAGAGCAGGTTGTAAACAATCTTTTTGTAGAATCTGCGATTGGTGATTTGGACTGCTTTGAGGCCTACTGTAGTAAAGGAAATAACTTAATCTAAAAACCAAACGGAAGCATTCACAGACAATTCTTAGTGATCATTGCATTGAACTAACAGAGCTGAACATTCCTTTAGATGGCGCAGTTTCCAAACACACTTTCTGTAGAATCTGCAAGTGGATATTTGGACCTCTCTGAGGATTTCGTTGGAAACGGGATAAACTTCCCAGAACTACACGGAAGTATTCTGAGAAACTTCTTCGTGATGTTTGCATTCAACTCACAGAGTTGAACCTTGCTTTCATAGTTCAGCTTTCAAACACTCTTTTTGTAGAATCTGCAAGTGGATATTTGGACCATTTTGTGGCCTTCCTTCGAAACGGGTATATCTTCACATCAAACCTTGACAGAACCATTCTCAGAATGTTTCCTGTGATGACTGCATTCAACTCACAGAGGTGAACAATCCTGCTGATGGAGCAGTTTTGAAATTCTCTTTCTTTGGATTCTGCAAGTGGATATGTGGACCTCTGTGAAGATTTCGTTGGAAACGGGTTCATCTTCACAGAAAAACTAAACAGGAACATTCTCAGAAACTGCTTTGTGATGTTTGTGTTCCACTTCAGGAATTGAACTTTCCTCTTGACAGAGCAGCTCTGAAACCCTCTTATTCTAGAATCTGCAAGTGGACATTTGGAGGGCTTTGAGGCCTGTGGTGGAAAAGGAAAATCTTCACATAAAAACTAGATGGAAGCATTCTCAGAAACTACTTTGTGATGATTGCATTCGACTCACAGAGTTGAACATTCCTATAGATAGAGCAGGTTGTAAACAATGTTTTTGTAGAATCTGCGATTGGAGATTTGGACTGCTTTGAGGCCTACTGTAGTAAAGGAAATAACTTCATCTAAAAACCAAACGGAAGCATTCACAGAAACTTCTTAGTGATCATTGGATTGAACTAACAGAGCTGAACATTCCTTTAGATGGCACAGTTTCCAAACACACTTTCTGTAGAATCTGCAAGTGGATATTTGGACCTCTCTGAGGATTTCGTTGGAAAAGGGCTAAACTTCCCAGAACTACACGGAAGTATTCTGAGAAACTTCTTTGTGATGTTTGCATTCAACTCACAGAGTTGAACCTTGCTTTCATAGTTCAGCTTTCAAACACTCTTTTTGTAGAATCTGCAAGTGGATATTTGGACCACTTTGTGGCCTTCCTTCGAAACGGGTATATCTTCACATCAAACCTAGACAGAAGCATTCTCAGAATGTTTCCTGTGATGACTGCATTCAACTCACAGAGGTGAACAATCCTGCTGATGGAGCAGTTTTGAAACTCTCTTTCTTTGGATTCTGCAAGTGGATATGTGGACCTCTGTGAAGATTTCGTTGGAAACGGGTTCATCTTCACAGAAAAACTAAACAGAAGCATTCTCAGAAACTGCTTTGTGATGTTTGTGTTCCACTTCAGGAATTGAACTTTCCTCTTGACAGAGCAGCTCTGAAATCCTCTTATTCTAGAATCTGCAAGTGGACATTTGGAGGGCTTTGAGGCCTGTGGTGGAAAAGGAAAATCTTCACATAAAAACTAGATGGAAGCATTCTCAGAAACTACTTTGTGATGATTGCATTCGACTCACAGAGTTGAACATTCCTATAGATAGAGCAGGTTGTAAACAATCTTTTTGTAGAATCTGCGATTGGAGATTTGGACTGCTTTGAGGCCTACTGTAGTAAAGGAAATAACTTCATCTAAAAACCAAACGGCAGCATTCACAGACAATTCTTAGTGATCATTGGATTGAACTAACAGAGCTGAACATTCCCTTAGATGGCGCAGTTTCCAAACACACTTTCTGTAGAATCTGCAAGTGGATATTTGGACCTCTCTGAGGATTTCGTTGGAAACGGGATAAACTTCCCAGAACTACACGGAAGCATTCTGAGAAACTTCTTTGTGATGTTTGCATTCAACTCACAGAGTTGAACCTTGCTTTCATAGTTCAGCTTTCAAACACTCTTTTTGTAGAATCTGCAAGTGGATATTTGGACCACTTTGTGGCCTTCCTTCGAAACGGGTATATCTTCACATCAAACCTAGACAGAAGCATTCTCAGAATGTTTCCTGTGATGACTGCATTCAACTCACCGAGGTGAACAATCCTGTTGGTGGAGCCGTTTTGAAACTCTCTTTCTTTGGATTCTGCAAGTTGATATGTGGACCTCTGTGAAGATTTCGTTTGAAACGGGTTCATCTTCACAGAAAAACTAAACAGGAGCATTCTCAGAAACTGCTTTGTGATGTTTGTGTTCCACTTCAGGAATTGAAGTTTCCTCTTGACAGAGCAGCTCTGAAACCCTCTTTTTCTAGAATCTGCAAGTGGACATTTGGAGGGCTTTGAGGCCTGTGGTGGAAAAGGAAAATCTTCACATAAAAACTAGATGGAAGCATTCTCAGAAACTACTTTCTGATGATTGCATTCGACTCACAGAGTTGAACATTCCTATAGATAGAGTAGGTTGTAAACAATCTTTTTGTAGAATCTGCGATTGGAGATTTGGACTGCTTTGAGGCTTACTGTGGTAATGGAAATAACTTCATCTAAAAACCAAACGGAAGCATTCACAGACAATTCTTAGTGATCATTGGATTGAACTAACAGAGCTGAACATTCCTTTAGATGGAGCAGTTTCCAAACCCACTTTCTGTAGAATCTGCAAGTGGATATTTGGACTTCTCTGAGGATTTCGTTGGAAACTGGATAAACTTCCCAGAACAACACGGAAGCATTCTGAGAAACTTCTTTGTGATGTTTGCATTCAACTCACAGGAGTTGAACCTTGCTTTCATAGTTCAGCTTTCAAACACTCTTTTTGTAGAATCTACAGAAAGTGGATATTTGGACCACTTTGTGGCCTTCCTTCGAAACGGGTATATCTTCACATCAAACCTAGACAGAAGCATTCTCAGAATGTTTCCTGTGATGACTGCATTCAACTCACAGAGGTGAACAATCCTGCTGATGGAGCAGTTTTGAAACTCTCTTTCTTTGGATTCTGCAAGTGGATATGTGGACCTCTGTGAAGATTTCGTTGGAAACGGGTTCATCTTCACAGAAAAACTAAACAGGAGCATTCTCAGAAACTGCTTTGTGATGTTTGTGTTCCACTTCAGGAATTGAACTTTCCTCTTGACAGAGCAGCTCTAAAACCCTCTTATTCTAGAATCTGCAAGTGGACATTTGGAGGGCTTTGAGGCCTGTGGTGGAAAAGGAAAATCTTCACATAAAAACTAGATGGAAGCATTCTCAGAAACTACTTTGTGATGATTGCATTCGACTCACAGAGTTGAACATTCCTATAGATAGAGCAGGTTGAAAACAATCTTTTTGTAGAATCTGCGATTGGAGATTTGGACTGCTTTGAGGCCTACTGTAGTAAAGGAAATAACTTCATCTAAAAACCAAACGGAAGCATTCACAGACAATTCTTAGTGATCATTGCATTGAACTAACAGAGCTGAACATTCCTTTAGATGGCGCAGTTTCCAAACACACATTCTGTAGAATCTGCAAGTGGATATTTGGACCTCTCTGAGGATTTCGTTGGAAACGGGATAAACTTCCCAGAACTACACTGGAAGTATTCTGAGAAACTTCTTTGTGATGTTTGCATTCAACTCAAAGAGTTGAACCTTGCTTTCATAGTTCAGCTTTCAAACACTCTTTTTGTAGAATCTGCAAGTGGATATTTGGACCACTTTGTGGCCTTCCTTCGAAACGGGTATATCTTCACATCAAACCTAGACAGAAGCATTCTCAGAATGTTTCCTGTGATGACTGCATTCAACTCACAGAGGTGAACAATCCTGCTGATGGAGCAGTTTTGAAACTCTCTTTCTTTGGATTCTGCAAGTGGATATGTGGACCTCTGTGAAGATTTCGTTGGAAACGGGTTCATCTTCACAGAAAAACTAAACAGAAGCATTCTCAGAAACTGCTTTGTGATGTTTGTGTTCCACTTCAGGAATTGAACTTTCCTCTTGACAGAGCAGCTCTGAAACCCTCTTATTCTAGAATCTGCAAGTGGACATTTGGAGGGCTTTGAGGCCTGTGGTGGAAAAGGAAAATCTTCACATAAAAACTAGATGGAAGCATTCTCAGAAACTACTTTGTGATGATTGCATTCGACTCACAGAGTTGAACATTCCTATAGATAGAGCAGGTTGTAAACAATCTTTTTGTAGAATCTGCGATTGGAGATTTGGACTGCTTTGAGGCCTACTGTAGTAAAGGAAATAACTTCATCTAAAAACCAAACGGAAGCATTCACAGACAATTCTTAGTCATCATTGCATTGAACTAACAGAGCTGAACATTCCTTTAGATGGAGCAGTTTCCAAACCCACTTTCTGTAGAATCTGCAAGTGGATATTTGGACTTCTCTGAGGATTTCGTTGGAAAAGGGATATGCTTCCCAGAACTACAGGGAAGCATTCTGAGAAACTTCTTTGTGATGTTTGCATTCAACTCACAGAGTTGAACCTTGCTTTCATAGTTCAGCTTTCAAACACTCTTTTTGTAGAATCTGCAAGTGGATATTTGGACCACTTTGTGGCCTTCCTTCGAAACGGGTATATCTTCACATCAAACCTAGACAGAAGCATTCTCAGAATGTTTCCTGTGATGACTGCATTCAACTCACAGAGGTGAACAATGCTGCTGATGGAGCAGTTTTGAAACTCTCTTTCTTTGGATTCTGCAAGTGGATATGTGGACCTCTGTGAAGATTTCGTTGGAAACGGGTTCATCTTCACAGAAAAACTAAACAGAAGCATTCTCAGAAACTGCTTTGTGATGTTTGTTTTCCACTTCAAGAATTGAACTTTCCTCTTGACAGAGCAGCTCTGAAACCCTCTTATTCTAGAATCTGCAAGTGGACATTTGGAGGGCTTTGAGGCCTGTGGTGGAAAAGGAAAATCTTCACATAAAAACTAGATGGAAGCATTCTCAGAAACTACTTTGTGATGATTGCATTCGACTCACAGAGTTGAACATTCCTATAGATAGAGCAGGTTGTAAACAATCTTTTTGTAGAATCTGCGACTGGAGATTTGGACTGCTTTGAGGCCTACTGTAGTAAAGGAAATAACTTCATCTAAAAACCAAACGGAAGCATTCACAGACAATTCTTAGTGATCATTGGATTGAAGTAACAGAGCTGAACATTCCTTTAGATGGAGCAGCTTCCAAACACACTTTCTGTAGAATCTGCAAGTGGATATTTGGACTTCTCTGAGGATTTCGTTGGAAACGGGATAAACTTCTCAGAACTACAGGGAAGCATTGTGAGAAACTTCTTTGTGATGTTTGCATTCAACTCACAGAGTTGAACCTTGCTTTCATAGTTCAGCTTTCAAACACTCTTTTTGTGGAATCTGCAAGTGGATATTTGGACCACTTTGTGGCCTTCCTTCCAAACGGGTAAATCTTCACATCAAACCTAGACAGAAGCATTCTCAGAATGTTTCCTGTGATGACTGCATTCAACTCACAGAGGTGAACAATCCTGCTGATGGAGCAGTTTTGAAACTCTCTTTCTTTGGATTCTGCAAGTTGATATGTGGACCTCTGTGAAGATTTCGTTGGAAACGGGTTCATCTTCACAGAAAAACTAAACAGGAGCATTCTCAGAAACTGCTTTGTGATGTTTGTGTTCCACTTCAAGAATTGAACTTTCCTCTTGACAGAGCAGCTCTGAAACCCTCTTTTTCTAGAATCTGCAAGTGGACATTTGGAGGGCTTTGAGGCCTGTGGTGGAAAAGGAAAATCTTCACATAAAAACTAGATGGAAGCATTCTCAGAAACTACTTTGTGATGATTGCATTCGTCTCACAGAGTTGAACATTCCTATAGATAGAGCAGGTTGTAAACAATCTTTTTGTAGAATCTGCGATTGGAGATTTGGACTGCTTTGAGGCCTACTGTAGTAAAGGAAATAACTTCATCTAAAAACCAAACGGAAGCATTCACAGACAATTCTTAGTGATCATTGGATTGAACTAACAGAGCTGAACATTCCTTTAGATGGAGCAGTTTCCAAACACACTTTCTGTAGAATCTGCAAGTGGATATTTGGACTTCTCTGAGGATTTCGTTGGAAACGGGATAAACTTCCCAGAACTACACGGAAAGCATTCTGAGAAACTTCTTTGTGATGTTTGCATTCAACTCACAGAGTTGAACCTTGCTTTCATAGTTCAGCTTTCAAACACTCTTTTTGTAGAATCTGCAAGTGGATATTTGGACCACTTTGTGGCCTTCCTTCGAAACGGGTATATCCTCACATCAAACCTAGACAGAAGCATTCTCAGAATGTTTCCTGTGATGACTGCATTCAACTCACAGAGGTGAACAATCCTGCTGATGGAGCAGTTTTGAAACTCTCTTTCTTTGGATTCTGCAAGTGGATATGTGGACCTCTGTGAAGATTTCGTTGGAAACGGGTTCATCTTCACAGAAAAACTAAACAGGAGCATTCTCAGAAACTGCTTTGTGATGTTTGTGTTCCACTTCAGGAATTGAACTTTCCTCTTGACAGAGCAGCTCTGAAACCCTCTTTTTCTAGAATCTGCAAGTGGACATTTGGAGGGCTTTGAGGCCTGTGGTGGAAAAGGAAAATCTTCACATGAAAACTAGATGGAAGCATTCTCAGAAACTACTTTGTGATGATTGCATTCGACTCACAGAGTTGAGCATTCCTATAGATAGAGCAGGTTGTAAACAATCTTTTTGTAGAATCTGCGATTGGAGATTTGGACTGCTTTGAGGCCTACTGTAGTAAAGGAAATAACTTCATCTAAAAACCAAACGGAAGCATTCACAGACAATTCTTAGTGATCATTGCATTGAACTAACAGAGCTGAACATTCCTTTAGATGGCGCAGTTTCCAAACACACTTTCTGTAGAATCTGCAAGTGGATATTTGGACTTCTCTGAGGATTTCGTTGGAAACGGGATAAACTTCCCAGAACTACACGGAAGCATTGTGAGAAACTTCTTTGTGGTGTTTGCATTCAACTCACAGAGTTGAACCTTGCTTTCATAGTTCAGCTTTCAAACACTCATTTTGTGGAATCTGCAAGTGGATATTTGGACCACTTTGTGGCCTTCCTTCGAAACGGGTATATCTTCACATCAAACCTAGACAGAAGCATTCTCAGAATGTTTCCTGTGATGACTGCATTCAACTCACAGAGGTGAACAATCCTGCTGATGGAGCAGTTTTGAAACTCTCTTTCTTTGGATTCTGCAAGTGGATATGTGGGCCTCTGTGAAGATTTCGTTGGAAACGGGTTCATCTTCACAGAAAAACTAAACAGAAGCATTCTCAGAAACTGCTTTGTGATGTTTGTGTTCCACTTCAGGAATTGAACTTTCCTCTTGACAGAGCAGCTCTGAAACCCTCTTATTCTAGAATCTGCAAGTGGACATTTGGAGGGCTTTGAGGCCTGTGGTGGAAAAGGAAAATCTTCACATAAAAACTAGATGGAAGCATTCTCAGAAACTACTTTGTGATGATTGCATTCGACTCACAGAGTTGAACATTCCTATAGATAGAGCAGGTTGTAAACAATCTTTTTGTAGAATCTGCGATTGGAGATTTGGACTGCTTTGAGGCCTACTGTAGTAAAGGAAATAACTTCATTCTAAAAACCAAACGGAAGCATTCACAGACAATTCTTAGTGATCATTGCATTGAACTAACAGAGCTGAACATTGCTTTAGATGGCGCAGTTTCCAAACACACTTTCTGTAGAATCTGCAAGTGGATATTTGGACCTCTCTGAGGATTTCGTTGGAAACGGGATAAACTTCCCAGAACTACACGGAAGCATTCTGAGAAACTTCTTTGTGATGTTTGCATTCAACCCACAGAGTTGAACCTTGCTTTCATAGTTCAGCTTTCAAACACTCTTTTTGTAGAATCTGCAAGTGGATATTTGGACCACTTTGTGGCCTTCCTTCGAAACGGGTATATCTTCACATCAAACCTAGAGAGAAGCATTCTCAGAATGTTTCCTGTGATGACTGCATTCAACTCACAGAGGTGAACAATCCTGCTGATGGAGCAGTTTTGAAACTCTCTTTCTTTGGATTCTGCAAGTGGATATGTGGACCTCTGTGAAGATTTCGTTGGAAACGGGTTCATCTTCACAGAAAAACTAAACAGAAGCATTCTCAGAAACTACTTTGTGATGTTTGTGTTCCACTTCAAGAATTGAACTTTCCTCTTGACAGAGCAGCTCTGAAACCCTCTTTTTCTAGAATCTGCAAGTGGACATTTGGAGGGCTTTGAGGCCTGTGGTGGAAAAGGAAAATCTTCACATAAAAACTAGATGGAAGCATTCTCAGAAACTATTTTGGGATGATTGCATTCGACTCACAGAGTTGAACATTCCTATAGATAGAGCAGGTTGTAAACAATCTTTTTGTAGAATCTGCGATTGGAGATTTGGACTGCTTTGAGGCCTACTGTAGTAAAGGAAATAACTTCATCTAAAAACCAAACGGAAGCATTCACAGACAATTCTTAGTGATCATTGCATTGAACTAACAGAGCTGAACATTCCTTTAGATGGCGCAGTTTCCAAACACACTTTCTGTAGAGTCTGCAAGTGGATATTTGGACCTCTCTGAGGATTTCGTTGGAAACGGGATAAACTTCCCAGAACTACACGGAAGCATTCTGAGAAACTTCTTTGTCATGTTTGCATTCAACTCACAGAGTTGAACCTTGCTTTCATAGTTCAGCTTTCAAACACTCTTTTTGTAGAATCTGCAAGTGGATATTTGGACCACTTTGTGGCCTTCCTTCGAAACGGGTATATCTTCACATCAAACCTAGACAGAAGCATTCTCAGAATGTTTCCTGTGATGACTGCATTCAACTCACAGAGGTGAACAATCCTGCTGATGGAGCAGTTTTGAAACTCTCTTTCTTTGGATTCTGCAAGTGGATATGTGGACCTCTGTGAAGATTTCGTTGGAAACGGGTTCATCTTCACAGAAAAACTAAACAGAAGCATTCTCAGAAACTGCTTTCTGATGTTTGTGTTCCACTTCAGGAATTGAACTTTCCTCTTGACAGAGCAGCTCTGAAACCCTCTTATTCTAGAATCTGCAAGTGGACATTTGGAGGGCTTTGAGGCCTGTGGTGGAAAAGGAAAATCTTCACATAAAAACTAGATGGAAGCATTCTCAGAAACTACTTTGTGATGATTGCATTCGACTCACAAAGTTCAACATTCCTATAGGGAGAGCAGGTTGTAAACAATCTTTTTGTAGAATCTGCGATTGGAGATTTGGACTGCTTTGAGGCCTACTGTAGTAAAGGAAATAACTTCATCTAAAAACCAAACGGAAGCATTCACAGACAATTCTTAGTGATCATTGCATTGAACTAACAGAGCTGAACATTCCTTTAGATGGCGCAGTTTCCAGACACACTTTCTGTAGAATCTGCAAGTGGATATTTGGACTTCTCTGAGGATTTCGTTGGAAACGGGATAAACTTCCCAGAACTACACGGAAGGATTCTCAGAAACTTCTTTGTGATGTTGCATTCAACTCACAGAGTTGAACCTTGCTTTCATTGTTCAGCTTTCAAACACTCTTTTTGTAGAGTCTGCATGTGGATATTTGGACCACTTTGTGGCCTTCCTTCGAAACGGGTATATCTTCACATCAAACCTGGACAGAAGCATTCTCAGAATGTCTCCTGTGATGACTGCATTCAACTCACAGAGGTGAACAATCCTGTTGATGGAGCAGTTTTGAAACTCTCTTTCTTTGGAATCTGCAAATGGATGTGTGGACCTGTTTGAAGATTTCGTTGGAAACGGGTTCATCTTCACATAAAAACTAAACAGGAGCATTCTCAGAAACTGCTTTGTGATGTTTGTGTTCCACTTCAAGAATTGAACTTTCCTCTTGACAGAGCAGCTCTGAAACCCTCTTTTTCTAGAATCTGCAAGTGGACATTTGGAGGGCTTTGAGGCCTGTGGTGGAAAAGGAAAATCTTCACATAAAAACTAGATGGAAGCATTCTCAGAAACTACTTTGTGATGATTGCATTCGACTCACAGAGTTGAACATTCCTATACATAGAGCAGGTTGTAAACAATCTTTTTGTAGAATCTGCGATTGGAGATTTGGACTGCTTTGAGGCCTACTGTAGTAAAGGAAATAACTTCATCTAAAAACCAAACGGAAGCATTCACAGACAATTCTTAATGATCATTGCATTGAACTAACAGAGCTGAACATTCCTTTAGATGGAGCATTTCCAAACACACTTTCTGTAGAATCTGCAAGTGGATATTTGGACCTCTCTGAGGATTTCGTTGGAAAAGGGATATGCTTCCCAGAACTACAGGGAAGCATTGTGAGAAACTTCTTTGTGATGTTTGCATTCAACTCACAGAGTTGAACCTTGCTTTCATAGGACAGCTTTCAAACACTCTTTTTGTAGAATCTGCAAGTGGATATTTGGACCACTTTGTGGCCTTCCTTCGAAACGGGTATATCTTCACATCAAACCTAGACAGAAGCATTCTCAGAATGTTTCCTGTGATGACTGCATTCAACTCACAGAGGTGAACAATCCTGCTGATGGAGCACTTTTGAAACTCTCTTTCTTTGGATTCTGCAATTGGATATGTGGACCTCTGTGAAGATTTTGTTGGAAACGGGTTCATCTTCACAGAAAAACTAAACAGGAGCATTCTCAGAAACTGCTTTGTGATGTTTGTGTTCCACTTCAGGAATTGAACTTTCCTCTTGACAGAGCAGCTCTGAAACCCTCTTATTCTAGAATCTGCAAGTGGACATTTGGAGGGCTTTGAGGCCTGTGGTGGAAAAGGAAAATCTTCACATAAAAACTAGATGGAAGCATTCTCAGAAACTACTTTGTGATGATGGCTTTCGACTCACAGAGTTGAACATTCCTATAGATAGAGCAGGTTGTAAACAATCTTTTTGTAGAATCTGCGATTGGAGATTTGGACTGCTTTGAGGCCTACTGTAGTAAAGGAAATAACTTCATCTAAAAACCAAACGGAAGCATTCACAGACAATTCTTAGTGATCATTGGATTGAACTAACAGAGCTGAACATTCCTTTAGATGGAGCAGTTTCCAAACACACTTTCTGTAGAATCTGCAAGTGGATATTTGGACTTCTCTGAGGATTTCGTTGGAAACGGGATAAACTTCCCAGAACTACAGGGAAGCATTGTGAGAAACATCTTTGTGATGTTTGCATTCAACTCACAGAGTTGAACCTTGCTTTCATAGTTCAGCTTTCAAACACTCTTTTTGTAGAATCTGCAAGTGGATATTTGGACCACTTTGTGGCCTTCCTTCGAAACGGGTATATCTTCACATCAAACCTAGGCAGAAGCATTCTCAGAATGTTTCCTGTGATGACTGCATTCAACTCACAGAGGTGAACAATCCTGTTGATGGAGCAGTTTTGAAACTCTCTTTCTTTGGATTCTGCAAGTGGATATGTGGACCTCTGTGAAGATTTCGTTGGAAACGGTTTCATGTTCACAGAAAAACTAAACAGAAGCATTCTCAGAAACTGCTTTGTGATGTTTGTGTTCCACTTCAGGAATTGATCTTTCCTCTTGACAGAGCAGCTCTGAAAACCTCTTATTCTAGAATCTGCAAGTGGACATTTGGAGGGCTTTGAGGCCTGTGGTGGAAAAGGAAAATCTTCACATAAAAACTAGATGGAAGCATTCTCAGAAACTACTTTGTGATGATTGCATTCGACTCACAGAGTTGAACATTCCTATAGAGAGAGCAGGTTGTAAACAATCTTTTTGTAGAATCTGCGATTGGAGATTTGGACTGCTTTGAGGCCTACTGTAGTAAAGGAAATAACTTCATCTAAAAAGCAAACGGAAGCATTCACAGACAATTCTTAGTGATCATTGCATTGAACTAACAGAGCTGAACATTCCTTTAGATGGCGCAGTTTCCAAACACACTTTCTGTAGAATCTGCAAGTGGATATTTGGACCTCTGTGAGGATTTCGTTGGAAACGGGATAAACTTCCCAGAACTACAGGGAAGCATTCTGAGAAACTTCTTTGTGATGTTTGCATTCAACTCACAGAGTTGAACCTTGCTTTCATAGTTCAGCTTTCAAACACTCTTTTTGTAGAATCTGCAAGTGGATATTTGGACCACTTTCTGGCCTTCCTTCGAAACGGGTATATCTTCACATCAAACCTAGACAGAAGCACTCTCAGAATGTTTCCTGTGATGACTGCATTCAACTCACAGAGGTGAACAATCCTGCTGATGGAGCACTTTTGAAACTCTCTTTCTTTGGATTCTGCAAGTTGATATGTGGACCTCTGTGAAGATTTCGTTGGAAACGGGCTCATCTTCACAGAAAAACTAAACAGAAGCATTCTCAGAAACTGCTTTGTGATGTTTGTGTTCCACTTCAGGAATTGAACTTTCCTCTTGACAGAGCAGCTCTGAAACCCTCTTATTCTAGAATCTGCAAGTGGACATTTGGAGGGCTTTGAGGCCTGTGGTGGAAAAGGAAAATCTTCACATAAAAACTAGATGGAAGCATTCTCAGAAACTACTTTGTGATGATTGCATTCGACTCACAGAGTTGAACATTCCTATAGATAGAGCAGGTTGTAAACAATCTTTTTGTAGAATCTGCGATTGGAGATTTGGACTGCTTTGAGGCCTACTGTAGTAAAGGAAATAACTTCATCTAAAAACCAAAATGGAAGCATTCACAGACAATTCTTAGTGATCATTGCATTGAACTAACAGAGCTGAACATTCCTTTAGATGGCGCAGTTTCCAAACACACTTTCTGTAGAATCTGCAAGTGGATATTTGGACCTCTCTGAGGATTTCGTTGGAAACGGGATAAACTTCCCAGAACTACACGGAAGCATTCTGAGAAACTTCTTTGTGATGTTTGCATTCAACTCACCGAGTTGAACCTTGCTTTCATAGTTCAGCTTTCAAACACTCTTTTTGTAGAATCTGCAAGTGGATATTTGGACCACTTTGTGGCCTTCCTTCGAAACGGGTATACCTTCACATCAAACCTAGACAGAAGCATTCTCAGAGTGTTTCCTGTAATGACTGCATTCAACTCACAGAGGTGAACAATCCTGCTGATGGAGCAGTTTTGAAACTGTCTTTCTTTGGATTCTGCAAGTGGATATGTGGACCTCTGTGAAGATTTCGTTGGAAACGGGTTCATCTTCACAGAAAAACTAAACAGGAGCATTCTCAGAAACTACTTTGTGATGTTTGTGTTCCACTTCAAGAATTGAACTTTCCTCTTGACAGAGCAGCTCTGAAACCCTCTTTTTCTAGAATCTGCAAGTGGACATTTGGAGGGCTTTGAGGCCTGTGGTGGAAAAGGAAAATCTTCACATAAAAACTAGATGGAAGCATTCTCAGAAACTACTTTGTGATGATTGCATTCGACTCACAGAGTTGAACATTCCTATAGATAGAGCAGGTTGTAAACAATCTTTTTGTAGAATCTGCGATTGGAGATTTGGACTGCTTTGAGGCCTACTGTAGTAAAGGAAAGAACTTCATCTAAAAACCAAACGGAAGTATTCACAGACAATTCTTAGTGATCATTGGATTGAACTAACAGAGCTGAACATTCCTTTAGATGGCGCAGTTTCCAAACACACTTTCTCTAGATTCTGCAAGTGGATATTTGGACCTCTCTGAGGATTTCGTTGGAAACGGGATAAACTTCCCAGAACTACACGGAAGCATTCTGAGAAACTTCTTTGTGATGTTTGCATTCAACTCACAGAGTTGAACCTTGCTTTCATAGTTCAGCTTTCAAACACTCTTTTTGTAGAATCTGCAAGTGGATATTTGGACCACTTTGTGGCCTTCCTTCGAAACGGGTATATCTTCACATCAAACCTAGACAGAAGCATTCTCAGAATGTTTCCTGTGATGACTGCATTCAACTCACAGAGGTGAACAATCCTGCTGATTGAGCAGTTTTGAAACTCTCTTTCTTTGGATTCTGCAAGTGGATATGTGGACCTCTGTGAAGATTTCGTTGGAAACGGGTTCATCTTCACAGAAAAACTAAACAGAAGCATTCTCAGAAACTACTTTGTGATGTTTGTGTTCCACTTCAAGAATTGAACTTTCCTCTTGACAGAGCAGCTCTGAAACCCTCTTTTTCTAGAATCTGCAAGTGGACATTTGGAGGGCTTTGAGGCCTGTGGTGGAAAAGGAAAATCTTCACATAAAAACTAGATGGAAGCATTCTCAGAAACTACTTTGTGATGATTGCATTCGACTCACAGAGTTGAACATTCCTATAGATAGAGCAGGTTGTAAACAATCTTTTTGTAGAATCTGCGATTGGAGATTTGGACTGCTTTGAGGCCTACTGTAGTAAAGGAAATAACTTCATCTAAAAACCAAACGGAAGCATTCACAGACAATTCTTAGTGATCATTGCATTGAACTAACAGAGCTGAACATTCCTTTAGATGGAGCAGTTTCCAAACACACTTTCTGTAGAATCTGCAAGTGGATATTTGGACTTCTCTGAGGATTTCGTTGGAAACGGGATAAACTTCCCAGAACTACACGGAAGCATTCTGAGAAACTTCTTTGTGATGTTTGCATTCAACTCACAGAGTTGAACCTTGCTTTCATAGTTCAGCTTTCAAACACTCTTTTTGTAGAATCTGCAAGTGGATATTTGGTCCACTTTGTGGCCTTCCTTCGAAACGGGTATATCTTCACATCAAACCTAGACAGAAGCATTCTCAGAATGTTTCCTGTGATGACTGCATTCAACTCACAGAGGTGAACAATCCTGTTGATGGAGCAGTTTTGAAACTCTCTTTCTTTGGATTCTGCAACTGGATATGTGGACCTCTGTGAAGATTTCGTTGGAAACGGGTTCATCTTCACAGAAAAACTAAACAGAAGCATTCTCAGAAACTGCTTTGTGATGTTTGTGTTCCACTTCAAGAATTGAACTTTCCTCTTGACAGAGCAGCTCTGAAACCCTCTTTTTCTAGAATCTGCAAGTGGACATTTGGAGGGCTTTGAGGCCTGTGGTGGAAAAGGAAAATCTTCCCATAAAAACTAGATGGAAGCATTCTCAGAAACTACTTTGTGATGATTGCATTCGACTCACAGAGTTGAACATTCCTATAGATAGAGCAGGTTGTAAACAATCTTTTTGTAGAATCTGTGATTGGAGATTTGGACTGCTTTGAGGCCTACTGTAGTAAAGGAAATAACTTCATCTAAAAACCAAACGGAAGCATTCACAGACAATTCTTAGTGATCATTGGATTGAACTAACAGAGCTGAACATTCCTTTAGATGGAGCAGTTTCCAAACCCACTTTCTGTAGAATCTGCAAGTGGATATTTGGACTTCTCTGAGGATTTCGTTGGAAACGGGATAAACTTCCCAGAACTACACGGAAGCATTGTGAGAAACTTCTTTGTGATGTTTGCATTCAACTCACAGAGTTGAACCTTGCTTTCATAGTTCAGCTTTCAAACACTCTTTTTGTAGAATCTGCAAGTGGATATTTGGACCACTTTGTGGCCTTCCTTCGAAACGGGTATATCTTCACATCAAACCTAGACAGAAGCATTCTCAGAATGTTTCCTGTGATGACTGCATTCAACTCACAGAGGTGAACAATCCTGTTGATGGAGCACTTTTGAAACTCTCTTTCTTTGGATTCTGCAAGTTGATATGTGGACCTCTGTGAAGATTTCGTTGGAAACGGGTTCATCTTCAGAGAAAAACTAAACAGAAACATTCTCAGAAACTGCTTTGTGATGTTTGTGTTCCACTTCAAGAATTGAACTTTCCTCTTGACAGAGCAGCTCTGAAACCCTCTTTTTCTAGAATCTGCAAGTGGACATTTGGAGGGCTTTGAGGCCTGTGGTGGAAAAGGAAAATCTTCACATAAAAACTAGATGGAAGCATTCTCAGAAACTACTTTGTGATGATTGCATTCGACTCAAAGAGTTGAACATTCCTATAGATAGAGCAGGTTGTAAACAATCTTTTTGTAGAATCTGCGATTGGAGATTTGGACTGCTTCGAGGCCTACTGTAGTAAAGGAAATAACTTCATCTAAAAACCAAACGGAAGCATTCACAGACAATTCTTAGTGATCATTGGATTGAACTAACAGAGCTGAACATTCCTTTAGATGGCGCAGTTTCCAAACACACTTTCTGTAGAATCTGCAAGTGGATATTTGGACCTCTCTGAGGATTTCGTTGGAAAAGGGATAAACTTCCCAAAACTACACGGAAGCATTCTGAGAAACTTCTTTGTGATGTTTGCATTCAACTCACAGAGTTGAACCTTGCTTTCATAGTTCAGCTTTCAAACACTCTTTTTGTAGAATCTGCAAGTGGATATTTGGACCACTTTCTGGCCTTCCTTCGAAACGGGTATATCTTCACATCAAACCTAGACAGAAGCATTCTCAGAATGTTTCCTGTGATGACTGCATTCAACTCACAGAGGTGAACAATCCTGTTGATGGAGCACTTTTGAAACTCTCTTTCTTTGGATTCTGCAAGTGGATATGTGGACCTCTGTGAAGATTTCGTTGGAAACGGGTTCATCTTCACAGAAAAACTATACAGAAGCATTCTCAGAAACTACTTTGTGATGTTTGTGTTCCACTTCAAGAATTGAACTTTCCTCTTGACAGAGCAGCTCTGAAACCCTCTTTTTCTAGAATCTGCAAGTGGACATTTGGAGGGATTTGAGGCCTGTGGTGGAAAAGGAAAATCTTCACATAAAAACTAGATGGAAGCATTCTCAGAAACTACTTTGTGATGATTGCATTCGACTCACAGAGTTGAACATTCCTATAGATAGAGCAGGTTGTAAACAATCTTTTTGTAGAATCTGCGATTGCAAATTTGGACTGCTTTGAGGCCTACTGTAGTAAAGGAAATAACTTCATCTAAAAACCAAACGGAAGCATTCACAGACAATTCTTAGTGATCATTGCATTGAACTAACAGAGCTGAACATTCCTTTAGATGGCGCAGTTTCCAAACACACTTTCTGTAGAATCTGCAAGTGGATATTTGGACTTCTCTGAGGATTTCGTTGGAAACGGGATAAACTTCCCAGAACTACACGGAAGCATTCTGAGAATCTACTTTGTGATGATTGCATTCAACTCACAGAGTTGAAACTTCCTTTCATAGTTCAGCTTTCAAACACTCTATTTGTAGAATCTGCAAGTGGATATTTGGACCACCTTGAGGCCTTCCTTCGAAACGGGTATATCTTCACATCAAACCTAGACAGAAGCATTCTCAGAATGTTTTCTGTGATGACTGCATTCAACTCACAGAGTTGAACAATCCTGCTGATGGAGCAGTTTTGAAACTCTCTTTCTTTGGATTCTGCAAGTGGATATGTGGACCTCTTTGAAGATTTCCTTGGAAACGGGTTCATCTTCACATAAAAAGTAAACAGAAGCATTCTCAGAAACTGCTTTGTGATGTTTGTGTTCCATTTCAAGAATTGAACTTTCCTCTTGACAGAGCAGCTCTGAAACCCTCTTTTTCTAGAATCTGCAAGTGGACATTTGGAGGGCTTGGAGGCCTTCGGTGGAAAAGGAAATATCTTCACATAAAACCTAGATAGAAGCATTCTCAGAAACTACTTTGTGATGATTGCATTCGACTCACAGTGTTGAACATTCCTATAGATAGAGCAGGTTGTAAACAATCTTTTTGTAGAATCTGCGATTGGAGATTTGGACTGCTTTGAGGCCTACTGTAGTAAAGGAAATAACTTCATCTAAAAACCAAACGGAAGCATTCACAGACAATTCTTAGTGATCATTGGATTGAACTAACAGAGCTGAACGTTCCCTTAGATGGCGCAGTTTCCAAACACACTTTCTGTAGAATCTGCAAGTGGATATTTGGACCTCTCTGAGGATTTCGTTGGAAACGGGATAAACTTCCCAGAACTACACGGAAGCATTCTGAGAAATTTCTTTGTGATGTTTGCATTCAACTCACAGAGGTGAACCTTGCTTTCATAGTTCAGCTTTCAAACACTCTTTTTATAGAATCTGCAAGTGGATATTTGGACCACTTTGTGGCCTTCCTTCGAAACGGGTATATCTTCACATCAAACCTAGACAGAAGCATTCTCAGAATGTTTCCTGTGATGACTGCATTCAACTCACACAGGTGAGCAATCCTGTTGATGGAGCAGTTTTGAAACTCTCTTTCTTTGGAATCTGCAAGTGGATGTGTGGACCTCTTTGAAGATTTCGTTGGAAACGGGTTCTTCTTCACAGAAAAACTAAACAGAAGCATTCTCGGAAACTGCTTTGTGATGTTTGTGTTCCACTTCAGGAATTGAACTTTCCTCTTGACAGAGCAGCTCTGAAACCCTCTTATTCTAGAATCTGCAAGTGGACATTTGGAGGGCTTTGAGGCCTGTGGTGGAAAAGGAAAATCTTCACATAAAAACTAGATGGAAGCATTCTCAGAAACTACTTTGTGATGATTGCATTCGACTCACAGAGTTGAACATTCCTATAGATAGAGCAGGTTGTAAACAATCTTTTTGTAGAATCTGCGATTGGAGATTTGGACTGCTTTGAGGCCTACTGTAGTAAAGGAAATAACTTCATCTAAAAACCAAACGGAAGCATTCACAGACAATTCTTAGTGATCATTGGATTGAACTAACATTGCTGAACATTCCTTTAGATGGCGCAGTTTCCAAACACACTTTCTGTAGAATCTGCAAGTGGATATTTGGACCTCTCTGAGGATTTCGTTGGAAACGGGATAAACTTCCCAGAACTACACGGAAGCATTCTGAGAAACTTCTTTGTGATGTTTGCATTCAACTCACAGAGTTGAACCTTGCTTTCATAGTTCAGCTTTCAAACACTCTTTTTGTAGAATCTGCAAGTGGATATTTGGACCACTTTCTGGCCTTCCTTCGAAACGGGTATATCTTCACATCAAACCTAGACAGAAGCATTCTCAGAATGTTTCCTGTGATGACTGCATTCAACTCACAGAGGTGAACAATCCTGCTGATGGAGCAGTTTTGAAACTCTCTTTCTTTGGATTCTGCAAGTGGATATGTGGACCTCTGTGAAGATTTCGTTGGAAACGGGTTCATCTTCACAGAAAAACTAAACAGGAGCATTCTCAGCAAACTGCTTTGTGATGTTTGTGTTCCACTTCAAGAATTGAACTTTCCTCTTGACAGAGCAGCTCTGAAACCCTCTTTTTCTAGAATCTGCAAGTGGACATTTGGAGGGCTTTGAGGCCTGTGGTGGAAAAGGAAAATCTTCACATAAAAACTAGATGGAAGCATTCTCAGGAACTACTTTGTGATGATTGCATTCGACCCACAGAGTTGAACATTCCTATAGATAGAGCAGGTTGTAAACAATCTTTTTGTAGAATCTGCGATTGGAGATTTGGACTCCTTTGAGGCCTACTGTAGTAAAGGAAATAACTTCATCTAAAAACCAAACGGAAGCATTCACAGACAATTCTTAGTGATCATTGGATAGAACTAACAGAGCTGAACATTCCTTTAGATGGCGCAGTTTCCAAACACACTTTCTGTAGAATCTGCAAGTGGATATTTGGACCTCTCTGAGGATTTCGTTGGAAAGGGGATAAGCTTCCCAGAACTACACGGAAAGCATTCTGAGAAACTTCTTTGTGATGTTTGCATTCAACTCACAGGATTTGCACCTTGCTTTCATAGTTCAGCTTTCAAACACTCTTTTTGTAGAATCTGCAAGTGGATATTTGGACCACTTTGTGGCCTTCCTTCGAAAAGGGTATATCTTCACATCAAACCTAGACAGAAGCATTCTCAGAATGTTTCCTGTGATGACTGCATTCAACTCACAGAGGTGAACAATCCTGCTGATGGAGCAGTTTTGAAACTCTCTTTCTTTGGATTCTGCAAGTGGATATGTGGACCTCTGTGAAGATTTCGTTGGAAACGGGTTCATCTTCACAGAAAAACTAAACAGAAGCATTCTCAGAAACTGCTTTGTGATGTTTGTGTTCCACTTCAAGAATTGAACTTTCCTCTTGACAGAGCAGCTCTGAAACCCTCTTTTTCTAGAATCTGCAAGTGGACATTTGGAGGGCTTTGAGGCCTGTGGTGGAAAAGGAAAATCTTCCCATAAAAACTAGATGGAAGCATTCTCAGAAACTACTTTGTGATGATTGCATTCGACTCACAGAGTTGAACATTCCTATATATAGAGCAGGTTGTAAACAATCTTTTTGTAGAATCTGCGATTGGAGATTTGGACTGCTTTGAGGCCTACTGTAGTAAAGGAAATAACTTCATCTAAAAACCAAACGGAAGCATTCACAGACAATTCTTAGTGATCATTGGATTGAACTAACAGAGCTGAACATTCCTTTAGATGGAGCAGTTGCCAAACCCACTTTCTGTAGAATCTGCAAGTGGATATTTGGACTTCTACTGAGGATTTCGTTGGAAACGGGATAAACTTCCCAGAACTACACGGAAGCATTGTGAGAAACTTCTTTGTGATGTTTGCATTCAACTCACAGAGTTGCACCTTGCTTTCATAGTTCAGCTTTCAAACACTCTTTTTGTAGAATCTGCAAGTGGATATTTGGACCACTTTGTGGCCTTCCTTCGAAACGGGTATATCTTCACATCAAACCTAGACAGAAGCATTCTCAGAATGTTTCCTGTGATGACTGCATTCAACTCACAGAGGTGAACAATCCTGCTGATGGAGCAGTTTTGAAACTCTCTTTCTTTGGATTCTGCAAGTGGATATGTGGACCTCTGTGAAGATTTCGTTGGAAACGGGTTCATCTTCACAGAAAAACTAAACAGAAGCATTCTCAGAAACTGCTTTGTGATGTTTGTGTTCCACATCAAGAATTGAACTTTCCTCTTGACAGAGCAGCTCTGAAACCCTCTTTTTCTAGAATCTGCAAGTGGACATTTGGAGGGCTTTGAGGCCTGTGGTGCAAAAGGAAAATCTTCACATAAAAACTAGATGGAAGCATTCTCAGAAACTACTTTGTGATGATTGCATTCGACTCACAGAGTTGAACATTCATATAGATAGAGCAGGATGTAAACAATCTTTTTGTAGAATCTGCGATTGGAGATTTCGACTGCTTTGAGGCCTACTGTAGTAAAGGAAATAACTTCATCTAAAAACCAAACGGAAGCATTCACAGACAATTCTTAGTGATCATTGGATTGAACTAACAGAGCTGAACATTCCTTTAGATGGAGCAGTTTCCAAACACACTTTCTGTAGAATCTGCCAGTGGATATTTGGACTTCTCTGAGGATTTCGTTGGAAACGGGATAAAATTCCCAGAACTACACGGAAGCATTGTGAGAAACTTCTTTGTGATGTTTGCATTCAACTCACAGAGTTGAACCTTGCTTTCATAGTTCAGCTTTCAAACACTCTTTTTGTAGAATCTGCAAGTGGATATTTGGACCACTTTGTGGCCTTCCTTCGAAACGGGTATATCTTCACATCAAACCTAGACAGAAGCATTCTCAGAATGTTTCCTGTGATGACTGCATTCAAGTCACAGAGGTGAACAATCCTGCTGATGGAGCAGTTTTGAAACTCTCTTTCTTTGGATTCTGCAAGTGGATATGTGGACCTCTGTGAAGATTTCGTTGGAAACGGGTTCATCTTCACAGAAAAACTAAACAGGAGCATTCTCAGAAACTGCTTTGTGATGTTTGTGTTCCACTTCAAGAATTGAACTTTCCTCTTGACAGAGCAGCTCTGAAACCCTCTTTTTCTAGAATCTGCAAGTGGACATTTGGCGGGCTTTGAGGCCTATGGTGGAAAAGGAAAATCTTCACATAAAAACTAGATGGAAGCATTCTCAGAAACTACTTTGTGATGATTGCATTCGACTCACATAGTTGAACATTCCTATAGATAGAGCAGGTTGTAAACAATCTTTTTGTAGAATCTGCGATTGGAGATTTGGACTGCTTTGAGGCCTACTGTAGTAAAGGAAATAACTTCATCTAAAAACCAAACGGAAGCATTCACAGACAATTCTTAGTGATCATTGCATTGAACTAACAGAGCTGAACATTCCTTTAGATGGCGCAGTTTCCAAACACACTTTCTGTAGAATCTGCAAGTGGATATTTGGACTTCTCTGAGGATTTCGTTGGAAACGGGATAAACTTCCCAGAACTACACGGAAGCATGCTGAGAAACTTCTTTGTGATGTTTGCATTCAACTCACAGAGTGGAACCTTGCTTTCATAGTTCAGCTTTCAAACACTCTTTTTGTGGAATCTGCAAGTGGATATTTGGACCACTTTGTGGCCTTCCTTCGAAACGGGTATATCTTCACATCAAACCTAGACAGAAGCATTCTCAGAATGTTTCCTGTGATGACTGCATTCAACTCACAGAGGTGAACAATCCTGCTGATGGAGCAGTTTTGAAACTCTCTTTCTTTGGATTCTGCAAGTGGATGTGTGGACCTCTGTGAAGATTTCGTTGGAAACGGGTTCATCTTCACAGAAAAACTAAACAGAAGCATTCTCAGAAACTGCTTTGTGATGTTTGTGTTCCACTTCAGGAATTGAACTTTCCTCTTGACAGAGCAGCTCTGAAATCCTCTTATTCTAGAATCTGCAAGTGGACATTTGGAGGGCTTTGAGGCCTGTGGTGGAAAAGGAAAATCTTCACATAAAAACTAGATGGAAGCATTCTCAGAAACTACTTTGTGATGATTGCATTCGACTCACAGAGTTGAACATTCCTATAGATAGAGCAGGTTGTAAACAATCTTTTTGTAGAATCTGCGATTGGAGATTTGGACTGCTTTGAGGCCTACTGTAGTAAAGGAAATAACTTCATCTAAAAACCAAACAGAAGCATTCACAGACAATTCTTAGTGATCATTGCATTGAACTAACAGAGCTGAACATTCCTTTAGATGGCGCAGTTTCCAAACACACTTTCTGTAGAATCTGCAAGTGGATATTTGGACCTCTCTGAGGATTTCGTTGGAAACGGGATAAACTTCCCAAAACTACACTGAAGCATTCTGAGAAACTTCTTTGTGATGTTTGCATTCAACTCACAGAGTTGAACCTTGCTTTCATAGTTCAGCTTTCAAACACTCTTTTTGTAGAATCTGCAAGTGGATATTTGGACCACTTTGTGGCCTTCCTTCGAAACGGGTATATCTTCACATCAAACCTAGACAGAAGCATTCTCAGAATGTTTCCTGTGATGACTGCATTCAACTCACAGAGGTGAACAATCCTGCTGATGGAGCAGTTTTGAAACTCTCTTTCTTTGGATTCTGCAAGTGGATATGTGGACCTCTGTGAAGATTTCGTTGGAGACGGGTTCATCTTCACAGAAAAACTAAACAGAAACATTCTCAGAAACTGCTTTGTGATGTTTGTGTTCCACTTCAAGAATTGAACTTTCCTCTTGACAGAGCAGCTCTGAAACCCTCTTATTCTAGAATCTGCAAGTGGACATTTGGAGGGCTTTGAGGCCTGTGGTGGAAAAGGAAAATCTTCACATAAAAACTAGATGGAAGCATTCTCAGAAACTACTTTGTGATGATTGCATTCGACTCACAGAGTTGAACATTCCTATAGATAGAGCAAGCAGGTTGTAAACAATCTTTTTGTAGAATCTGCGATTGGAGATTTGGACTGCTTTGAGGCCTACTGTAGTAAAGGAAATAACTTCATCTAAAAACCAAACGGAAGCATTCACAGACAATTCTTAGTGATCATTGGATAGAACTAACAGAGCTGAACATTCCTTTAGATGGCGCAGTTTCCAAACACACTTTCTGTAGAATCTGCAAGTGGATATTTGGACTTCTCTGAGGATTTCGTTGGAAACGGGATAAACTTCCCAGAACTACACGGAAGCATTGTGAGAAACTTCTTTGTGATGTTTGCATTCAACTCACAGAGTTGAGCCTTGCTTTCATAGTTCAGCTTTCAAACACTCTTTTTGTAGAATCTGCAAGTGGATATTTGGACCACTTTGTGGCCTTCCTTCGAAACGGGTATATCTTCACATCAAACCTAGACAGAAGCATTCTCAGAATGTTTCCTGTGATGACTGCATTCAACTCACAGAGGTGAACAATCCTGTTGATGGAGCAGTTTTGAAACTCTCTTTCTTTGGATTCTGCAAGTGGATATGTGGACCTCTGTGAAGATTTCGTTGGAAACGGGTTCATCTTCACAGAAAAACTAAACAGAAACATTCTCAGAAACTGCTTTGTGAAGTTTGTGTTCCACTTCAGGAATTGAACTTTCCTCTTGACAGAGCAGCTCTGAAACCCTCTTATTCTAGAATCTGCAAGTGGACATTTGGAGGGCTTTGAGGCCTGTGGTGGAAAAGGAAAATCTTCACATAAAAACTAGATGGAAGCATTCTCAGAAACTACTTTGTGATGATTGCATTCGACTCACAGAGTTGAACATTCCTATAGATAGAGCAGGTTGTAAACAATCTTTTTGTAGAATCTGCGATTGGAGATTTGGACTGCTTTGAGGCCTACTGTAGTAAAGGAAATAACTTCATCTAAAAACCAAACGGAAGCATTCACAGACAATTCTTAGTGATCATTGCATTGAACTAACAGATCTGAACATTCCTTTAGATGGCGCAGTTTCCAAACACACTTTCTGTAGAATCTGCAAGTGGATATTTGGACCTCTCTGAGGATTTCGTTGGAAACGGGATAAACTTCCCAGAACTACACGGAAGCATTCTGAGAAACTTCTTTGTGATGTTTGCATTCAACTCACAGAGTTGAACCTTGCTTTCATAGTTCAGCTTTCAAACACTCTTTTTGTAGAATCTGCAAGAGGATATTTGGACCACTTTGTGGCCTTCCTTCGAAACGGGTATATCTTCACATCAAACCTAGACAGAAGCATTCTCAGAATGTTTCCTGTGATGACTGCATTCAACTCACAGAGGTGAACAATCCTGCTGATGGAGCAGTTTTGAAACTCTCTTTCTTTGGATTCTGCAAGTGGATATGTGGACCTCTGTGAAGATTTCGTTGGAAACGGGTTCATCTTCACAGAAAAACTAAACAGGAGCATTCTCAGAAACTGCTTTGTGATGTTTGTGTTCCACTTCAAGAATTGAACTTTCCTCTTGACAGAGCAGCTCTGAAACCCTCTTTTTCTAGAATCTGCAAGGGGACACTTGGAGGGCTTTGAGGCCTGTGGTGGAAAAGGAAAATCTTCACATAAAAACTAGATGGAAGCATTCTCAGAAACTACTTTGTGATGATTGCATTCGACTCACAGAGTTCAACATTCCTATAGATAGAGCAGGTTGTAAACAATCTTTTTGTAGAATCTGCGATTGGAGATTTGGACTGCTTTGAGGCCTACTGTAGTAAAGGAAATAACTTCACCTAAAAACCAAACGGAAGCATTCACAGACAATTCTTAGTGATCATTGCATTGAACTAACAGAGCTTAACATTCCTTTAGATGGCGCAGTTTCCAAACACACTTTCTGTAGAATCTGCCAGTGGAGATATGGACCTCTCTGAGGATTTCGTTGGAAACGGGATAAACTTCCCAGAACTACACGGAAGCATTCTGAGAAACTTCTTTGTGATGTTTGCATTCAACTCACAGAGTTGAACCTTGCTTTCATAGTTCAGCTTTCAAACACTCTTTTTGTGGAATCTGCAAGTGGATATATGGACCACTTTGTGGCCTTCCTTTGAAACGGGTACATCTTCACATCAAACCTAGACAGAAGCATTCTCAGAATGTTTCCTGTGATGACTGCATTCAACTCACAGAGGTGAACAATCCTTCTGATGGAGCAGTTTTGAAACTCTCTTTCTTTGGATTCTGCAAGTGGATATGTGGACCTCTGTGAAGATTTCGTTGGAAACGGGTTCATCTTCACAGAAAAACTAAACAGGAGCATTCTCAGAAACTGCTTTGTGATGTTTGTGTTCCACTTCAGGAATTGAACTTTCCTCTTGACAGAGCAGCTCTAAAACCCTCTTATTCTAGAATCTGCAAGTGGACATTTGGAGGGCTTTGAGGCCTGTGGTGGAAAAGGAAAATCTTCACATAAAAACTAGATGGAAGCATTCTCAGAAACTACTTTGTGATGATTGCATTCGACTCACAGAGTTGAACATTCCTATACATAGAGCAGGTTGTAAACAATCTTTTTGTAGAATCTGCGATTGGAGATTTGGACTGCTTTGAGGCCTACTGTAGTAAAGGAAATAACTTCATCTAAAAACCAAACGGAAGCATTCACAGACAATTCTTAGTGATCATTGGATTGAACTAACAGAGCTGAACATTCCTTTAGATGGAGCAGTTTCCAAACCCACTTTCTGTAGAATCTGCAAGTGGATATTTGGACTTCTCTGAGGATTTCGTTGGAAACGGGATAAACTTCCCAGAACTACACGGGAAGCATTCTGAGAAACTTCTTTGTGATGTTTGCATTCAAGTCACAGGGTTGAACCTTGCTTTCATAGTTCAGCTTTCAAACACTCTTTTTGTAGAATCTGCAAGAGGATATTTCGAACACTTTGTGGCCTTCCTTCGAAACGGGTATATCTTCACATCAAACCTAGACAGAAGCATTCTCAGAATGTTTCCTGTGATGACTGCATTCAACTCACAGAGGTGAACAATCCTGTTGATGGAGCACTTTTGAAACTCTCTTTCTTTGGATTCTGCAAGTGGATATGTGGACCTCTGTGAAGATTTCGTTGGAAACGGGTTCATCTTCACAGAAAAACTAAACAGAAGCATTCTCAGAAACTGCTTTGTGATGTTTGTGTTCCACTTCAGGAATTGAACTTTCCTCTTGACAGAGCAGCTCTGAAACCCTCTTTTTCTAGAATCTGCAAGTGGACATTGGGAGGGCTTTGAGGCCTGTGGTGGAAAAGGAAAATCTTCACATAAAAACTAGATGGAAGCATTCTCAGAAACTACTTTGTGATGATTGCATTCGACTCACAGAGTTGAACATTCCTATAGATAGAGCAGGTTGAAAACAATCTTTTTGTAGAATCTGCGATTGGAGATTTGGACTGCTTTGAGGCCTACTGTAGTAAAGGAAATAACTTCATCTAAAAACCAAACGGAAGCATTCACAGACAATTCTTAGTGATCATTGCGTTGAACTAACAGAGCTGAACATTGCTTTAGATGGCGCAGTTTCCAAACACACTTTCTGTAGAATCTGCAAGTGGATATTTGGACCTCTCTGAGGATTTCGTTGGAAACGGGATAAACTTCCCAGAACTACACGGAAGCATGCTGAGAAACTTCTTTGTGATGTTTGCATTCAACTCACAGAGTTGAACCTTGCTTTCATAGTTCAGCTTTCAAACACTCTTTTTGTAGAATCTGCAAGTGGATATTTGGACCACTTTGTGGCCTTCCTTCGAAACGGGTATATCTTCACATCAAACCTAGACAGAAGCATTCTCAGAATGTTTCCTGTGATGACTGCATTCAACTCACAGAGGTGAACAATCCTGTTGATGGAGCAGTTTTGAAACTCTCTTTCTTTGGATTCTGCGAGTTGATATGTGGACCTCTGTGAAGATTTCGTTGGAAACGGGTTCATCTTCACAGAAAAACTAAACAGAAACATTCTCAGAAACTGCTTTGTTATGTTTGTGTTCCACTTCAAGAATTGAACTTTCCTCTTGACAGAGCAGCTCTGAAACCCTCTTTTTCTAGAATCTGCAAGTGGACATATGGAGGGTTTGAGGCCTGTGGTGGAAAAGGAAAATCTTCACATAAAAACTAGATGGAAGCATTCTCAGAAACTACTTTGTGATGATTGCATTCGACTCACAGAGTTCAACATTCCTATAGATAGAGCAGGTTGTAAACAATCTTTTTGTAGAATCTGCGATTGGAGATTTAGACTGCTTTGAGGCCTACTGTAGTAAATTAAATAACTTCATCTAAAAACCAAACGGAAGCATTCACAGACAATTCTTAGTGATCATTGGATTGAACTAACAGAGCTGAACATTCCTTTAGATGGAGCAGTTTCCAAACACACTTTCTGTAGAATCTGCAAGTGGATATTTGGACTTCTCTGAGGATTTCGTTGGAAACGGGATAAACTTCCCAGAACTACACGGAAGCATTGTGAGAAACTTCTTTGTGATGTTTGCATTCAACACACAGAGTTGAACCTTGCTTTCATAGTTCAGCTTTCAAACACTCTTTTTGTAGAATCTGCAAGTGGATATTTGGACCATTTTGTGGCCTTCCTTCGAAACGGGTATATCTTCACATCAAACCTAGACAGAAGCATTCTCAGAATGTTTCCTGTGATGACTGCATTCAACTCACAGAAGTGAACAATCCTGCTGATGGAGCAGTTTTGAAACTCTCTTTCTTTGGATTCTGCAAGTAGATATGTGGACCTCTGTGAAGATTTCGTTGGAAACGGGTTCATCCTCACAGAAAAATTAACAGGAGCATTCTCAGAAACTACTTTGTGATGTTTGTGTTCCACTTCAAGAATTGAACTTTCCTCTTGACAGAGCAGCTCTGAAACCCTCTTTTTCTAGAATCTGCAAGTGGACATTTGGAGGGCTTTGAGGCCTGTGGTGGAAAAGGAAAATCTTCACATAAAAACTAGATGGAAGCATTCTCAGAAACTACTTTGTGATGATTGCATTCGACTCACAGAGTTGAACATTCCTATAGATAGAGCAGGTTGTAAACAATCTTTTTGTAGAATCTGCGATTGGAGATTTGGACTGCTTTGAGGCCTACTGTAGTAAAGGAAATAACTTCATCTAAAAACCAAACGGAAGCATTCACAGACAATTCTTAGTGATCATTGCATTGAACTAACAGAGCTGAACATTCCTTTAGATGGAGCAGTTTCCAAACCCACTTTCTGAAGAAACTGCAAGTGGATATTTGGACTTCTCTGAGGATTTCGTTGGAAACGGGATAAACTTCCCAGAACTACAGGGAAGCATTGTGAGAAACTTCTTTGTGATGTTTGCATTCAACTCACAGAGTTGAACCTTGCTTTCATAGTTCAGCTTTCAAACACTCTTTTTGTAGAATCTGCAAGTGGATATTTGGACCACTTTGTGGCCTTCCTTCGAAACGGGTATATCTTCACATCAAACCTAGACAGAAGCATTCTCAGAATGTTTCCTGTGATGACTGCATTCAACTCACAGAGGTGAACAATCCTGTTGATGGAGCAGTTTTGAAACTCTCTTTCTTTGGATTCTGCAAGTTGATATGTGGACCTCTGTGAAGATTTCGTTGGAAACGGGTTCATCTTCACAGAAAAACTAAACAGAAGCATTCTCAGAAACTGCTTTGTGATGTTTGTGTTCCACTTCAGGAATTGAACTTTCCTCTTGACAGAGCAGCTCTGAAACCCTCTTTTTCTAGAATCTGCAGGTGGACATTTGGAGGGCTTTGAGGCCTGTGGTGGAAAAGGAAAATCTTCACATAAAAACTAGATGGAAGCATTCTCAGAAACTACTTTGTGATGATTGCATTCGACTCACAGAGTTGAACATTCCTATAGATACAGCAGGTTGTAAACAATCTTTTTGTAGAATCTGCGATTGGAGATTTGGACTGCTTTGAGGCCTACTGTAGTAAAGGAAATAACTTCATCTAAAAACCAAACGGAAGCATTCACAGACAATTCTTAGTGATCATTGGATTGAACTAACAGAGCTGAACATTCCCTTAGATAGCGCAGTTTCCAAACACACTTTCTGTAGAATCTGCAAGTGGATATTTGGACCTCTCTGAGGATTTCGTTGGAAACGGGATAAACTTCCCAGAACTACACGAAGCATTCTGAGAAACTTCTTTGTGATGTTTGCATTCAACTCACAGAGTTGAACCTTGCTTTCATAGTTCAGCTTTCAAACACTCTTTTTGTAGAATCTGCAAGTGGATATTTGGACCACTTTCTGGCCTTCCTTCGAAACGGGTATATCTTCACATCAAACCTAGACAGAAGCATTCTCAGAATGTTTCCTGTGATGACTGCATTCAACAAACAGAGGTGAACAATCCTGCTGATGGAGCAGTTTTGAAACTCTCTTTCTTTGGATTCTGCAAGTGGATATGTGGACCTCTGTGAAGATATCGTTGGAAACGGGTTCATCTTCACAGAAAAACTAAACAGGAGCATTCTCAGAAACTGCTTTGTGATGTTTGTGTTCCACTTCAGGAATTGAACTTTCCTCTTGATAGAGCAGCTCTGAAACCCTCTTTTTCTAGAATCTGCAAGTGGACATTTGGAGCGCTTTGAGGCCTGTGGTGCAAAAGGAAAATCTTCACATAAAAACTAGATGGAAGCATTCTCAGAAACTACTTTGTGATGATTGCATTCGACTCACAGAGTTGAACATTCCTATAGATAGAGCAGGTTGTAAACAATCTTTTTGTAGAATCTGCGATTGGAGATTTGGACTGCTTTGAGGCCTACTGTAGTAAAGGAAATAACTTCATCTAAAAACCAAACGGAAGCATTCACAGACAATTCTTAGTGATCATTGGATTGAACTAACAGAGCTGAACATTCCTTTAGATGGAGCAGTTTCCAAACACACTTTCTCTAGAATCTGCAACTGGATATTTGGACTTCTCTGAGGATTTCGTTGGAAACGGGATAAACTTCCCAGAACTACACGGAAGCATTGTGAGAAACTTCTTTGTGATGTTTGCATTCAACTCACAGAGTTGAACCTTGCTTTCATAGTTCAGCTTTCAAACACTCTTTTTGTAGAATCTGCAAGTGGATATTTGGACCACTTTGTGGCCTTCCTTTGAAACGGGTATATCTTCACATCAAACCTAGACAGAAGCATTCTCAGAATGTTTCCTGTGATGACTGCATTCAACTCACAGAGGTGAACAATCCTGCTGATGGAGCAGTTTTGAAACTCTCTTTCTTTGGATTCTGCAAGTGGATATGTGGACCTCTGTGAAGATTTCGTTGGAAACGGGTTCATCTTCACAGAAAAACTAAACAGAAGCATTCTCAGAAACTGCTTTGTGATGTTTGTGTTCCACTTCAAGAATTGAACTTTCCTCTTGACAGAGCAGCTCTGAAACCCTCTTTTTCTAGAATCTGCAAGTGGACATGTGGAGGGCTTTGAGGCATGTGGTGGAAAAGGAAAATCTTCACATAAAAACTAGATGGAAGCATTCTCAGAAACTACTTTGTGATGATTGCATTCGACTCACAGAGTTGAACATTCCTATAGATAGAGCAGGTTGTAAACAATCTTTTTGTAGAATCTGCGATTGGAGATTTGGACTGCTTTGAGGCCTACTGTAGTAAAGGAAATAACTTCATTCTAAAAACCAAACGGAAGCATTCACAGACAATTCTTAGTGATCATTGGATTGAACTAACAGAGCTGAACATTCCTTTAGATGGAGCAGATTCCAAACAAACTTTCTGTAGAACCTGCAAGTGGATATTTGGACCTCTCTGAGGATTTCGTTGGAAACGGGATAAACTTCCCAGAACTACACGGAAGCATTGTGAGAAACTTCTTTGTGATGTTTGCATTCAACTCACAGAGTTGAACCTTGCTTTCATAGTTCAGCTTTCAAACACTCTTTTTGTAGAATCTGCAAGTGGATATTTGTACCACTTTGTGGCCTTCCTTCGAAACGGGTATATCTTCACATCAAACCTAGACAGAAGCATTCTCAGAATGTTTCCTGTGATGACTGCATTCAACTCACAGAGGTGAACAATCCTGCTGATGGAGCAGTTCTGAAACTCTCCTTCTTTGGATTCTGCAAGTGGATATGTGGACCTCTGTGAAGATTTCGTTGGAAACGGGTTCATCTTCACAGAAAAACTAAACAGAAGCATTCTCAGAAACTGCTTTGTGATGTTTGTGTTCCACTTCAAGAATTGAACTTTCCTCTTGACAGAGCAGCTCTGAAACCCTCTTATTCTAGAATCTGCAAGTGGACATTTGGAGGGCTTTGAGGCCTGTGGTGGAAAAGGAAAATCTTCACATAAAAACTAGATGGAAGCATTCTCAGAAACTCCTTTGTAATGATTGCATTCGACTCACAGAGTTGAACATTCCTATAGATAGAGTAGGTTGTAAACAATCTTTTTGTAGAATCTGCGATTGGAGATTTGGACTGCTTTGAGGCCTACTGTAGTAAAGGAAATAACTTCATCTAAAAACCAAACGGAAGCATTTACAGACAATTCTTAGTTTTCATTAGATTGAACTAAGAGAGCTGAACATTCCTTTAGATGGCGCAGTTTGCAAACACAATTTCTGTAGAATCTGCAAGTGGATATTTGGACCTCTCTGAGGATTTCTTTGGAAACGGGATAAACTTCCCAGAACTACACGGAAGCATTCTCAGAAACTTCTTTGTGATGTATGCATTCATCCCACAGAGTTGAACCTTGCTTTCACAGTTCAGCTTTCAAACACTCTTTTTGTAGAATCTGCAAGTGGATATTTGGACCACTTTGTGGCCTTCCTTCGAAACGGGTATATCTTCACATCAAACCTAGACAGAAGCATTCTCAGAATGTTTCCTGTGATGACTGCATTCAACTCACAGAGGTGAACAATCCTGATGATGGAGCAGTTTTTAAACTCTCTTTCTTTGGATTCTGCAAGTGGATATGTGGACCTCTTTGAGGATTTCGTTGGAAACGGTTTCTTCTTCACAGAAAAACTAAACAGAAGCATTCTCAGAAACTGCTTTGTGATGTTTGTGTTCCACTTCAAGAATTGAACTTTCCTCTTGACAGAGCAGCTCTGAAACCCTCTTTTTCTAGAATCTGCAAGTGGACATTTGGAGGGCTTTGAGGCCTGTGGTGGAAAAGGAAAATCTTCACATAAAACTAGATGGAAGCATTCTCAGAAACTACTTTGTGATGATTGCATTCGACTCACAGAGTTGAACATTCCTATAGATAGAGCAGGTTGTAAACAATCTTTTTGTAGAATCTGCGATTGGAGATTTGGACTGCTTTGAGGCCTACTGTAGTAAAGGAAATAACTTCATCTAAAAACCAAACGGAAGCATTCACAGACAATTCTTAGTGATCATTGGATTGAACTAACAGAGCTGAACATTCCTTTAGATGGAGCAGTTTCCAAACACACTTTCTGTAGAATCTGCAAGTGGATATTTGGACTTCTCTGAGGATTTCGTTGGAAACGGGATAAACTTCCCAGAACTACACGGAAGCATTCTGAGAAACTTCTTTGTGATGTTTGCATTCAACTCACAGAGTTGAACCTTTCTTTCATAGTTCAGCTTTCAAACACTCTTTTTGTAGAATCTGCAAGTGGATATTTGGACCACTTTGTGGCCTTCCTTCGAAACGGGTATATCTTCACATCAAACTTAGACAGAAGGATTCTCAGAATGTTTCCTGTGGTGACTGCATTCAACTCACAGAGGTGAACAATCCTGCTGATGGAGCAGTTTTGAAACTCTCTTTCTTTGGATTCTGCAAGTGGATATGTGGACCTCTGTGAAGATTTCGTTGGAAACGGGTTCATCTTCACAGAAAAACTAAACAGGAGCATTCTCAGAAACTGCTTTGTGATGTTTGTGTTCCACTTCAGGAATTGAACTTTCCTCTTGACAGAGCAGCTCTGAAACCCTCTTATTCTAGAATCTGCAAGTGGACATTTGGAGGGCTTTGAGGCCTGTGGTGGAAAAGGAAAATCTTCACATACAAACTAGATGGAAGCATTCTCAGGAAACTACTTTGTGATGATTGCATTCGACTCACAGAGTTGAACATTCCTATAGATAGAGCAGGTTGTAAACAATCTTTTTGTAGAATCTGCGATTGGAGATTTGGACTGCTTTGAGGCCTACTGTAGTAAAGGAAATAACTTCATCTAAAAACCAAACGGAAGCATTCACAGACAATTCTTAGTGATCATTGCATTGAACTAACAGAGCTGAACATTCCTTTAGATGGCGCAGTTTCCAAACCCACTTTCTGTAGAATCTGCAAGTGGATATTTGGACGTCTCTGAGGATTTCGTTGGAAACGGGATAAAATTCCCAGAACTACACGGAAGCATTCTGAGAAACTTCTTTGTGTTGTTTGCATTCAACTCACAGAGTTGAAACTTGCTTTCATAGTTCAGCTTTCAAACACTCTTTTTGTAGAATCTGCAAGTGGATATTTGGACCACTTTGTGGCCTTCCTTCGAAACGGGTATATCTTCACATCAAACCTAGACAGAAGCATTCTCAGAATGTTTCCTGTGATGACTGCATTCAACTCACAGAGGTGAACAATCCTGTTGATGGAGCAGTTTTGAAACTCTCTTTCTTTGGATTCTGCAAGTGGATATGTGGACCTCTTTGAAGATTTCGTTGGAAACGGGTTCATCTTCACAGAAAAACTAAACAGAAGCATTCTCAGAAACTGCTTTGTGATGTTTGTGTTCCACTTCAAGAATTGAACTTTCCTCTTGACAGAGCAGCTCTGAAACCCTCTTTTTCTAGAATCTGCAAGTGGACATTTGGAGGGCTTTGAGGCCTGTGGTGGAAAAGGAAAATCTTCACATAAAAACTAGATGGAAGCATTCTCAGAAACTCCTTTGTGATGATTGCATTCGACTCACAGAGTTGAACATTCCTATAGATAGAGCAGGTTGTAAACAATCTTTTTGTAGAATCTGCGATTGGAGATTTGGACTGCTTTGAGGCCTACTGTAGTAAAGGAAATAACTTCATCTAAAAACCCAACGGAAGCATTCACAGACAATTCTTAGTGATCATTGGATTGAACTAACAGAGCTGAACATTCCTTTAGATGGAGCAGTTTCCAAACACACTTTCTGTAGAATCTGCAAGTGGATATTTGGACCTCTCTGAGGATTTCGTTGGAAACGGGATAAACTTCCCAGAACTACACGGAAGTATTCTGAGAAACTTCTTTGTGATGTTTGCATTCAACTCACAGAGTTGAACCTTGCTTTCATAGTTCAGCTTTCAAACACTCTTTTTGTAGAATCTGCAAGTGGATATTTGGACCACTTTGTGGCCTTCCTTCGAAACGGGTATATCTTCACATCAAACCTAGACAGAAGCATTCTCAGAATGTTTCCTGTGATGACTGCATTCAACTCACAGAGGTGAACAATCCTGCTGATGGAAGCAGTTTTGTAACTCTCTTTCTTTGGATTCTGCAAGTGGATATGTGGACCTCTGTGAAGATTTCGTTGGAAACGGGTTCATCTTCACAGAAAAACTAAACAGGAGCATTCTCAGAAACTGCTTTGTGATGTTTGTGTTCCACTTCAAGAATTGAACTTTCCTCTCGACAGAGCAGCTCTGAAACCCTCTTTTTCTAGAATCTGCAAGTGGACATTTGGGGGGCTTTGAGGCCTGTGGTGGAAAAGGAAAATCTTCACATAAAAACTAGATGGAAGCATTCTCAGAAAGTACTTTGTGATGATTGCATTCGACTCACAGAGTTGAACATTCCTATAGATAGAGCAGGCTGTAAACAATCTTTTTGTAGAATCTGCGATTGGAGATTTGGACTGCTTTGAGGCCTACTGTAGTAAAGGAAATAACTTCATCTAAAAACCAAACGGAAGCATTCACAGACAATTCTTAGTGATCATTGCATTGAACTAACAGAGCTGAACATTCCTTTAGATGGCGCAGTTTCCAAACACACTTTCTGTAGAATCTGCAAGTGGATATTTGGACTTCTCTGAGGATTTCGTTGGAAACGGGATAAACTTCCCAGAACTACACGGAAGTATTCTGAGAAACTTCTTTGTGATGTTTGCATTCAACTCACAGAGTTGAACCTTGCTTTCATAGTTCAGCTTTCAAACACTCTTTTTGTAGAATCTGCAAGTGGATATTTGGACCACTTTGTGGCCTTCCTTCGAAACGGGTATATCTTCACATCAAACTTAGACAGAAGCATTCTCAGAATGTTTCCTGTGATGACTGCATTCAACTCACAGAGGTGAACAATCCTGCTGATGGAGCAGTTTTGAAACTCTCTTTCTTTGGATTCTGCAAGTGGATATGTGGACCTCTTTGAAGATTTCGTTGGAAACGGGTTCATCTTCACAGAAAAACTAAACAGGAGCATTCTCAGAAACTGCTTTGTGATGTTTGTGTTCCACTTCAGGAATTGAACTTTCCTCTTGACAGAGCAGCTCTGAAACCCTCTTATTCTAGAATCTGCAAGTGGACATTTGGAGGGCTTTGAGGCCTGTGGTGGAAAAGGAAAATCTTCACATAAAAACTAGATGGAAGCATTCTCAGAAACTACTTTGTGATGATTGCATTCGACTCACAGAGTTGAACATTCCTATAGATAGAGCAGGTTGTAAACAATCTTTTTGTAGAATCTGCGATTGGAGATTTGGACTGCTTTGAGGCCTACTGTAGTAAAGGAAATAACTTCATCTAAAAACCAAACGGAAAGCATTCACAGACAATTCTTAGTGATCATTGGATTGAACTAACAGAGCTGAACATTCCTTTAGATGGAGCAGTTTCCAAACCCACTTTCTGTAGAATCTGCAAGTGGATATTTGGACTTCTCTGAGGATTTCGTTGGAAACGGGATAAACTTCCCAGAACTACACGGAAGCATTCTGAGAAACTTCTTTGTGATGTTTGCATTCAACTCACAGAGTTGAACCTTGCTTTCATAGTTCAGCTTTCAAACACTCTTTTTGTAGAATCTGCAAGTGGATATTTGGACCACTTTGTGGCCTTCCTTCGAAACGGGTATATCTTCACATCAAACCTAGACAGAAGCATTCTCAGAATGTTTCCTGTGATGACTGCATTCAACTCACAGAGGTGAACAATCCTGTTGATGGAGCACTTTTGAAACTCTCTTTCTTTGGATTCTGCAAGTTGATATGAGGACCTCTGTGAAGATTTCGTTGGAAACGGGTTCATCTTCACAGAAAAACTAAACAGAAGCATTCTCAGAAACTGCTTTGTGATGTTTGTGTTCCACTTCAAGAATTGAACTTTCCTCTTGACAGAGCAGCTCTGAAACCCTCTTTTTCTACAATCTGCAAGTGGACATTTGGAGGGCTTTGAGGCCTGTGGTGGAAAAGGAAAATCTTCACATAAAAACTGGATGGAAGCATTCTCAGAAACTACTTTGTGATGATTGCATTCGACTCACAGAGTTGAATATTCCTATACATAGAGCAGGTTGTAAACAATCTTTTTGTAGAATCTGCGATTGGAGATTTGGACTGCTTTGAGGCCTATTGTAGTAAAGGAAATAACTTCATCTAAAAACCAAACGGAAGCATTCACAGACAATTCTTAGTGATCATTGCATTGAACTAACAGAGCTGAACATTCCTTTAGATGGCGCAGTTTCCAAACACACTTTCTGTAGAATCTGCAAGTGGATATTTGGACCTCTCTGGGGATTTCGTTGGAAACGGGATAAACTTCCCAGAACTACACGGATGCATTCTGAGAAACTTCTTTGTGATGTTTGCATTCAACTCACAGAGTTGAACCTTGCTTTCATAGTTCAGCTTTCAAACACTCTTTTTGTAGAATCTGCAAGTGGATATTTAGACCACTTTGTGGCCTTCCTTCGAAACGGGTATATCTTCACATCAAACCTAGACAGAAGCATTCTCAGAATGTTTCCTGTGATGACTGCATTCAACTCACAGAGGTGAACAATCCTGCTGATGGTGCAGTTTTGAAACTCTCTTTCTTTGGATTCTGCAAGTGGATATGTGGACCTCTGTGAAGATTTCGTTGGAAACGGGTTCATCTTCACAGAAAAACTAAACAGGAGCATTCTCAGAAACTGCTTTGTGATGTTTGTGTTCCACTTCAGGAATTGAACTTTCCTCTTGACAGAGCAGCTCTGAAACCCTCTTTTTCTAGAATCTGCAAGTGGACATTTGGAGGGCTTTGAGGCCTGTGGTGGAAAAGGAAAATCTTCACATAAAAACTAGATGGAAGCATTCTCAGAAACTACTTTGTGATGATTGCATTCGACTCCCAGAGTTGAACATTCCTATAGATAGAGCAGGTTGTAAACAATCTTTTTGTAGAATCTGCGATTAGAGATTTGGACTGCTTTGAGGCCTACTGTAGTAAAGGAAATAACTTCATCTAAAAACCAAACGGAAGCATTCACAGACAATTCTTAGTGATCATTGCATTGAACTAACAGAGCTGAACATTCCTTTAGATGGCGCAGTTTCCAAACACACTTTCTGTAGAATCTGCAAGTGGATATTTGGACCCTCTGAGGATTTCGTTGGAAACGGGATAAACTTCCCAGAACTACACGGAAGCATTCTGAGAAACTTCTTTGTGATGTTTGCATTCAACTCACAGAGTTGAACCTTGCTTTCCAAGTTCAGCTTTCAAACACTCTTTTTGTAGAATCTGCAAGTGGATATTTGGACCACTTTGGGGCCTTCCTTCGAAACGGGTTCATCTTCACAGAAAAACTAAACAGGAGCATTCTCAGAAACTGCTTTGTGATGTTTGTGTTCCACTTCAAGAATTGAACTTTCCTCTTGACAGAACAGCTCTGAAACCCTCTTTTTCTAGAATCTGCAAGTGGACATTTGGAGGGCTTTGAGGCCTGTGGTGGAAAGGGAAAATCTTCACATAAAAACTAGATGGAAGCATTCTGAGAATCTACTTTGTGATGATTGCATTCGACTCACAGAGTTGAACCTTCCAATGGAGAGAGCAGTTTTAAACACTCTTTTTGTAGAATCTGTGATTGCTGATTTGGACTGCATTGAGGCCTACGGTGCTAAAGGAAATAACTTCATCTAAAAACCAAACGGAAGCATTCACAGACAATTCTTAGTGATCATTGCATTGAACTAACAGAGCTGAACATTCCTTTAGATGGAGCAGTTTCCAAACACACTTTCTGTAGAATCTGCAAGTGGATATTTGGACTTCTCTGAGGATTTCGTTGGAAACGGGATAAACTTCCCAGAACTACACGGAAGCATTGTGAGAAACTTCTTTGTGATGTTTGCATTCAACTCACAGAGTTGAACCTTGCTTTCATAGTTCAGCTTTCAAACACTCTTTTTGTAGAATCTGCAAGTGGATATTTGGACCACTTTGTGGCCTTCCTTCGAAACGGGTATATCTTCACATCAAACCTAGACAGAAGCATTCTCAGAATGTTTCCTGTGATGACTGCATTCAACTCACAGAGGTGAACAATCCTGCTGATGGAGCAGTTTTGAAACTCTCTTTCTTTGGATTCTGCAAGTGGATATGTGGACCTCTGTGAAGATTTCGTTGGAAACGGGTTCATCTTCACAGAAAAACTAAACAGAAGCATTCTCAGAAACTGCTTTGTGATGTTTGTGTTCCACTTCAAGAATTGAAATTTCCTCTTGAGAGAGCAGCTCTGAAACCCTCTTTTTCTAGAATCTGCAAGTGAACATGTGGAGGGCTTTGAGGCCTGTGGTGGAAAAGGAAAATCTTCACATAAAAACTAGATGGAAGCATTCTCAGAAACTACTTTGTGATGATTGCATTCGACTCACAGAGTTGAACATTCCTATAGATAGAGCAGGTTGTAAACAATCTTTTTGTAGAATCTGCAATTGGAGATTTGGACTGCTTTGAGGCCTACTGTAGTAAAGGAAATAACTTCATCTAAAAACCAAACGGAAGCATTCACAGACAATTCTTAGTGATCATTGCATTGAACTAACAGAGCTGAACATTCCTTTAGATGGCGCAGTTTTCAAACACACTTTCTGTAGAATCTGCAAGTGGATATTTGGACCTCTCTGAGGATTTCGTTGGAAACGGGATAAACTTCCCAGAACTACACGGAAGCATTGTGAGAAACTTCTTTGTGATGTTTGCATTCAACTCACAGAGTTGAACCTTGCTTTCATAGTTCAGCTTTCAAACACTCTTTTTTGGTTAGAATCTGCAAGTGGATATTTGGACCACTTTGTGGCCTTCCTTCGAAACGGGTATATCTTCACATCAAACCTAGACAGAAGCATTCTCAGAATGTTTCCTGTGATGACTGCATTCAACTCACAGAGGTGAACAATGCTGCTGATGGAGCAGTTTTGAAACTCTCTTTCTTTGGATTCTGCAAGTGGATATGTTGACCTCTGTGAAGATTTCGTTGGAAACGGGTTCATCTTCACAGAAAAACTAAACAGGAGCATTCTCAGAAACTGCTTTGTGATGTTTGTGTTCCACTTCAGGAATTGAACTTTCCTCTTGACAGAGCAGCTCTGAAACCCTCTTATTCTAGAATCTGCAAGTGGACATTTGGAGGGCTTTGAGGCCTGTGGTGGAAAAGGAAAATCTTCACATAAAAACTAGATGGAAGCATTCTCAGAAACTACTTTGTGATGATTGCATTCGACTCACAGAGTTGAACATTCCTATAGATAGAGCAGGTTGTAAACAATCTTTTTGTAGAATCTGCGATTGGAGATTTGGACTGCTTTGAGGCCTACTGTAGTAAAGGAAATAACTTCATCTAAAAACCAAACGGAAGCATTCACAGACAATTCTTAGGGATCATTGGATTGAACTAACAGAGCTGAACATTCCTTTAGATGGAGCAGTTTCCAAACCCACTTTCTGTAGAATCTGCAAGTGGATATTTGGACTTCTCTGAGGATTTCGTTGGAAACGGGATAAACTTCCCAGAACTACACGGAAGCATTCTGAGAAACTTCTTTGTGATGTTTGCATTCAACTCACAGAGTTGAACCTTGCTTTCATAGTTCAGCTTTCAAACACTCTTTTTGTAGAATCTGCAAGTGGATATTTGGACCACTTTGTGGCCTTCCTTCGAAACGGGTATATCTTCACATCAAACCTAGACAGAAGCATTCTCAGAATGTTTCCTGTGATGACTGCATTCAACTCACAGAGGTGAACAATCCTGTTGATGGAGCAGTTTTGAAACTCTCTTTCTTTGGATTCTGCAAGTGGATATGTGGACCTCTGTGAAGATTTCGTTGGAAACGTGTTCATCTTCACAGAAAAACTAAACAGAAGCATTCTCAGAAACTGCTTTGTGATGTTTGTGTTCCACTTCAAGAACTGAACTTTCCTCTTGACAGAGCAGCTCTGAAACCCTCTTTTTCTAGAATCTGCAAGTGGACATTTGGAGGGCTTTGGGGCCTGTGTTGGAAAAGGAAAATCTTCACATAAAAACTAGATGGAAGCATTCTCAGAAACTACTTTGTGATGATTGCATTCGACTCACAGAGTTGAACATTCCTATAGATAGAGCAGGTTGTAAACAATCTTTTTGTAGAATCTGCGATTGGAGATTTGGATTGCTTTGAGGCCTACTGTAGTAAAGGAAATAACTTCATCTAAAAACCAAACGGAAGCATTCACAGACAATTCTTAGTGATCATTGGATTGAACTAACAGAGCTGAACATTCCTTTAGATGGAGCATTTTCCAAACACACTTTCTGTAGAATCTGCAAGTGGATATTTGGACCTCTCTGAGGATTTCGTTGGAAACGGGATAAACTTCCCAGAAATACACGGAAGCATTGTGAGAAACTTCTTTGTGATGTTTGCATTCAACTCACAAGAGTTGAACCTTGCTTTCATAGTTCAGCTTTCAAACACTCTTTTTGTAGAATCTGCAAGTGGATATTTGGACCACTTTGTGGCCTTCCTTCGAAACGGGTATATCTTCACATCAAACCTAGACAGAAGCATTCTCAGAATGTTTCCTGTGATGACTGCATTCAACTCACAGAGGTGAACAATCCTGCTGATGGAGCAGTTTTGAAACTCTCTTTCTTTGGATTCTGCAAGTGGATATGTGGACCTCTGTGAAGATTTCGTTGGAAACGGGTTCATCTTCACAGAAAAACTAAACAGGAGCATTCTCAGAAACTGCTTTGTGATGTTTGTGTTCCACTTCAAGAATTGAACTTTCCTCTTGACAGAGCAGCTCTGAAACCCTCTTTTTCTAGAATCTGCAAGTGGACATTTGGAGGGCTTTGAGGCCTGTGGTGGAAAAGGAAAATCTTCACATAAAAACTTTATGGGAAGCATTCTCAGAAACTACTTTGTGATGATTGCATTCGACTCACAGAGTTGAACATTCCTATAGATAGAGCAGGTTGTAAACAATCTTTTTGTAGAATCTGCGATTGGAGATTTGGACTGCTTTGAGGCCTACTGTAGTAAAGGAAATAACTTCATCTAAAAACCAAACGGAAGCATTCACAGACAATTCTTAGTGATCATTGGATTGAACTAACAGAGCTGAACATTCCTTTACATGGAGCAGTTTCCAAACACACTTTCTGTAGAATCTGCAAGTGGATATTTGGACTTCTCTGAGGATTTCGTTGGAAACGGGATAAACTTCCCAGAACTACACGGAAGCATTCTGAGAAACTTCTTTGTGATGTTTGCATTCAACTCACAGAGTTGAACCTTGCTTTCATAGTTCAGCTTTCAAACACTCTTTTTGTAGAATCTGCAAGTGGATATTTGGACCACTTTCTGGCCTTCCTTCGAAACGGGTATATCTTCACATCAAACCTAGACAGAAGCATTCTCAGAATGTTTCCTGTGATGACTGCATTCAACTCACAGAGGTGAACAATCCTGCTGATGGAGCAGTTTTGAAACTCTCTTTCTTTGGATTCTGCAAGTGGATATGTGGACCTCTGTGAAGATTTCGTTGGAAACGGGTTCATCTTCACAGAAAAACTAAACAGGAGCATTCTCAGAAACTGCTTTGTGATGTTTGTGTTCCACTTCAGGAATTGAACTTTCCTCTTGACAGAGCAGCTCTGAAACCCTCTTTTTCTAGAATCTGCAAGTGGACATTTGGAGGGCTTTGAGGCCTGTGGTGGAAAAGGAAAATCTTCACATAAAAACTAGATGGAAGCATTCTCAGAAACTACTTTGTGATGATTGCATTCGACTCACAGAGTTGAACATTCCTATACATAGAGCAGGTTGTAAACAATCTTTTTGTAGAATCTGCGATTGGAGATTTGGACTGCTTTGAGGCCTACTGTAGTAAAGGAAATAACTTCATCTAAAAACCAAACGGAACCATTCACAGACAATTCTTAGTGATCATTGGATTGAACTAACAGAGCTGAACATTCCTTTAGATGGCGCAGTTTCCAAACACACTTTCTGTAGAATCTGCAAGTGGATATTTGGACCTCTCTGAGGATTTCGTTGGAAACGGGATAAACTTCCCAGAACTACACGGAAGCATTGTGAGAAACTTCTTTGTGATGTTTGCATTCAACTCACAGAGTTGAACCTTGCTTTCATAGTTCAGCTTTCAAACACTCTTTTTGTAGAATCTGCAAGTGGATATTTGGACCACTTTGTGGCCTTCCTTCGAAACGGGTATATCTTCACATCAAACCTAGACAGAGCATTCTCAGAATGTTTCCTGTGATGACTGCATTCAACTCACAGAGGTGAACAATCCTGTTGATGGGGCACTTTTGAAACTCTCTTTCTTTGGATTCTGCAAGTTGATATGTGGACCTCTATGAAGATTTCGTTGGAAACGGGTTCATCTCCACAGAAAAACTAAACAAAAGCATTCTCAGAAACTGCTTTGTGATGTTTGTGTTCCACTTCAGGAATTGAACTTTTCTCTTGACAGAGCAGCTCTGAAACCCTCTTATTCTAGAATCTGCAAGTGGACATTTTGAGGGCTTTGAGGCCTGTGGTGGAAAAGGAAAATCTTCACATAAAAACTAGATGGAAGCATTCTCAGAAACTACTTTGTGATGATTGCATTCGACTCACAGAGTTGAACATTCCTATAGATAGAGCAGGTTGTAAACAATCTTTTTGTAGAATCTGCGATTGGAGATTTGGACTGCTTTGAGGCCTACTGTAGTAAAGGAAATAACTTCATCTAAAAACCAAACGGAAGCATTCACAGACAATTCTTAGTGATCATTGCATTGAACTAACAGAACTGAACATTCCTTTAGATGGCGCAGTTTCCAAACACACTTTCTGTAGAATCTGCAAGTGGATATTTGGACTTCTCCTGAGGATTTCGTTGGAAGCGGGATAAACTTCCCAGAACTACACGGAAGCATCTGAGAAACTTCTTTGTGATGTTTGCATTCAACTCACAGAGTTGAACCTTGCTTTCATAGTTCAGCTTTCAAACACTCTTTTTGTAGAATCTGCAAGTGGATATTTGGACCACTTTGTGGCCTTCCTTCGAAACGGGTATATCTTCACATCAAACCTAGACAGAAGCATTCTCAGAATGTTTCCTGTGATGACTGCATTCAACTCACAGAGGTGAACAATCCTGCTGATGGAGCAGTTTTGAAACTCTCTTTCTTTGGATTCTGCAAGTGGATATGTGGACCTCTGTGAAGATTTCGTTGGAAACGGGTTCATCTTCACAGAAAAACTAAACAGGAGCATTCTCAGAAACTGCTTTGTGATGTTTGTGTTCCATTTCAGGAATTGAACTTTCCTCTTGACAGAATTCTAGAATCTGCAAGTGGACATTTGGAGGGCTTTGAGGCCTGTGGTGGAAAAGGAAAATCTTCACATAAAAACTAGATGGAAGCATTCTCAGAAACTACTTTGTGATGATTGCATTCGACTCACAGAGTTGAACATTCCTATAGATAGAGCAGGTTGTAAACAATCTTTTTGTAGAATCTGCGATTGGAGATTTGGACTGCTTTGAGGCCTACTGTAGTAAAGGAAATAACTTCATCTAAAAACCAAACGGAAGCATTCACAGACAATTCTTAGTGATCATTGGATTGAACTAACAGAGCTGAACATTCCTTTAGATGGAGCAGTTTCCAAACCCACTTTCTGTAGAATCTGCAAGTGGATATTTGGAACTCTCTGAGGATTTCGTTGGAAACGGGATAAACTTCCCAGAACTACACGGAAGTATTCTGAGAAACTTCTTTGTGATGTTTACATTCAACACACAGAGTTGAACCTTGCTTTCATAGTTCAGCTTTCAAACACTCTTTTTGTAGAATCTGCAAGTGGATATTTGGACCACTTTATGGCCTTCCTTCGAAACGGGTATATCTTCACATCAAAGCTAGACAGAAGCATTCTCAGAATGTTTCCTGTGATGACTGCATTCAACTCACAGAGGTGAACAATCCTGCTGTTGGAGCAGTTTTGAAACTCTCTTTCTTTGGATTCTGCAAGTGGATATGTGGACCTCTGTGAAGATTTCGTTGGAAACGAGTTCATCTTCACAGAAAAACTAAACAGGAGCATTCTCAGAAACTGCTTTGTGATGTTTGTGTTCCACTTCAAGAATTGAACTTTCCTCTTGACAGAGCAGCTCTGAAACCCTCTTTTTCTAGAATCTGCAAGTGGACATTTGGAGGGCTTTGAGGCCTGTGGTGGAAAAGGAAAATCTTCACATAAAAACTAGATGGAAGCATTCTCAGAAACTGCTTTGTGATGATTGCATTCGACTCACAGAGTTGAACATTCCTATAGATAGAGCAGGTTGTAAACAATCTTTTTGTAGAATCTGCGATTGGAGATTTGGACTGCTTTGAGGCCTACTGTAGTAAAGGAAATAACTTCATCTAAAAACCAAACGGAAGCATTCACAGACAATTCTTAGTGATCATTGGATTGAACTAACAGAGCTGAACATTCCTTTAGATGGCGCAGTTTCCAAACCCACTTTCTGTAGAATCTGCAAGTGGATATTTGGACTTCTCTGAGGATTCCGTTGGAAACGGGATAAACTTCCCAGAACTACACGGAAGCATTCTGAGAAACTTCTTTGTGATGTTTGCATTCAACTCACAGAGTTGAACATTGCTTTCATAGTTCAGCTTTCAAACACTCTTTTTGTAGAATCTGCAAGTGGATATTTGGACCACTTTGTGGCCTTCCTTCGAAACGGGTATATCTTCACATCAAACCTAGACAGAAGCATTCTCAGAATGTTTCCTGTGATGACTGCATTCAACTCACAGAGGTGAACAATCCTGTTGATGGAGCACTTTTCAAACTCTCTTTCTTTGGATTCCGCAAGTTGATATGTGGACTATGTGAAGATTTCATTGGAAACGGGTTCATCTTCACAGAAAAACTAAACAGAAGCATTCTCAGAAACTACTTTGTGATGTTTGTGTTCCACTTCAAGAATTGAACTTTCCTGTTGACAGAGCAGCTCTGAAACCCTCTTTTTCTAGAATCTGCAAGTGGACATTTGGAGGGCTTTGAGGCCTGTGGTGGAAAAGGAAAATCTTCACATAAAAACTAGATGGAATCATTCTCAGAAACTACTTTGTGATGATTGCATTCGACTCAAAGAGTTGAACATTCCTATAGATAGAGCAGGTTGTAAACAATCTTTTTGTAGAATCTGCGATTGGAGATTTGGACTGCTTTGAGGCCTACTGTAGTAAAGGAAATAACTTCATCTAAAAACCAAACGGAAGCATTCACAGACAATTCTTAGTGATCATTGGATTGAACTAACAGAGCTGAACATTCCCTTAGATGGCGCAGTTTCCAAACACGTTTTCTGTAGAATCTGCAAGTGGATATTTGGACCTCTCTGAGGATTTCGTTGGAAACGGGATAAAATTCCCAGAACTACACGGAAGCATTCTGAGAAACTTCTTTGTGATGTTTGCATTCAACTCACAGAGTTGAACCTTGCTTTCATAGTTCAGCTTTCAAACACTCTTTTTGTAGAATCTGCAAGTGGACATTTGGACCACTTTGTGGCCTTCCTTCGAAACGGGTATATCTTCACATCAAACCTAGAGAGAAGCATTCTCAGAACGTTTCCTGTGATGACTGCATTCAACTCACAGAGGTGAACAATCCTGCTGATGGAGCAGTTTTGAAACTCTCTTTCTTCGGATTCTGCAAGTGGATATGTGGACCTCTGTGAAGATTTCGTTGGAAACGGGTTCATCTTCACAGAAAAACTAAACAGGAGCATTCTCAGAAACTGCTTTGTGATGTTTGTGTTCCACTTCAGGAATTGAACTTTCCTCTTGACAGAGCAGCTCTGAAACCCTCTTATTCTAGAATCTGCAAGTGGACATTTGGAGGGCTTTGAGGCCTGTGGTGGAAAAGGAAAATCTTCACATAAAAACTAGATGGAAGCATTCTCAGAAACTACTTTGTGATGATTGCATTCGAATCACAGAGTTGAACATTCCTATAGATAGAGCAGGTTGTAAACAATCTTTTTGTAGAATCTGCGATTGGAGATTTGGACTGCTTTGAGGCCTACTGCAGTAAAGGAAATAACTTCATCTAAAAACCAAACGGAAGCATTCACAGACAATTCTTAGTGATCATTGCATTGAACTAACAGAGCTGAACATTCCTTTAGATGGAGCAGTTTCCAAACCCACTTTCTGTAGAATCTGCAAGTGGATATTTGGACTTCTCTGAGGATTTCGTTGGAAACGGGATAAACTTCCCAGAACTACAGGGGAAGCATTGTGAGAAACTTCTTTGTGATGTTTGCATTCAACTCACAGAGTTGAACCTTGCTTTCATAGTTCAGCTTTCAAACACTCCTTTTGTAGAATCTGCAAGTGGATATTTGGACCACTTTGTGGCCTTCCTTCGAAACGGGTATATCTTCACATCAAACCTAGACAGAAGCATTCTCAGAATGTTTCCTGTGATGACTGCATTCAACTCACAGAGGTGAACAATCCTGCTGATGGAGCAGTTTTGAAACTCTCTTTCTTTGGATTCTGCAAGTGGATATGTGGACCTCTGTGAAGATTTCGTTGGAAACGGGTTCATCTTCACAGAAAAACTAAACAGAAGCATTCTCAGAAACTGCTTTGTGATGTTTGTGTTCCACTTCAGGAATTGAACTTTCCTCTTGACAGAGCAGCTCTGAAACCCTCTTATTCTAGAATCTGCAAGTGGACATTTGGAGGGCTTTGAGGCCTGTGGTGGAAAAGGAAAATCTTCACATAAAAACTAGATGGAAGCATTCTCAGAAACTACTTTGTGATGATTGCATTCGACTCACAGAGTTGAACATTCCTATAGATAGAGCAGGTTGTAAACAGTCTTTTTGTAGAATCTGCGATTGGAGATTTGGACTGCTTTGAGGCCTACTGTAGTAAAGGAAATAACTTCATCTAAAAACCAAACGGAAGCATTCACAGACAATTCTTAGTGATCATTGCATTGAACTAACAGAGCTGAACATTCCTTTAGATGGCGCAGTTTCCAAACACACTTTCTGTAGAGTCTGCAAGTGGATATTTGGACCTCTCTGAGGATTTCGTTGGAAACGGGATAAACTTCCCAGAACTACACGGAAGCATGCTGAGAAACTTCTTTGTGATGTTTGCATTCAACTCACAGAGTTGAAACTTGCTTTCATAGTTCAGCTTTCAAACACTCTTTTTGTAGAATCTGCAAGTGGATATTTGGAGCACTTTGTGGCCTTCCTTCGAAACGGGTATATCTTCACATCAAACCTAGACAGAAGCATTCTCAGAATGTTTCCTGTGATGACTGCATTCAACTCACAGAGGTGAACAATCCTGCTGATGGAGCAGTTTTGAAACTCTCTTTCTTTGGATTCTGCAAGTGGATATGTGGACCTCTGTGAAGATTTCGTTGGAAACGGGTTCATCTTCACAGAAAAACTAAACAGGAGCATTCTCAGAAACTGCTTTGTGATGTTTGTGTTCCACTTCAAGAATTGAACTTTCCTCTTGACAGAGCAGCTCTGAAACCCTCTTTTTCTAGAATCTGCAAGTGGACATTTGGAGGGCTTTGAGGCCTGTGGTGGAAAAGGAAAATCTTCACATAAAAACTAGATGGAAGCATTCTCAGAAACTACTTTGTGATGATTGCATTCGACTCACAGAGTTGAACATTCCTATAGATAGAGCAGGTTGTAAACAATCTTTTTGTAGAATCTGCGATTGGAGATTTGGACTGCTTTGAGGCCTACTGTAGTAAAGGAAATAACTTCATCTAAAAACCAAACGGAAGCATTCACAGACAATTCTTAGTGATCATTGGATTGAACTAACAGAGCTGAACATTCCTTTAGATGGAGCAGTTTCCAAACCCACTTTCTGTAGAATCTGCAAGTGGATATTTGGACTTCTCCGAGGATTTCGTTGGAAACGGGATAAACTTCCCAGAACTACACGGAAGCATTGTGAGAAACTTCTTTGTGATGTTTGCATTCAACTCACAGAGTTGAACCTTGCTTTCATAGTTCAGCTTTCAAACACTCTTTTTGTAGAATCTGCAAGTGGATATTTGGACCACTTTGTGGCCTTCCTTCGAAACGGGTATATCTTCACATCAAACCTAGACAGAAGCATTCTCAGAATGTTTCCTGTGATGACTGCATTCAACTCACAGAGGTGAACAATCCTGCTGATGGAGCAGTTTTGAAACTCTCTTTCTTTGGATTCTGCAAGTGGATATGTGGACCTCTGTGAAGATTTCGTTGGAAACGGGTTCATCTTCACAGAAAAACTAAACAGAAGCATTCTCAGAAACTGCTTTGTGATGTTTGTGTTCCACTTCAAGAATTGAACTTTCCTCTTGATAGAGCAGCTCTGAAACCCTCTTTTTCTAGAATCTGCAAGTGGACATTTGGAGGGCTTTGAGGCCTGTGGTGGAAAAGGAAAATCTTCCCATAAAAACTAGATGGAAGCATTCTCAGAAACTACTTTGTGATGATTGCATTCGACTCACAGAGTTGAACATTCCTATAGATAGAGCAGGTTGTAAACAATCTTTTTGTAGAATCTGCGATTGGAGATTTGGACTGCTTTGAGGCCTACTGTAGTAAAGGAAATAACTTCATCTAAAAACCAAACGGAAGCATTCACAGACAATTCTTAGTGATCATTGGATTGAACTAACAGAGCTGAACATTCCTTTAGATGGAGCAGTTTCCAAACCCACTTTCTGTAGAATCTGCAAGTGGATATTTGGACTTCTCTGAGGATTTCGTTGGAAACGGGATAAACTTCCCAGAACTACACGGAAGCATTCTGAGAAACTTCTTTGTGATGTTTGCATTCAACTCACAGAGTTGAACCTTGCTTTCATAGTTCAGCTTTCAAACACTCTTTTTGTAGAATCTGCAAGTGGATATTTGGACCACTTTGTGGCCTTCCTTGGAAACGGGTATATCTTCACATCAAACCTAGACAGAAGCATTCTCAGAATGTTTCCTGTGATGACTGCATTCAACTCACAGAGGTGAACAATCCTGCTGATGGAGCAGTTTTGAAACTCTCTTTCTTTGGATTCTGCAAGTGGATATGTGGACCTCTGTGAAGATTTCGTTGGAAACGTGTTCATCTTCACAGAAAAACTAAACAGGAGCATTCTCAGAAACTACTTTGTGATGTTTGTGTTCCACTTCAAGAATTGAACTTTCCTCTTGACAGAGCAGCTCTGAAACCCTCTTTTTCTAGAATCTGCAAGTGGACATTTGGAGGGCTTTGAGGCCTGTGGTGGAAAAGGAAAATCTTCACATAAAAACTAGATGGAAGCATTCTCAGAAACTACTTTGTGATGATTGCATTCGACTCACAGAGTTGAACATTCCTATAGATAGAGCAGGTTGTAAACAATCTTTTTGTAGAATCTGCGATTGGAGATTTGGACTGCTTTGAGGCCTACTGTAGTAAAGGAAATAACTTCATCTAAAAACCAAACGGAAGCATTCACAGAAAATTCTTAGTGATCATTGGATTGAACTAACAGAGCTGAACATTCCTTTAGATGGAGCAGTTTCCAAACCCACTTTCTGTAGAATCTGCAAGTGGATATTTGGACTTCTCTGAGGATTTCGTTGGAAACGGGATATGCTTCCCAGAACTACACGGAAGCATTGTGAGAAACTTCTTTGTTATGTTTGCATTCAACTCACAGAGTTGAACCTTGCTTTCATAGTTCAGCTTTCAAACACTCTTTTTGTAGAATCTGCAAGTGGATATTTGGACCACTTTGTGGCCTTCCTTCGAAACGGGTATATCTTCACATCAAACCTAGACAGAAGCATTCTCAGAATGTTTCCTGTGATGACTGCATTCAACTCACAGAGGTGAACAATCCTGCTGATGGAGCAGTTTTGAAACTCTCTTTCTTTGGATTCTGCAAGTGGATATGTGGACCTCTGTGAAGATTTCGTTGGAAACGGGTTCATCTTCACAGAAAAACTAAACAGAGAGCATTCTCAGAAACTGCTTTGTGATGTTTGTGTTCCACTTCAAGAATTGAACTTTCCTCTTGACAGAGCAGCTCTGAAACCCTCTTTTTCTAGAATCTGCAAGTGGACATTTGGAGGGCTTTGAGGCCTGTGGTGGAAAAGGAAAATCTTCACATAAAAACTAGATGGAGCATTCTCAGAAACTCCTTTGTGATGATTGCATTCGACTCACAGAGTTGAACTTTCCTACAGATAGAGCAGGTTGTAAACAATCTTTTTGTAGAATCTGCGATTGGAGATTTGGACTGCTTTGAGGCCTACTGTAGTAAAGGAAATAACTTCATCTAAACACCAAACGGAAGCATTCACAGACAATTCTTAGTGATCATTGCATTGAACTAACAGAGCTGAACATTCCTTTAGATGGCGCAGTTTCCAAACCCACTTTCTGTAGAATCTGCAAGTGGATATTTGGACCTCTCTGAGGATTTCGTTGGAAACGGGATAAACTTCCCAGAACTGCACGGAAGCATTCTGAGAAACTTCTTTGTGATGTTTGCATTCAACTCACAGAGTTGAACCTTGCTTTCATAGTTCAGCTTTCAAACACTCTTTTTGTAGAATCTGCAAGTGGATATTTGGACCACTTTGTGGCCTTCCTTCGAAACGGGTATATCTTCACATCAAACCTAGACAGAAGCATTCTCAGAATGTTTCCTGTGATGACTGCATTCAACTCACAGAGGTGAACAATCCTGCTGATGGAGCAGTTTTGAAACTCTCTTTCTTTGGATTCTGCAAGTGGATATGTGGACCTCTGTGGAGATTTCTTTGGAAACGGGTTCATCTTCACAGAAAAACTAAACAGAAGCATTCTCAGGAAACTGCTTTGTGATGTTTGTGTTCCACTTCAAGAATTGAACTTTCCTCTTGACAGAGCAGCTCTGAAACCCTCTTTTTCTAGAATCTGCAAGTGGACATTTGGAGGGCTTTGAGGCCTGTGGTGGAAAAGGAAAATCTTCACATAAAAACTTGATGGAAGCATTCTCAGAAACTACTTTGTGATGATTGCATTCGACTCACAGAGTTGAACATTCCTATAGATAGAGCAGGTTGTAAACAATCTTTTTGTAGAATCTGCGATTGGAGATTTGGACTGCTTTGAGCCCTACTGTAGTAAAGGAAATAACTTCATCTAAAAACCAAACGGAAGCATTCACAGACAATTCTTAGTGATCATTGCATTGAACTAACAGAGCTGAACATTCCTTTAGATGGAGCAGTTTCCAAACACACTTTCTGTAGAATCTGCAAGTGGATATTTGGACTTCTCTGAGGATTTCGTTGGAAACGGGATAAACTTCCCAGAACTACACGGAAGCATTGTGAGAAACTTCTTTGTGATGTTTGCATTCAACTCACAGAGTTGAACCTTGCTTTCATAGTTCAGCTTTCAAACACTCTTTTTGTAGAATCTGCAAGTGGATATTTGGACCACTTTGTGGCCTTCCTTCGAAACGGGTATATCTTCACATCAAACCTAGACAGAAGCATTCTCAGAATGTTTCCTGTGATGACTGCATTCAACTCACAGAGGTGAACAATCCTGCTGATGGAGCAGTTTTGAAACTCTCTTTCTTTGGATTCTGCAAGTGGATATGTGGACCTCTGTGAAGATTTCGTTGGAAACGGGTTCATCTTCACAGAAAAACTAAACAGAAGTATTCTCAGAAACTGCTTTGTGATGTTTGTGTTCCACTTCAAGAATTGAACTTTCCTCTTGACAGAGCAGCTCTGAAACCCTCTTTTTCTAGAATCTGCAAGTGGACATTTGGAGGGCTTTGAAGCCTGTGGTGGAAAAGGAAAATCTTCACATAAAAACTAGATGGAAGCATTCTCAGAAACTACTTTGTGATGATTGCATTCGACTCACAGAGTTGAACATTCCTATAGATAGAGCAGGTTGTAAACAATCTTTTTCTAGAATCTGCGATTGGAGATTTGGACTGCTTTGAGGCCTACTGTAGTAAAGGAAATAACTGCATCTAAAAACCAAACGGAAGCATTCTGAGAAACTTCTTTGTGATGTTTGCATTCAACTCACAGAGTTGAACCTTGCTTTCATAGTTCAGCTTTCAAACACTCTTTTTGTAGTATCTGGATGTGGACATTTGGATCGCTTTCAGGCCTATGGTGAAAAAGGAAATATCTTCCCATGAAAACTAGACAGAAGCATTCTGAGAAACTTCTTTGTGATGTTTGCATTCAACTCACAGAGTTGAACCTTGCTTTCATAGTTCAGCTTTCAAACACTCCTTTTGTAGAATCTGCAAGTGGATATTTGGACCACTTTGTGGCCTTTCCTTCGAAACGGGTATATCTTCACATCAAACCTAGACAGAAGCATTCTCAGAATGTTTCCTGTGATGACTGCATTCAACTCACAGAGGTGAACAATCCTGTTGATGGAGCCGTTTTGAAACTCCCTTTCTTTTGATTCTGCAAGTGGATATGTGGAACTCTGTGAAGATTTCGTTGGAAACGGGTTCATCTTCACAGAAAAATTAACAGGAGCATTCTCAGAAACTGCTTTGTGATGTTTGTGTTCCACTTGAAGAATTGAACTTTCCTTTTGACAGAGCAGCTCTGAAACCCTCTTTTTCTAGAATCTGCAAGTGGACATTTGGAGGGCTTTGAGGCCTGTGCTGGAAAAGGAAAATCTTCCCATAAAAACTAGATGGAAGCATTCTCAGAAACTACTTTGTGATGGTTGCATTCGACTCACAGAGTTGAACATTCCTATAGAGAGAGCAGGTTGTAAACAATCTTTTTGTAGAATCTGCGATTGGAGATTTGGACTGCTTTGAGGCCTACTGTAGTAAAGGAAATAACTTCATCTAAAAACCAAACGGAAGCATTCACAGACAATTCTTAGTGATCATTGCATTGATCTAACAGAGCTGAACATTCCTTTAGATGGCGTAGTTTCCAAACACACTTTCTGTAAAATCTGCAAGTGGATATTTGGACCTCTCTGAGGATTTCGTTGGAAACGGGATAAACTTCCCAGAACTACACGGAAGCATTCTGAGAAACTTCTTTGTGATGTTTGCATTCAACTCACAGAGTTGAACCTTGCTTTCATAGTTCAGCTTTCAAACACTCTTTTTGTAGAATCTGCAAGTGGATATTTGGACCACTTTGTGGCCTTCCTTCGAAACGGGTATATCTTCACATCAAACCTAGACAGAAGCATTCTCAGAATGTTTCCTGTGATGACTGCATTCAACTCACAGAGGTGAACAATCCTTCTGATGGAGCAGTTTTGAAACTCTCCTTCTTTGGATTCTGCAAGTGGATATGTGGACCTCTGTGAAGATTTGGTTGGAAACGGGTTCATCTTCACAGAAAAACTAAACAGAAGCATTCTCAGAAACTGCTTTGTGATGTTTGTGTTCCACTTCAGGAATTGAACTTTCCTCTTGACATAGTAGCTCTGAAACACTCTTTTTCTAGAATCTGCAACTGGACATTTGGAGGGCTTTGAGGCCTGTGGTGGAAAAGGAAAATCTTCACATAAAAACTAGATGGAAGCATTCTCAGAAACTACTTTGTGATGATTGCATTCGACTCACAGAGTTGAACATTCCTATAGATAGAGCAGGTTGTAAACAATCTTTTTGTAGAATCTGCGATTGGAGATTTGGACTGCTTTGAGGCCTACTTTAGTAAAGGAAATAACTTCATCTAAAAACCAAACGGAAGCATTCACAGACAATTCTTAGTGATCATTGGATTGAACTAACAGAGCTGAACATTCCTTTAGATGGAGCAGTTTCCAAACCCACTTTCTGTAGAATCTGCAAGTGGATATTTGGTCTTCTCTGAGGATTTCGTTGGAAACGGGATAAACTTCCCAGAACTACACGGAAGCATTGTGAGAAACTTCTTTGTGATGTTTGCATTCAACTCACAGAGTTGAACCTTGCTTTCATAGTTCAGCTTTCAAACACTCTTTTTGTAGAATCTGCAAGTGGATATTTGGACCACTTTGTGGCCTTCCTTCGAAACGGGTATATCTTCACATCAAACCTAGACAGAAGCATTCTCAGAATGTTTCCTGTGATGACTGCATTCAACTCACAGAGGTGAACAATCCTGTTGATGGAGCACTTTTGAAACTCTCTTTCTTTGGATTCTGCAAGTTGATATGTGGACCTCTGTGAAGATTTCGTTGGAAACGGGTTCATCTTCACAGAAAAACTAAACAGAAGCATTCTCAGAAACTACTTTGTGATGTTTGTGTTCCACTTCAAGAATTGAACTTTCCTCTTGACAGAGCAGCTCTGAAACCCTCTTTTTCTAGAATCTGCAAGTGGACATTTGGAGGGCTTTGAGGCCTGTGGTGGAAAAGGAAAATCTTCACATAAAAACTAGATGGAAGCATTCTCAGAAACTACTTTGTGATGATTGCATTCGACTCACAGAGTTGAACATTCCTATAGATAGAGCAGGTTGTAAACAATCTTTTTGTAGAATCTGCGATTGGAAATTTGGACTGCTTTGAGGCCTACTGTAGTAAAGGAAATAACTTCATCTAAAAACCAAACGGAAGCATTCACAGACAATTCTTAGTGATCATTGGATTGAACTAACAGAGCTGAACATTCCCTTAGATAGCGCAGTTTCCAAACACACTTTCTGTAGAATCTGCAAGTGGATATTTGGACCTCTCTGAGGATTTCGTTGGAAACGGGATAAACTTCCCAGAACTACACGGAAGCATTCTCAGAAACATGTGTGTCACTGTTGCATTCAACTCACAGAGTTGAACCTTCCTTTCTTAGTTCAGCTTTCAAACACTCTATTTGTAGAATCTGCAAGTGGATATTTGGACCACTTTGTGGCCTTCCTTCGAAACGTGTATATCTTCACATCAAACCTAGACAGAAGCATTCTCAGAATGTTTCCTGTGATGACTGCATTCAACTCACAGGAGGTGAACAATCCTGCTGATGGAGCAGTTTTGAAACTCTCTTTCTTTGGATTCTGCAAGTGGATATGTGGACCTCTGTGAAGATTTCGTTGGAAACAGGTTCATCTTCACAGAAAAACTAAACAGGAGCATTCTCAGAAACTGCATTGTGATGTTTGTGTTCCACTTCAAGAATTGAACTTTCCTCTTGACAGAGCAGCTCTGAAACCCTCTTTTTCTAGAATCTGCAAGTGGACATTTGGAGGGCTTTGAAGCCTGTGGTGGAAAAGGAAAATCTTCACATAAAAACTAGATGGAAGCATTCTCAGAAACTACTTTGTGATGATTGCATTCGAATCACAGAGTTGAACATTCCTATAGATAGAGCAGGTTGTAAACAATCTTTTTGTAGAATCTGCGATTGGAGATTTGGACTGCTTTGAGGCCTACTGTAGTAAAGGAAATAACTTCATCTAAAAACCAAACGGAAGCATTCACAGACAATTCTTAGTGATCATTGGATTGAACTAACAGAGCTGAACATTCCTTTAGATGGAGCAGTTTCCAAACACTATTTCTGTAGAATCTGCAAGTGGATATTTGGACTTCTCTGAGGATTTCGTTGGAAACGGGATAAACTTCCCAGAACTACACGGAAGCATTGTGAGAAACTTCTTTGTGATGTTTGCATTCAACTCACAGAGTTGAACCTTGCTTTCATAGTTCAGCTTTCAAACACTCTTTTTGTAGAATCTGCAAGTGGATATTTGGACCACTTTGTGGCCTTCCTTCGAAACGGGTATATCTTCGCATCAAACCTAGACAGAAGCATTCTCAGAATGTTTCCTGTGATGACTGCATTCAACTCACAGAGGTGAACAATCCTGTTGATGAAGCACTTTTGAAACTCTCTTTCTTTGGATTCTGCAAGTTGATATGTGGACCTCTGTGAAGATTTCGTTGGAAACGGGTTCATCTTCACAGAAAAACTAAACAGAAGCATTCTCAGAAACTGCTTTGTGATGTTTGTGTTCCACTTCAAGAATTGAACTTTCCTCTTGACAGAGCAGCTCTGAAACCCTCTTTTTCTAGAATCTGCAAGTGGACATTTGGAGGGCTTTGAGGCCTGTGGTGGAAAAGGAAAATCTTCACATAAAAACTAGATGGAAGCATTCTCAGAAACTACTTTGTGATGATTGCATTCGACTCACAGAGTTGAACATTCCTATACATAGAGCAGGTTGTAAACAATCTTTTTGTAGAATCTGCGATTGGAGATTTGGACTGCTTTGAGGCCTACTGTAGTAAAGGAAATAACTTCATCTAAAAACCAAACGGAAGCATTCACAGACAATTCTTAGTGATCATTGGATTGAACTATCAGAGCTGAACACTCCTTTAGATGGAGCAGTTTCCAAACACAATTTCTGTAGAATCTGCAAGTGGATATTTGGACTTCTCTGAGGATTTCGTTGGAAACGGGATAAACTTCCCAGAACTACACGGAAGCATTCTGAGAAACTTCTTTGTGATGTTTGCATTCAACTCACAGAGTTGAACCTTGCTTTCATAGTTCAGCTTTCAAACACTCTTTTTGTAGAATCTGCAAGTGGATATTTGGACCACTTTGTGGCCTTCCTTCGAAACGGGTATATCTTCACATCAAACCTAGACAGAAGCATTCTCAGAATGTTTCCTGTGATGACTGCATTCAACTCACAGAGGTGAACAATCCTGCTGATGGAGCAGTTTTGAAACTCTCCTTCTTTGGATTCTGCAAGTGGATATGTGGACCTCTGTGAAGATTTCGTTGGAAACGGGTTCATCTTCACAGAAAAACTTAACAGAAGCATTCTCAGAAACTGCTTTGTGATGTTTGTGTTCCACTTCAGGAATTGAACTTTCCTCTTGACAGAGCAGCTCTGAAACCCTCTTTTTCTAGAATCTGCAAGTGGACATTTGGAGGGCTTTGAGGCCTGTGGTGGAAAAGGAAAATCTTCACATAAAAACTAGATGGAAGCATTCTCAGAAACTACTTTGTGATGATTGCATTCGACTCAAAGAGTTGAACATTCCTATAGATAGAGCAGGTTGTAAACAGTCTTTTTGTAGAATCTGCGATTGGAGATTTGGACTGCTTTGAGGCCTACTGTAGTAAAGGAAATAACTTCATCTAAAAACCAAACGGAAGCATTCACAGACAATTCTTAGTGATCATTGGATTGAACTAACAGAGCTGAACATTCCCTTAGATGGCGCAGTTTCCAAACACACTTTCTGTAGAATCTGCAAGTGGATATTTGGACCTCTCTGAGGATTTCGTTGGAAACGGGATAAACTTCCCAGAACTACACGGAAGCATTCTGAGAAACTTCTTTGTGATGTTTGCATTCAACTCACAGAGTTGAACCTTGCTTTCATAGTTCAGCTTTCAAACACTCTTTTTGTAGAATCTGCAAGTGGATATTTGGACCACTTTGTGGCCTTCCTTCGAAACGGGTATATCTTCACATCAAACCTAGACAGAAGCATTCTCAGAATGTTTCCTGTGATGACTGCATTCAACTCACAGAGGTGAACAATCCTACTGATGGAGCAGTTTTGAAACTCTCTTTCTTTGGATTCTGCAAGTGGATATGTGGACCTCTGTGAAGATTTCGTTGGAAACGGGTTCATCTTCACAGAAAAACTAAACAGAAGCATTCTCAGAAACTGCTTTGTGATGTTTGTGTTCCACTTCAGGAATTGAACTTTCCTCTTGACAGAGCAGCTCTGAAACCCTCTTTTTCTAGAATCTGCAAGTGGACATTTGGAGGGCTTTGAGGCCTGTGGTGGAAAAGGAAAATCTTCACATAAAAACTAGATGGAAGCATTCTCAGAAACTACTTTGTGATGATTGCATTCGACTCACAGAGTTGAACATTCCTATACATAGAGCAGGTTGTAAACAATCTTTTTGTAGAATCTGCGATTGGAGATTTGGACTGCTTTGAGGCCTACTGTAGTAAAGGAAATAACTTCATCTAAAAACCAAACGGAAGCATTCACAGACAATTCTTAGTGATCTATTGGATTGAACTAACAGAGCTGAACATTCCTTTAGATGGCGCAGTTTCCAAACCCACTTTCTGTAGAATCTGCAAGTGGATATTTGGACTTCTCTGAGGATTTCGTTGGAAACGAGATAAACTTCCCAGAACTACACGGAAGCATTCTGAGAAACTTCTTTGTGATGTTTGCATTCAACTCACAGAGTTGAACCTTGCTTTCATAGTTCAGCTTTCAAACACTCTTTTTGTAGAATCTGCAAGAGGATATTTGGACCACTTTGTGGCCTTCCTTCGAAACGGGTATATCTTCACATCAAACCTAGACAGAAGCATTCTCAGAATGTTTCCTGTGATGACTGCATTCAACTCACAGAGGTGAACAATCCTGCTGATGGAGCAGTTTTGAAACTCTCTTTCTTTGGATTCTGCAAGTGGATATGTGGACCTCTGTGAAGATTTCGTTGGAAACGGGTTCATCTTCACAGAAAAAATAACAGAAGCATTCTCAGAAACTACTTTGTGATGTTTGTGTTCCACTTCAAGAATTGAACTTTCCTCTTGACAGAGCAGCTCTGAAACCCTCTTTTTCTAGAATCTGCAAGTGGACATTTGGAGGGCTTTGAGGCCTGTGGTGGAAAAGGAAAATCTTCACATAAAAACTAGATGGAAGCATTCTCAGAAACTACTTTGTGATGATTGCATTCGACTCAGAGAGTTGAACATTCCTATAGATAGAGCAGGTTGTAAACAATCATTTTGTAGAATCTGCGATTGGAGATTTGGACTGGTTTGAGGCCTACTGTAGTAAAGGAAATAACTTCATCTAAAAACCAAACGGAAGCATTCACAGACAATTCTTAGTGATCATTGGATTGAACTAACAGCAGCTGAACATTCCTTTAGATGGCGCAGTTTCCAAACACACTTTCTGTAGAATCTGCAAGTGGATATTTGGACCTCTCTGAGGATTTCGTTGGAAACGGGATAAACTTCCCAGAACTACACGGAAGCATTCTGAGAAACTTCTTTGTGATGTTTGCATTCAACTCACAGAGTTGAACCTTGCTTTCATAGTTCAGCTTTCAAACAATCTTTTTGTGGAATCTGCAAGTGGATATATGGACCACTTTGTGGCCTTCCTTTGAAACGGGTACATCTTCACATCAAACCTAGACAGAAGCATTCTCAGAATGTTTCCTGTGATGACTGCATTCAACTCACAGAGGTGAACAATCCTGTTGATGGAGCAGTTTTGAAACTCTCTTTCTTTGGATTCTGCAAGTTGATATGTGGACCTCTGTGAAGATTTCGTTGGAAACGGGTTCATCTTCACAGAAAAACTAAACAGAAGCATTCTCAGAAGCTGCTTTGTGATGTTTGTGTTCCACTTCAAGAATTGAACTTTCCTCTTGACAGAGCAGCTCTGAAACCCTCTTTTTCTAGAATCTGCAAGTGGACATTTGGAGGGCTTTGAGGCCTGTGGTGGAAAAGGAAAATCTTCACATAAAAACTAGATGGAAGCATTCTCAGAAACTACTTTGTGATGATTGCATTCGACTCACAGAGTTGAACATTCCTATAGATAGAGCAGGTTGTAAACAATCTTTTTGTAGAATCTGCGATTGGAGATTTGGACTGCTTTGAGGCCTACTGTAGTAAAGGAAATAACTTCATCTAAAAACCAAACGGAAGCATTCACAGACAATTCTTAGTGATCATTGCATTGAACTAACAGAGCTGAACATTCCTTTAGATGGAGCAGTTTCCAAACACACTTTCTGTAGAATCTGAAAGTGGATATTTGGACTTCTCTGAGGATTTCGTTGGAAACGGGATAAACTTCTCAGAACTACACGGAAGCATTGTGAGAAACTTCTTTGTGATGTTTGCATTCAACTGACAGAGTTGAACCTTGCTTTCATAGTTCAGCTTTCAAACACTCTTTTTGTAGAATCTGCAAGTGGATATTTGGACCACTTTGTGGCCTTCCTTCGAAACGGGTATATCTTCACATCAAACCTAGACAGAAGCATTCTCAGAATGTTTCCTGTGATGACTGCATTCAACTCACAGAGGTGAACAATCCTGTTGATGGAGCAGTTTTGAAACTCTCTTTCTTTGGATTCTGCAAGTTGATATGTGGACCTCTGTGAAGATTTCGTTGGAAACGGGTTCATCTTCACAGAAAAACTAAACAGAAGCATTCTCAGAAACTACTTTGTGTTTGTTTGTGTTCCACTTCAAGAATTGAACTTTCCTCTTTACAGAGCAGCTCTGAAACCCTCTTTTTCTAGAATCTGCAAGTGGACATTTGGAGGGCTTTGAGGCCTGTGGTGGAAAAGGAAAATCTTCACATAAAAACTAGATGGAAGCATTCTCAGAAACTACTTTGTGATGATTGCATTCGACTCACAGAGTTGAACATTCCTATAGATAGAGCAGGTTGTAAACAATCTTTTTGTAGAATCTGCGATTGGAGATTTGGACTGCTTTGAGGCCTACTGTAGTAAAGGAAATAACTTCATCTAAAAACCAAACGGAAGCATTCACAGACAATTCTTAGTGATCATTGGTTTGAACTAACAGAGCTGAACATTCCTTTAGATGGAGCAGTTTCCAAACCCACTTTCTGCAGAATCTGCAAGTGGATATTTGGACTTCTCTGAGGATTTCGTTGGAAACGGGATAAACTTCCCAGAACTACACGGAAGCAATCTGAGAAACTTCTTTGTGATGTTTGCATTCAACTCACAGAGTTGAACCTTGCTTTCATAGTTCAGCTTTCAAACACTCTTTTTGTAGAATCTGCAAGTGGATATTTGGACCACTTTGTGGCCTTCCTTCGAAACGGGTATATCCTCACATCAAACCAAGACAGAAGCATTATCAGAATGTTTCCTGTGATGACTGCATTCAACTCACAGAGGTGAACAATCCTGTTGATGGAGCACTTTTGAAACTCTCTTTCTTTGGATTCTGCAAGTTGATATGTGGACCTCTGTGAAGATTTCGTTGGAAACCGGTTCATCTTCACAGAAAAACTAAACAGAAGCATTCTCAGAAACTGCTTTGTGATGTTTGTGTTCCACTTCAAGAATTGAACTTTCCTCTTGACAGAGCAGCTCTGAAACCCTCTTTTTCTAGAATCTGCAAGTGGACATTTGGAGGGCTTTGAGGCCTGTGGTGGAAAAGGAAAATCTTCACATAAAAACTAGATGGAAGCATTCTCAGAAACTACTTTGCGATGATTGCATTCGACTCACAGAGTTGAACATTCCTATAGATAGAGCAGGTAGTAAACAATCTTTTTGTAGAATCTGCGATTGGAGATTTGGACTGCTTTGAGGCCTACTGTAGTAAAGGAAATAACTTCATCTAAAAACCAAACGGAAGCATTCACAGACAATTCTTAGTGATCATTGGATTGAACTAACAGAGCTGAACATTCCTTTAGATGGAGCAGTTTCCAAACACACTTTCTGTAGAATCTGCAAGTGGATATTTGGACCTCTCTGAGGATTTCGTTGGAAACGGGATAAACTTCCCAGAACTACACGGAAGCATTCTGAGAAACTTCTTTGTGATGTTTGCATTCAACTCACAGAGTTGAACCTTGCTTTCATAGTTCAGCTTTCAAACACTCTTTTTGTAGAATCTGCAAGTGGATATTTGGACCACTTTCTGGCCTTCCTTCGAAACGGGTATATCTTCACATCAAACCTAGACAGAAGCATTCTCAGAATGTTTCCTGTGATGACTGCATTCAACTCACAGAGGTGAACAATCCTGCTGATGGAGCAGTTTTGAAACTCTCTTTCTTTGGATTCTGCAAGTGGATATGTGGACCTCTGTGAAGATTTCGTTGGAAACGGGTTCATCTTCACAGAAAAACTAAACAGAAGCATTCTCAGAAACTGCTTTGTCATGTTTGTGTTCCACTTCAGGAATTGAACTTTCCTCTTGACAGAGCAGCTCTGAAATCCTCTTATTCTAGAATCTGCAAGTGGACATTTGGAGGGCTTTGAGGCCTGTGGTGGAAAAGGAAAATCTTCACATAAAAACTAGATGGAAGCATTCTCAGAAACTACTTTGTGATGATTGCATTCGACTCGCAGAGTTGAACATTCCTATAGATAGAGCAGGTTGTAAACAATCTTTTTGTAGAATCTGAGATTGGAGATTTGGACTGCTTTGAGGCCTACTGTAGTAAAGGAAATAACTTCATCTAAAAACAAAACGGAAGCATTCACAGACAATTCTTAGTGATCATTGGATTGAACTAACAGAGCTGAACATTCCTTTAGATGGCGCAGTTTCCAAACACACTTTCTGTAGAATCTGCCACTGGATATTTGGACCTCTCTGAGGATTTCGTTGGAAACGGGCTAAACTTCCCAGAACTACACGGAAGCATTTTGAGAAACTTCTGTGTGATGTTTGCATTCAACTCACAGAGTTGAACCTTGCTTTCATAGTTCAGCTTTCAAACACTCTTTTTGTAGAATCTGCAAGTGGATATTTGGACCACTTTGTGGCCTTCCTTTGAAAAGGGTATATCTTCACATCAAACCTAGACAGAAGCATTCTCAGAATGTTTCCTGTGATGACTGCATTCAACTCACAGATGTGAACAATCCTGTTGATGGAGCAGTTTTGAAACTCTCTTTCTTTGGATTCTGCAAGTGGATATGTGGACCTCTCTGAAGATTTCGTTGGAAACGGGTTCATCTTCACAGAAAAACTAAACAGGAGCATTCTCAGAAACTGCTTTGTGATGTTTGTGTTCCACTTCAGGAATTGAACTTTCCTCTTGACAGAGCAGCTCTGAAACCCTCTTATTCTAGAATCTGCAAGTGGACATTTGGAGGGCTTTGAGGCCTGTGGTGGAAAAGGAAAATCTTCACATAAAAACTAGACGGAAGCATTCTCAGAAACTACTTTGTGATGATTGCATTCGACTCACAGAGTTGAACATTCCTATAGATAGAGCAGGTTGTAAACAATCTTTTTGTAGAATCTGCGATTGGAGATTTGGACTGCTTTGAGGCCTACTGTAGTAAAGGAAATAACTTCATCTAAAAACCAAACGGAAGCATTCACGGACAATTCTTAGTGATCATTGGATTGAACTAACAGAGCTGAATATTCCTTTAGATGGAGCAGTTTCCAAACCCACTTTCTGTAGAATCTGCAAGTGGATATTTGGACTTCTCTGAGGATTTCTTTGGAAGCGGGATAAACTTCCCAGAACTACACGGAAGCATTCTGAGAAACTTCTTTGTGATGTTTGCATTCAACTCACAGAGTTGAACCTTGCTTTCATAGTTCAGCTTTCAAACACTCTTTTTGTAGAATCTGCAAGTGGATATTTGGACCACTTTGGGGCCTTCCTTCGAAACGGGTATATCTTCACATCAAACCTAGACAGAAGAATTCTCAGAATGTTTCCTGTGATGACTGCATTCAACTCACAGAGGTGAACAATCCTGCTTATGGAGCAGTTTTGAAACTCTCTTTCTTTGGATTCTGCAAGTGGATATGTGGACCTCTGTGAAGATTTCGTTGGAAACGGGTTCATCTTCACAGAAAAACTAAACAGGAGCATTCTCAGAAACTGCTTTGTGATGTTTGTGTTCCACTTCAGGAATTGAACTTTCCTCTTGACAGAGCAGCTCTGAAACCCTCTTATTCTAGAATCTGCAAGTGGACATTTGGAGGGCTTTGAGGCCTGTGGTGGAAAAGGAAAATCTTCACATAAAAACTAGATGGAAGCATTCTCAGAAACTACTTTGTGATGATTGCATTCGACTCACAGAGTTGAACATTCCTATAGATAGAGCAGGTTGTAAACAATCTTTTTGTAGAATCTGCGATTGGAGATTTGGACTGCTTTGAGGCCTACTGTAGTAAAGGAAATAACTTCATCTAAAAACCAAACGGAAGCATTCACAGACAATTCTTAGTGATCATTGGATTGAACTAACAGAGCTGAACATTCCTTTAGATGGAGCAGTTTCCAAAACCACTTTCTGTAGAATCTGCAAGTGGATATTTGGACTTCTCTGAGGATTTCTTTGGAAACGGGATAAACTTCCCAGAACTACAGGGAAGCATTGTGAGAAACTTCTTTGTGATGTTTGCATTCAACTCACAGAGTTGAACCTTGCTTTCATAGTTCAGCTTTCAAACACTCTTTTTGTAGAATCTGCAAGTGGATATTTGGACCACTTTGTGGCCTTCCTTCGAAACGGGTATATCTTCACATCAAACCTAGGCAGAAGCATTCTCAGAATGTTTCCTGTGATGACTGCATTCAACTCACAGAGGTGAACAATCCTGCTGATGGAGCAGTTTTTAAACTCTCTTTCTTTGGATTCTGCAAGTGGATATGTGGACCTCTGTGAAGATTTCGTTGGAAACGGGTTCATCTTCACAGAAAAACTAAACAGGAGCATTCTCAGAAACTGCTTTGTGATGTTTGTGTTCCACTTCAAGAATTGAACTTTCCTCTTGACAGAGCAGCTCTGAAACCCTCTTTTTCTAGAATCTGCAAGTGGACATTTGGAGGGCTTTGAGGCCTGTGGTGGAAAAGGAAAATCTTCACATAAAAACTAGATGGAAGCATTCTCAGAAACTACTTTGTGATGATTGCATTCGACTCACAGAGTTGAACATTCCTATAGATAGAGCAGGTTGTAAACAATCTTTTTGTAGAATCTGCGATTGGAGATTTGGACTGCTTTGAGGCCTACTGTAGTAAAGGAAATAACTTCATCTAAAAACCAAACGGAAGCATTCACAGACAATTCTTACTGATCATTGGATTGAACTAACAGAGCTGAACATTCCTTTAGATGGAGCAGTTTCCAAACACACTTTCTGTAGAATCTGCAAGTGGATATTTGGACTTCTCTGAGGATTTCGTTGGAAACGGGATAAACTTCCCAGAACTACACGGAAGCATTGTGAGAAACTTCTTTGTGATGTTTGCATTCAACTCACAGACTTGAACCTTGTTTTCATAGTTCAGCTTTAAAACACTCTTTTTGTAGAATCTGCAAGTGCATATTTGGACCACTTTGTGGCCTTCCTTCGAAACGGGTATATCTTCACATCAAACCTAGACAGAAGCATTCTCAGAATGTTTCCTGTGATGACTGCATTCAACTCACAGAGGTGAACAATCCTGTTGATGGAGCAGTTTTGAAACTCTCTTTCTTTGGATTCTGCAAGTGGATATGTGGACCTACTGTGAAGATTTCGTTGGAAACGGGTTCATCTTCACAGAAAAACTAAACAGGAGCATTCTCAGAAACTGCTTTGTGATGTTTGTGTTCCACTTCAGGACTTGAACTTTCCTCTTGACAGAGCAGCTCTGAAACCCTCTTATTCTAGAATCTGCAAGTGGACATTTGGAGGGCTTTGAGGCCTGTGGTGGAAAAGGAAAATCTTCACATAAAAACTAGATGGAAGCATTCTCAGAAACTACTTTGTGATGATTGCATTCGACTCACAGAGTTGAACATTCCTATAGATAGAGCAGGTTGTAAACAATCTTTTTGTAGAATCTGCGATTGGAGATTTGGACTGCTTTGAGGCCTACTGTAGTAAAGGAAATAACTTCATCTAAAAACCAAACGGAAGCATTCACAGACAATTCTTAGTGATAATTGCATTGAACTAACAGAGCTGAACATTCCTTTAGATGGAGCAGTTTCCAAACACACTTTCTGTAGAATCTGCAAGTGGATATTTGGACTTCTCTGAGGATTTCGATGGAAACGGGATAAAATTCCCAGAACTACACGGAAGCATTCTGAGAAACTTCTTTGTGATGTTTGCATTCAACTCACAGAGTTGAACCTTGCTTTCATAATTCAGCTTTCAAACACTATTTTTGTAGAATCTGCAAGTGGATATTTGGACCACTTTGTGGCCTTCCTTCGAAAGGGGTATATCTTCACATCAAACCTAGACAGAAAGCATTCTCAGAATGTTTCCTGTGATGACTGCATTCAACTCACAGAGGTGAACAATCCTGTTGATGGAGCAGTTTTGAAACTCTCTTTCTTTGGATTCTGCAAGTGGATATGTGGACCTCTATGAAGATTTCATTGGAAACGGGTTCATCTTCACAGAAAAACTAAACAGAAGCATTCTCAGAAACTGCTTTGTGATGTTTGTGTTACACTTCAAGAATTGAACTTTCCTCTTGACAGAGCAGCTCTGAAACACTCTTTTTCTAGAATCTGCAAGTGGACATTTGGAGGGCTTTTAGGCCTGTGGTGGAAAAGGAAAATCTTCACATAAAAACTAGATGGAAGCATTCTCAGAAACTACTTTGTGATGATTGCATTCGACTCACAGAGTTGAACATTCCTATAGATAGAGCAGGTTGTAAACAATCTTTTTGTAGAATCTGCGATTGGAGATTTGGACTGCTTTGAGGCCTACTGTAGTAAAGGAAATAACTTCATCTAAAAACCAAACGGAAGCATTCACAGACAATTCTTAGGGATCATTGGATTGAACTAACAGAGCTGAACATTTCCTTTAGATGGAGCAGTTGCCAAACCCACTTTCTGTAGAATCTGCAAGTGGATATTTGGACTTCTCTGAGGATTTCGTTGGAAACGGGATAAACTTCCCAGAACTACACGGAAGCATTGTGAGAAACTTCTTTGTGATGTTTGCATTCAACTCACAGAGTTGAACCTTGCTTTCATAGTTCAGCTTTCAAATACTCTTTTTGTAGAATCTGCAAGTGGATATTTGGACCACTTTGAGGCCTTCCTTCGAAACGGGTATATCTTCACATCAAACCTAGACAGAAGCATTCTCAGAATGTTTCCTGTGATGACTGCATTCAACTCACAGAGGTGAACAATCCTGTTGATGGAGCACTTTTGAAACTCTCTTTCTTTGGATTCTGCAAGTTGATATGTGGACCTCTGTGAAGATTTCGTTGGAAACGGGTTCATCTTCACAGAAAAAGTAAACAGAAGCATTCTCAGAAACTGCATTGTGATGTTTGTGTTCCACTTCAAGAATTGAACTTTCCTCTTGACAGAGCAGCTCTGAAACCCTCTTTTTCTAGAATCTGCAAGTGGACATTTGGAGGGCTTTGAGGCCTGTGGTGGAAAAGGAAAATCTTCACATAAGAACTTTATGGAAGCATTCTCAGAAACTACTTTGTGATGATTGCATTCGACTCACAGAGTTGAACATTCCTATAGATAGAGCAGGTTGTAAACAACCTTTTGGTAGAATCTGCGATTGGAGATTTGGACTGCTTTGAGGCCTACTGTAGTAAAGGAAATAACTTCATCTAAAAACCAAACGGAAGCATTCACAGACAATTCTTAGTGATCATTGGATTGAACTAACAGAGCTGAACATTCCTTTAGATGGAGCAGTTTCCAAACACAATTTCTGTAGAATCTGCAAGTGGATATTTGGACTTCTCTGAGGATTTCGTTGGAAACGGGATAAACTTCCCAGAACTACACGGAAGCATTCTGAGAAACTTCTTTGTGATGTTTGCATTCAACTCACAGAGTTGAACCTTGCTTTCATAGTTCAGCTTTCAAACACTCTTTTTGTAGAATCTGCAAGTGGATATTTGGACCACTTTGTGGCCTTCCTTCGAAACGGGTATATCTTCACATCAAACCTAGACAGAAGCATTCTCAGAATGTTTCCTGTGATGACTGCATTCAACTCACAGAGGTGAACAATCCTGCTGATGGAGCAGTTTTTAAACTCTCTTTCTTTGGTTTCTGCAAGTGGATATGTGGACCTCTGTGAAGATTTCGTTGGAAACGGGTTCATCTTCACAGAAAAACTAAAAAGAAACATTCTCAGAAACTGCTTTGTGATGTTTGTGTTCCACTTCAAGAATTGAACTTTCCTCTTGACAGAGCAGCTCTGAAACCCTCTTTTTCTAGAATCTGCAAGTGGACATTTGGAGGGCTTTGAGGCCTGTGGTGGAAAAGGAAAATCTTCACATAAAAACTAGATGGAAGCATTCTCAGAAACTACTTTGTGATGATTGCATTCGACTCACAGAGTTGAACATTCCTATAGATAGAGCAGGTTGTAAACAATGTTTTTGTAGAATCTGCGATTGGAGATTTGGACTGCTTTGAGGCCTACTGTAGTAAAGGAAATAACTTCATCTAAAAACCAAACGGAAGCATTCACAGACAATTCTTAGTGATCATTGGATTGAACTAACAGAGCTGAACATTCCTTTAGATGGAGCAGTTTCCAAACACACTTTCTGTAGAATCTGCAAGTGGATATTTGGACCTCTCTGAGGATTTCGTTGGAAACGGGATAAACTTCCCAGAACTACACGGAAGCATTCTGAGAAACTTCTTTGTGATTTTTGCATTCAACTCACAGAGTTGAACCTTGCTTTCATAGTTCAGATTTCAAACACTCTTTTTGTAGAATCTGCAAGAGGATATTTGGACCACTTTGTGGCCTTCCTTCGAAACGGGTATATCTTCACATCAAACCTAGACAGAAGCATTCTCAGAATGTTTCCTGTGATGACTGCATTCAACTCACAGAGGTGAACAATGCTGCTGATGGAGCAGTTTTGAAACTCTCTTTCTTTGGATTCTGCAAGTGGATATGTGGACCTCTGTGAAGATTTCGTTGGAAACGGGTTCATCTTCACAGAAAAACTAAACAGAAGCATTCTCAGAAACTGCTTTGTGATGTTTGTGTTCCACTTAAAGAATTGAACTTTCCTCTTGACAGAGCAGCTCTGAAACCCTCTTTTTCTAGAATCTGCAAGTGGACATTTGGAGGGCTTTGAGGCCTGTGGTGGAAAAGGAAAATATTCACATAAAAACTAGATGGAAGCATTCACAGAAACTTCTTTGTGATGATTGCATTCGACTCACAGAGTTGAACATTCCTATAGATAGAGCAGGTTGTAAACAATCTTTTTGTAGAATCTGCGATTGGAGATTTGGACTGCTTTGAGGCCTACTTTAGTAAAGGAAATTACTTCATCTAAAAACCAAACGGAAGCATTCACAGACAATTCTTAGTGATCATTGGATTGAACTAACAGAGCTGAACATTCTTTTAGATGGAGCAGTTTCCAAACCCACTTTCTGTAGAATCTGCAAGTGGATATTTGGACTTCTCTGAGGATTTCGTTGGAAACGGGATAAACTTCCCAGAACTACAGGGAAGCATTGTGAGAAACTTCTTTGTGATGTTTGCATTCAACTCACAGAGTTGAACCTTGCTTTCATAGTTCAGCTTTCAAACACTCTTTTTGTAGAATCTGCAAGTGGATATTTGGACCACTTTGTGGCCTTCCTTCGAAACGGGTATATCTTCACATCAAACCTAGACAGAAGCATTCTCAGAATGTTTCCTGTGATGACTGCATTCAACTCACAGAGGTGAACAATCCTGCTGATGGAGCTGTTTTGAAACTCTCTTTCTTTGGATTCTGCAAGTGGATATGTGGACCTCTGTGAAGATTTCGTTGGAAACGGGTTCATCTTCACAGAAAAACTAAACAGAAGCATTCTCAGAAACTGCTTTGTGATGTTTGTGTTCCACTTCAAGAATTGAACTTTCCTCTTGACAGAACCGCTCTGAAACCCTCTTTTTCTAGAATCTGCAAGTGGACATTTGGTGGGCTTTGAGGCCTGTGGTGGAAAAGGAAACTCTTCATATAAAAACTAGATGGAAGCATTCTCAGAAACTACTTTGTGATGATTGCATTCGACTCACAGAGTTGAACATTCCTATAGATAGAGCAGGTTGTAAACAATCTTTTTCAAGAATCTGCGATTAGAGATTTGGACTGCTTTGAGGCCTACTGTAGTAAAGGAAATTACTTCATCTAAAAACCAAACGGAAGCATTCACAGACAATTCTTAGTGATCATTGCATTGAACTAACAGAGCTGAACATTCCTTTAGATGGAGCAGTTTCCAAACCCACTTTCTGTAGAATCTGCAAGTGGATATTTGGACTTCTCTGAGGATTTCGTTGGAAACGGGATAAACTTCCCAGAACTACACGGAAGCATTCTGAGAAACTTCTATGTGATGTTTGCATTCAACTCACAGAGTTGAACCTTGCTTTCATAGTTCAGCTTTCAAACACTCTTTTTGTAGAATCTGCAAGTGGATATTTGGACCACTTTGTGGCCTTCCTTCGAAACGGGTATATCTTCACATCAAACCTAGACAGAAGCATTCTCAGAATGTTTCCAGTGATGACTGCATTCAACTCACAGAGGTGAACAATCCTGCTGATGGAGCAGTTTTGAAACTCTCTTTCTTTGGATTCTGCAAGTGGATATGTGGACCTCTGTGAAGATTTCGTTGGAAACGGGTTCATCTTCACAGAAAAACTAAACAGAAGCATTCTCAGAAACTGCTTTGTGATGTTTGTGTTCCACTTCAGGAATTGAACTTTCCTCTTGACAGAGCAGCTCTGAAATCCTCTTATTCTAGAATCTGCAAGTGGACATTTGGAGGGCTTTGAGGCCTGTGGTGGAAAAGGAAAATCTTCACATAAAAACTAGATGGAAGCATTCTCAGAAACTACTTTGTGATGATTGCATTCGACTCACAGAGTTGAACATTCCTATAGATAGAGCAGGTTGTAAACAATCTTTTTGTAGAATCTGCGATTGGAGATTTGGACTGCTTTGAGGCCTACTGTAGTAAAGGAAATAACTTCATCTAAAAACCAAACGGAAGCATTCACAGACAATTCTTAGTGATCATTGGATTGAACTAACAGAGCTGAACATTCCTTTAGATGGAGCAGTTTCCAAACCCACTTTCTGTAGAATCTGCAAGTGGATATTTGGACTTCTCTGAGGATTTCGTTGGAAACGGGATAAACTTCCCAGAACTACACGGAAGCATTCTGAGAAACTTCTTTGTGATGTTTGCATTCAACTCACAGAGTTGAACCTTGCTTTCATAGTTCAGCTTTCAAACACTCTTTTTGTAGAATCTGCAAGTGGATATTTGGACCACTTTGTGGCCTTCCTTCGAAACGGGTATATCTTCACATCAAACCTAGACAGAAGCATTCTCAGAATGTTTCCTGTGATGACTGCATTCAACTCACAGAGGTGAACAATCCTGCTGATGGAGCAGTTTTGAAACTCTCTTTCTTTGGATTCTGCAAGTGGATATGTGGACCTCTGTGAAGATTTCGTTGGAAACGGGTTCATCTTCACAGAAAAACTAAACAGGAGCATTCTCAGAAACTACTTTGTGATGTTTGTGTTCCACTTCAAGAATTGAACTTTCCTCTTGACAGAGCAGCTCTGAAACCCTCTTTTTCTAGAATCTGCAAGTGGACATTTGGAGGGCTTTGAGGCCTGTGGTGGAAAAGGAAAATCTTCACATAAAAACTAGATGGAAGCATTCTCAGAAACTACTTTGTGATGATTGCATTCGACTCACAGAGTTGAACATTCCTATAGATAGAGCAGGTTGTAAACAATCTTTTTGTAGAATCTGCGATTGGAGATTTGGACTGCTTTGAGGCCTACTGTAGTAAAGGAAATAACTTCATCTAAAAACCAAACGGAAGCATTCACAGACAATTCTTAGTGATCATTGGATTGAACTAACAGAGCTGAACATTCCTTTAGATGGAGCAGTTTCCAAACACACTTTCTGTAGAATCTGCAAGTGGATATTTGGACCTCTCTGAGGATTTCGTTGGAAACGGGATAAACTTCCCAGAACTACACGGAAGCATTCTGAGAAACTTCTTTGTGATGTTTGCATTCAACTCACAGAGTTGAACCTTGCTTTCATAGTTCAGCTTTCAAACACTCTTTTTGTAGAATCTGCAAGTGGATATTTGGACCACTTTGTGGCCTTCCTTCGAAACGGGTATATCTTCACATCAAACCTAGACAGAAGCATTCTCAGAATGTTTCCTGTGATGACTGCATTCAACTCACAGAGGTGAACAATCCTGCTGATGGACCAGTTTTGAAACTCTCTTTCTTTGGATTCTGCAAGTTGATATGTGGACCTCTGTGAAGATTTCGTTGGAAACGGGTTCATCTTCACAGAAAAACTAAACAGAAGCATTCTCAGAAACTGCTTTGTGATGTTTGTGTTCCACTTCAAGAATTGAACTTTCCTCTTGACAGAGCAGCTCTGAAACCCTCTTCTTCTAGAATCTGCAAGTGGACATTTGGAGGGCTTTGATGCCTGTGGTGGAAAACGAAAATCTTCACATAAAAACTAGATGGAAGCATTCTCAGAAACTACTTTGTGATGATTGCATTCGACTCACAGAGTTGAACATTCCTATAGATAGAGCAGGTTGTAAACAATCTTTTTGTAGAATCTGCGATTGGAGATTTGGACTGCTTTGAGGCCTACTGTAGTAAAGGAAATAACTTCATCTAAAAACCAAACGGAAGCATTCACAGACAATTCTTAGTGATCATTGGATTGAACTAAGAGAGGTGAACACTCATTTAGATGGCGCAGTTTCCAAACACACTTTCTATAGAATCTGCAAGTGGATATTTGGACCTCTCTGAGGATTTCGTTGGAAACGGGATAAACTTCCCAGAACTACACGGAAGCATTCTCAGAAACTTCTTTGTGATGTTTGCATTCAACTCACGAGAGTTGAACCTTGCTTTCATAGTTCAGCTTTCAAACACTCTTTTTGTAGAATCTGCAATTGGATATTTGGACCACTTTGTTGCCTTCCTTCGAAACGGGTATATCTTCACATCAAACCTAGACAGAAGCATTCTCAGAATGTTTCCTGTGATGACTGCATTCAACTCACAGAGGTGAACAATCCTGCTGATGGAGCAGTTTTGAAACTCTCTTTCTTTGGATTCTGCAAGTTGATATGTGGACCTCTGTGAAGATTTCGTTGGAAACGGGTTCATCTTCACAGAAAAACTAAACAGGAGCATTCTCAGAAACTGCTTTGTGATGTTTGTGTTCCACTTCAGGAATTGAACTTTCCTCTTGACAGAGCAGCTCTAAAACCCTCTTATTCTAGAATCTGCAAGTGGACATTTGGAGGGCTTTGAGGCCTGTGGTGGAAAAGGAAAATCTTCACATAAAAACTAGATGGAAGCATTCTCAGAAACTACTTTGTGATGATTGCATTCGACTCACAGAGTTGAACATTCCTATACATAGAGCAGGTTGTAAACAATCTTTTTGTAGAATCTGCGATTGGAGATTTGGACTGCTTTGAGGCCTACTGTAGTAAAGGAAATAACTTCATCTAAAAACCAAACGGAAGCATTCACAGACAATCCTTAGTGATCATTGCATTGAACTAACAGAGCTGAACATTCCTTTAGATGGCGCAGTTTCCAAACACACTTTCTGTAGAATCTGCAAGTGGATATTTGGACCTCTCTGAGGATTTCGTTGGAAACGGGATAAACTTCCCAGAACTACACGGAAGCATTCTGAGAAACTTCTTTGTGAAGTTTGCATTCAACACACAGAGTTGAACCTTGCTTTCATAGTTCAGCTTTCAAACACTCTTTTTGTAGAATCTGCAAGTGGATATTTGGAGCACTTTGTGGCCTTCCTTCGAAACGGGTATATCTTCACATCAAACCTAGACAGAAGCATTCTCAGAATGTTTCCAGTGATGACTGCATTCAACTCACAGAGGTGAACAATCCTGCTGATGGAGCTGTTTTGAAACTCTCTTTCTTTGGATTCTGCAAGTGGATATGTGGACCTCTGTGAAGATTTCGTTGGAAACGGGTTCATCTTCACAGAAAAAGTAAACAGGAGCATTCTCAGAAACTGCTTTGTTATGTTTGTGTTCCAATTCAGGAATTGAACTTTCCTCTTGACAGAGCAGCTCTGAAACCCTCTTATTCTAGAATCTGCAAGTGGACATTTGGAGGGCTTTGAGGCCTGTGGTGGAAAAGGAAAATCTTCACATAAAACTAGATGGAAGCATTCTCAGAAACTACTTTGTGATGATTGCATTCGACTCACAGAGTTGAACATTCCTATAGATAGAGCAGGTTGTAAACAATCTTTTTGTAGAATCTGCGATTGGAGATTTGGACTGCTTTGAGGCCTACTGTAGTAAAGGAAATAACTTCATCTAAAAACCAAACGGAAGCATTCACAGACAATTCTTAGTGATCATTGGATTGAACTAACAGAGCTGAACATTCCTTTAGATGGCTCAGTTTCCAGACACAGTTTCTGTAGAATCTGCAAGTGGATATTTGGACCTCTCTGAGGATTTCGTTGGAAACGGGATAAACTTCCCAGAACTACACGGAAGCATTCTGAGAAACTTCTTTGTGAAGTTTGCATTCAACACACAGAGTTGAACCTTGCTTTCATAGTTCAGCTTTCAAACACTCTTTTTGTAGAATCTGCAAGTGGATATTTGGACCATTTGTGGTCTTCCTTCGAAACGGGTATATCTTCACATCAAACCTAGACAGAAGCATTCTCAGAATGTTTCCTGTGATGACTGCATTCAACTCACAGAGGTGAACAATCCTGCTGATGGAGCAGTTTTGAAACTCTCTTTCTTTGGATTCTGCAAGTGGATATGTGGACCTCTGTGAAGATTTCGTTGGAAACGGGTTCATCTTCACAGAAAAACTAAACAGGAGCATTCTCAGAAACTGCTTTGTGATGTTTGTGTTCCACTTCAGGAATTGAACTTTCCTCTTGACAGAGCAGCTCTGAAACCCTCTTATTCTAGAATCTGCAAGTGGACATTTGGAGGGCTTTGAGGCCTGTGGTGGAAAAGGAAAATCTTCACATAAAAACTAGATGGAAGCATTCTCAGAAACTACTTTGTGATGATTGCATTCGACTCACAGAGTTGAACATTCCTATAGATAGAGCAGGGTGAAAACAATCTTTTTGTAGAATCTGCGATTGGAGATTTGTACTGCTTTGAGGCCTACTGTAGTAAAGGAAATAACTTCATCTAAAAACCAAACGGAAGCATTCCCAGAAAATTCTTAGTGATCATTGGATTGAACTAACAGAGCTGAACATTCCTTTAGATGGAGCAGTTTCCAAACACACTTTCTGTAGAATCTGCAAGTGGATATTTGGACTTCTCTGAGGATTTCGTTGGAAACGGGATAAACTTCCCAGAACTACACGGAAGCATTCTGAGAAACTTCTTTGTGATGTTTGCATGCAACTCACAGAGTTGAACCTTGCTTTCATAGTTCAGCTTTCAAACACTCTTTTTGTAGAATCTGCAAGTGGATATTTGGACCACTTTGTGGCCTTCCTTCGAAACGGGTATATCTTCACATCAAACCTAGACAGAAGCATTCTCAGAATGTTTCCTGTGATGACTGCATTCAACTCACAGAGGTGAACAATCCTGCTGATGGAGCAGTTTTGAAACTCTCTTTCTTTGGATTCTGCAAGTGGATATGTGGACCTCTGTGAAGATTTCGTTGGAAACGGGTTCATCTTCACAGAAAAACTAAACAGAAGCATTCCCAGAAACTGCTTTGTGATGTTTCTGTTCCACTTCAAGAATTGAACTTTCCTCTTGACAGAGCAGCTCTGAAACCCTCTTTTTCTAGAATCTGCAAGTGGACATTTGGAGGGCTTTGAGGCCTGTGGTGGAAAAGGAAAATCTTCACATAAAAACTAGATGGAAGCATTCTCAGAAACTACTTTGTGATGATTGCATTCGACTCACAGAGTTGAACATTCCTATAGATAGAGCAGGTTGTAAACAATCTTTTTGTAGAATCTGCGATTGGAGATTTGGACTGCTTTGAGGCCTACTGTAGTAAAGGAAATAACTTCATCTAAAAACCAAACGGAAGCATTCACAGACAATTCTTAGTGATCAATGGATTGAACTAACACAGCTGAACATTCCTTTAGATGGAGCAGTTTCCAAACCCACTTTCTGTAGAATCTGCAAGTGGATATTTGGACTTCTCTGAGGATTTCGTTGGAAACGGGATAAACTTCCCAGAACTACACGGAAGCATGCTGAGAAACTTCTTTGTGATGTTTGCATTCCACTCACAGAGTTGAACCTTGCTTTCATAGTTCAGCTTTCAAACACTCTTTTTGTAGAATCTGCAAGTGGATATTTGGACCACTTTGTGGCCTTCCTTCGAAACGGGTATATCTTCACATCAAACCTAGACAGAAGCATTCTCAGAATGTTTCCTGTGATGACTGCATTCAACTCACAGAGGTGAACAATCCTGCTGATGGAGCAGTTTTGAAACTCTCTTTCTTTGGATTCTGCAAGTGGATATGTGGACCTCTGTGAAGATTTCGTTGGAAACGGGTTCATCTTCACAGAAAAACTAAACAGGATCATTCTCAGAAACTGCTTTGTGATGTTTGTGTTCCACTTCAAGAATTGAACTTTCCTCTTGACAGAGCAGCTCTGAAACCCTCTTTTTCTAGAATCTGCAAGTGGACATTTGGAGGGCTTTGAGGCCTGTGGTGGAAAAGGAAAATCTTCACATAAAAACTAGATGGAAGCATTCTCAGAAACTACTTTGTGATGATTGCATTCGACTCACAGAGTTGAACATTCCTATAGATAGAGCAGGTTGTAAACAATCTTTTTGTAGAATCTGCGATTGGAGATTTGGACTGCTTTGAGGCCTACTGTAGTAAAGGAAATAACTTCATCTAAAAACCAAACGGAAGCATTCACAGACAATTCTTAGTGATCATTGGATTGAACTAACAGAGCTGAACATTCCTTTAGATGGAGCAGTTTCCAAACCCACTTTCTGTAGAATCTGCAAGTGGATATTTGGAATTCTCTGAGGATTTCGTTGGAAACGGGATAAACTTCCCAGAACTACAGGGAAGCATTCTGAGAAACTTCTTTGGATGTTTGCATTCAACTCACAGAGTTGAACCCTGCTTTCATTGTTCAGCTTTCAAACACTCTTTTTGTAGAATCTGCAAGTGGATATTTGGACCACTTTGTGGCCTTCCTTCGAAACGGGTATATCTTCACATCAAACCTAGACAGAAGCATTCTCAGAATGTTTCCTGTGATGACTGCATTCAACTCACAGAGGTGAACAATCCTGCTGACGGAGCAGTTTTGAAACTCTCTTTCTTTGGATTCTGCAAGTGGATATGTGGACCTCTGTGAAGATTTCGTTGGAAACGAGTTCATCTTCACAGAAAAACTAAACAGGAGCATTCTCAGAAACTGCTTTGTGATGTTTGTGTTCCACTTCAAGAATTGAAATTTCCTCTTGACAGAGCAGCTCTGAAACCCTCTTTTTCTAGAATCTGCAAGTGGACATTTGGAGGGATTTGAGGCCTGTGGTGGAAAAGGAAAAATCTTCACATAAAAACTAGATGGAAAGCATTCTCAGAAACTACTTTGTGATGATTGCATTCGACTCACAGAGTTGAACATTCCTATAGATAGAGCAGGTTGTAAACAATCTTTTTGTAGAATCTGCGATTGGAGATTTGGACTGCTTTGAGGCCTACTGTAGTAAAGGAAATAACTTCATCTAAAAACCAAACGGGAGCATTCACAGACAATTCTTAGTGATCATTGGATTGAACTAACAGAGCTGAACATTCCTTTAGATGGAGCAGTTTCCAAACCCACTTTCTGTAGAATCTGCAAGTGGATATTTGGACTTCTCTGAGGATTTCGTTGGAAACGGGATAAACTTCCCAGAACTACACGGAAGCATTCTCCGAAACTTCTTTGTGATGTTTGCATTCAACTCACAGTGTTGAACCTTCCTTTGATAGTTCAGGTTTGAAACACTCTTTTAGTAGAATCTGCAAGTGGATATTTGGACCACTTTGTGTCCTTCGTTCGAAGCGGGTATATCTTCACATCAAACCTAGACAGAAGCATTCTCAGAATGTTTCCTGTGATGACTGCATTCAACTCACAGAGGTGAACAATCCTGTTGATGGAGCAGTTTTGAAACTCTCTTTCTTTGGATTCTGCAAGTTGATATGTGGACCTCTGTGAAGATTTCGTTGGAAACTGGTTCATCTTCACAGAAAAACTAAACAGAAGCATTCTCAGAAACTGCTTTGTGATGTTTGTGTTCCACTTAAAGAATTGAACTTTCCTCTTGACAGAGCAGCTCTGAAACCCTCTTTTTCTAGAATCTGCAAGTGGACATTTGGAGGGCTTTGAGGCCTGTGGTGGAAAAGGAAAATCTTCACATAAAAACTTTATGGAAGCATTCTCAGAAACTACTTTGTGATGATTGCATTCGACTCACAGAGTTGAACATTCCTATAGATAGAGCAGGTTGTAAACAATCTTTTTGTAGAATCTGCGATTGGAGATTTGGACTGCTTTGAGGCCTACTGTAGTAAAGGAAATAACTTCATCTAAAAACCAAACGGAAGCATTCACAGACAATTCTTAGTGATCATTGGATTGAACTAACAGAGCTGAACATTCCTTTAGATGGGGCAGTTTCCAAACAAACTTTCTGTAGAATCTGCAAGTGGATATTTGGACTTCTCTGAGGATTTCGTTGGAAATGGGATAAACTTCCCAGAACTACACGGAAGCATTGTGAGAAACTTCTTTGTGATGTTTGCATTCAACTCACAGAGTTGAACCTTGCTTTCATAGTTCAGCTTTCAAACACTCTTTTTGTAGAATCTGCAAGTGGATATTTGGACCACTTTGTGGCCTTCCTTCGAAACGGGTATATCTTCACATCAAACCTAGACAGAAGCATTCTCAGAATGTTTCCTGTGATGACTGCATTCAACTCACAGAGGTGAACAATCCTGCTGATGGAGCAGTTTTGAAACTCTCTTTCTTTGGATTCTGCAAGTGGATATGTGGACCTCTGTGAAGATTTCGTTGGAAACGGGTTCATCTTCACAGAAAAACTAAACAGGAGCATTCTCAGAAACTGCTTTGTGATGTTTGTGTTCCACTTCAGGAATTGAACTTTCCTCTTGACAGAGCAGCTCTGAAACCCTCTTATTCTAGAATCTGCAAGTGGACATTTGGAGGGCTTTGAGGCCTGTGGTGGAAAAGGAAAATCTTCACATAAAAACTAGATGGAAGCATTCTCAGAAACTACTTTGTGATGATTGCATTCGACTCACGGAGTTGAACATTCCTATAGATAGAGCAGGTTGTAAACAATCTTTTTGTAGAATCTGCGATTGGAGATTTGGACTGCTTTGAGGTCTACTGTAGTAAAGGAAATAACTTCATCTAAAAACCAAACGGAAGCATTCACAGACAATTCTTAGTGATCATTGGATTGAACTAACAGAGCTGAACATTCCTTTAGATGGAGCAGTTTCCAAACACACTTTCTGTAGAATCTGCAAGTGGATATTTGGACTTCTCTGAGGATTTCGTTGGAAACGGGATAAACTTCCCAGAACTACACGGAAGCATTGTGAGAAAATTCTTTGGGATGTTTGCATTCAACTCACAGAGTTGAACCTTGCTTTCATAGTTCAGCTTTCAAACACTCTTTTTGTAGAATCTGCAAGTGGATATTTTGACCACTTTGATGGCCTTCTCTTCGAAACGGGTATATCTTCACATCAAACCTAGACAGAAGCATTCTCGGAATGTTTCCTGTGATGACTGCATTCAACTCACAGAGGTGAACAATCCTGCTGATGGAGCAGTTTTGAAACTCTCTTTCTTTGGATTCTACAAGTGGATATGTGGACCTCTGTGAAGATTTCGTTGGAAACGGGTTCATCTTCACAGAAAAACTAAACAGGAGCATTCTCAGAAACTGCTTTGTGATGTTTGTGTTCCACTTCAGGAATTGAACTTTCCTCTTGACAGAGCAGCTCTAAAACCCTCTTATTCTAGAATCTGCAAGTGGACATTTGGAGGGCTTTGAGGCCTGTGGTGGAAAAGGAAAATCTTCACATAAAAACTAGATGGAAGCATTCTCAGAAACTACTTTGTGATGATTGCATTCGACTCACAGAGTTGAACATTCCTATAGATAGAGCAGGTTGTAAACAATGTTTTTGTAGAATCTGCGATTGGAGATTTGGACTGCTTTGAGGCCTACTGTAGTAAAGGAAATAACTTCATCTAAAAACCAAACGGAAGCATTCACAGACAATTCTTAGTGATCATTGGATTGAGCTAACAGAGCTGAACATTCCTTTAGATGGCGCAGTTTCCAAACCCACTTTCTGGAGAATCTGCAAGTGGATATTTGGACTTCTCTGAGGATTTCGTTGGAAACGGGATAAACTTCCCAGAACTACAGGGAAGCATTGTGAGAAACTTCTTTGTGATGTTTGCATTCAACTCACAGAGTTGAACCTTGCTTTCATAGTTCAGCTTTCAAACACTCTTTTTGTAGAATCTGCAAGTGGATATTTGGACCACTTTGTGGCCTTCCTTCGAAACGGGTATATCTTCACATCAAACCTAGACAGAAGCATTCTCAGAATGTTTCCTGTGATGACTGCATTCAACTCACAGAGGTGAACAATCCTGCTGATGGAGCAGTTTTGAAACTCTCTTTCTTTGGATTCTGCAAGTGGATATGTTGAACTCTGTGAAGATTTCGTTGGAAACGGGTTCATCTTCACAGAAAAACTAAACAGGAGCATTCTCAGAAACTGCTTTGTGATGTTTGTGTTCCACTTCAAGAATTGAACTTTCCTCTTGACAGAGCAGCTCTGAAACCCTCTTTTTCTAGAAACTGCAAGTGGACATTTGGAGGGATTTGAGGCCTGTGGTGGAAAAGGAAAATCTTCACATAAAAACTAGATGGAAGCATTCTCAGAAACTACTTTGTGATGATTGCATTCGACTCACAGAGTTGAACATTCCTATACATAGAGCAGGTTGTAAACAATCTTTTTGTAGAATCTGCGATTGGAGATTTGGACTGCTTTGAGGCCTACTGTAGTAAAGGAAATAACTTCATCTAAAAACCAAACGGAAACATTCACAGACAATTCTTAGTGATCACTGGATTGAACTAACAGAGCTGAACATTCCTTTAGATGGAGCAGTTTCCAAACACACTTTCTGTAGAATCTGCAAGTGGATATTTGGACTTCTCTGAAGATTTCGTTGGAAACGGGATAAAATTCCCAGAACTACACGGAAGCATTCTGAGAAACTTCTTTGTGATGTTTGCATTCAACTCACAGACTTGAACCTTGCTTTCATAGTTCAGCTTTCAAATACTCTTTTTGTAGAATCTGCAAGTGGATATTTGGACCACTTTGTGGCCTTCCTTCCAAACGGGTATATCTTCACATCAAACATAGACAGAAGCATTCTCAGAATGTTTCCTGTGATGACTGCATTCAACTCACAGAGGTGAACCATCCTGTTGATGGGGCAGTTTTGAAACTTCCTTTCTTTGGATTCTGCAAGTGGATATGTGGACCTCTGTGAAGATTTCTTTGGAAACGGGTTCATCTTCACAGAAAAACTAAACAGGAGCATTCTCAGAAACTGCTTTGTGATGTTTGTGTTCCACTTCAAGAATTGAACTTTCCTCTTGATAGAGCAGCTCTGAAACCCTCTTTTTCTAGAATCTGCAAGTGGACATTTGGAGGGCTTCGTGGCCTGTGGTGGAAAAGGAAAATCTTCACATAAAAACTAGATGTAAGCATTCTCAGAAACTACTTTGTGATGATTGCATTCGACTCACAGAGTTGAACATTCCTATAGATAGAGCAGGTTGTAAACAATGTTTTTGTAGAATCTGCGATTGGAGATTTGGATTGCTTTGAGGCCTACTGTAGTAAAGGAAATAACTTCATCTAAAAACCAAACGGAAGCATTCACAGACAATTCTTAGTGATCATTGGATTGAACTAACAGAGCTGAACATTCCTTTAGATGGAGCAGTTTCCAAACCCACTTTCTGTAGAATCTGCAAGTGGATATTTGGACTTCTCTGAGGATTTCGTTGGAAACGGGATAAACTTCCCAGAACTACACGGAAGCATTGTGAGAAACTTCTTTGTGATGTTTGCATTCAACTCACAGAGTTGAACCTTGCTTTCATAGTTCAGCTTTCAAACACTCTTTGTGTAGAATCTGCAAGTGGATATTTGGACCACTTTGTGGCCTTCCTTCGAAACGGGTATATCTTCACATCAAACCTAGACAGAAGCATTCTCAGAATGTTTCCTGTGATGACTGCATTCAACTCACAGAGGTGAACAATCCTGCTGATGGAGCAGTTTTGAAACTCTCTTTCTTTGGATTCTGCAAGTGGATATGTGGACCTCTGTGAAGATTTCGTTGGAAACGTGTTCATCTTCACAGAAAAACTAAACAGGAGCATTCTCAGAAACTGCTTTGTGATGTTTGTGTTCCACTTCAAGAATTGAACTTTCCTCTTGACAGAGCAGCTCTGAAACCCTCTTTTTCTAGAATCTGCAAGTGGACATTTGGAGGGCTTTGAGGCCTGTGGTGGAAAAGGAAAATCTTCACATAAAAACTAGATGGAAGCATTCTCAGAAACTACTTTGTGATGATTGCATTCGACTCACAGAGTTGAACATTCCTATAGATAGAGCAGGTTGTAAACAATCTTTTTGTAGAATCTGCGATTGGAGATTTGGACTGCTTTGAGGCCTACTGTAGTAAAGGAAATAACTTCATCTAAAAACCAAACGGAAGCATTCACAGACAATTCTTAGTGATCATTGGATTGAACTAACAGAGCTGAACATTCCTTTAGATGGAGCAGTTTCCAAACACACTTTCTGTAGAATCTGCAAGTGGATATTTGGACTTCTCTGAGGATTTCGTTGGAAACGGGATAAACTTCCCAGAACTACACGGAAGCATTGTGAGAAACTTCTTTGTGATGTTTGCATTCAACTCACAGAGTTGAACCTTGCTTTCATAGTTCAGCTTTCAAACACTCTTTTTGTAGAATCTGCAAGTGGATATTTGGACCACTTTGTGGCCTTCCTTCGAAACGGGTATATCTTCACATCAAACCTAGACAGAAGCATTCTCAGAATGTTTCCTGTGATGACTGCATTCAACTCACAGAGGTGAACAATCCTGCTGATGGAGCACTTTTGAAACTCTCCTTCTTTGGATTCTGCAAGTGAATATGTGGTCCTCTGTGAAGATTTCGTTGGAAACGGGTTCATCTTCACAGAAAAACTAAACAGAAGCATTCTCAGAAACTGCTTTGTGATGTTTGTGTTCCACTTCAGGAATTGAACTTTCCTCTTGACAGAGCAGCTCTGAAACCCTCTTTTTCTAGAATCTGCAAGTTGACATTTGGAGGGCTTTGAGGCCTGCGGTGGAAAAGGAAAATCTTCACATAAAAACTAGATGGAAGCATTCTCAGAAACTACTTTGTGATGATTGCATTCGACTCACAGAGTTGAACATTCCTATACATAGAGCAGGTTGTAAACAATCTTTTTGTAGAATCTGCGATTGGAGATTTGGACTGCTTTGAGGCCTACTGTAGTAAAGGAAATAACTTCATCTAAAAACCAAACGGAAGCATTCACAGACAATTCTTAGTGATCATTGGATTGAACTAACAGAGCTGAACATTCCTTTAGATGGAGCAGTTTCCAAACACACTTTCTGTAGAATCTGCAAGTGGATATTTGGACTTCTCTGAGGATTTTGTTGGAAACGGGATAAACTTCCCAGAACTACAGGGAAGCATTCTGAGAAACTTCTTTGTGATGTTTGCATTCAACTCACAGAGTTGAACCTTGCTTTCATAGTTCAGCTTTCAAACACTCTTTTTGTAGAATCTGCAAGTGGATATTTGGACCACTTTGTGGCCTTCCTTCGAAACGGGTATATCTTCACATCAAACCTAGACAGAAGCATTCTCAGAATGTTTCCTGTGATGACTGCATTCAACTCACAGAGGTGAACAATCCTGCTGATGGAGCAGTTTTGAAACTCTCTTTCTTTGGATTCTGCAAGTGGATATGTGGACCTCTGTGAAGATTTCGTTGGAAACGGGTTCATCTTCACAGAAAAACTAAACAGAAGCATTCTCAGAAACTGCTTTGTGATGTTTGTGTTCCACTTCAAGAATTGAACTTTCCTCTTGACAGAGTAGCTCTGAAACCCTCTTTTTCTAGAATCTGCAAGTGGACATTTGGAGGGCTTTGAGGCCTGTGGTGGAAAAGGAAAATCTTCACATAAAAACTAGATGGAAGCATTCTCAGAAACTACTTTGTGATGATTGCATTCGACTCACAGAGTTGAACATTCCTATAGATAGAGCAGGTTGTAAACAATCTTTTTGTAGAATCTGCGATTGGAGATCTGGACTGCTTTGAGGCCTACTGTAGTAAAGGAAATAACTTCATCTAAAAACCAAACGGAAGCATTCATAGACAATTCTTAGTGATCATTGGATTGAACTAACAGAGCTGAACATTCCTTTAGATGGAGCAGTTTCCAAACACACTTTCTGTAGAATCTGCAAGTGGATATTTGGACTTCTCTGAGGATTTCGTTGGAAACGGGATAAACTTCCCAGAACTACAGGGAAGCATTCTGAGAAACTTCTTTGTGATGTTTGCATTCAACTCACAGAGTTGAACCTTGCTTTCATAGTTCAGCTTTCAAACACTCTTTTTGTAGAATCTGCAAGTGGATATTTGGACCACTTTGTGGCCTTCCTTCGAAACGGGTATATCTTCACATCAAACCTAGACAGAAGCATTCTCAGAATGTTTCCTGTGATGACTGCATTCAACTCACAGAGGTGAACAATCCTGTTGATGGAGCAGTTTTGAAACTCTCTTTCTTTGGATTCTGCAAGTTGATATGTGGACCTCTGTGAAGATTTCGTTGGAAACGGGTTCATCTTCACAGAAAAACTAAACAGAAGCATTCTCAGAAACTGCTTTGTGATGTTTGTGTTCCACATCAGGAATTGAACTTTACTCTTGACAGAGCAGCTCTGAAACCCTCTTTTTCTAGAATCTGCAAGTGGACATTTGGAGGGCTTTGAGGCCTGTGGTGGAAAAGGAAAATCTTCACATAAAAACTAGATGGAAGCATTCTCAGAAACTACTTTGTGATGATTGCATTCGACTCACAGAGTTGAACATTCCTATAGATAGAGCAGGTTGTAAACAATCTTTTTGTAGAATCTGCGATTCGAGATTTGGAATGCTTTGAGGCCTACTGCAGTAAAGGAAATAACTTCATCTAAAAACCAAACGGAAGCATTCACAGACAATTCTTACTGATCATTGCATTGAACTAACAGAGCTGAACATTCCTGTAGATGGCGCAGTTTCCAAACACACTTTCTGGAGAATCTGCAAGTGGATATTTGGACCTCTCTGAGGATTTCGTTGGAAACGGGATAAACTTCCCAGAACTACACGGAAGCATTCTGAGAAACTTCTTTGTGATGTTTGCATTCAACTCACAGAGTTGAACCTTGCTTTCATAGTCCAGCTTTCAAACACTCTTTTTGTAGAATCTGCAAGTGGATATTTGGACCACTTTGTGGCCTTCCTTCGAAACGGGTATATCTTCACATCAAACCTAGACAGAAGCATTCTCAGAATGTTTCCTGTGATGACTGCATTCAACTCACAGAGGTGAACAATCCTGCTGATGGAGCAGTTTTGAAACTCTCTTTCTTTGGATTCTGCAAGTGGATATGTGGACCTCTGTGAAGATTTCGTTGGAAACGGGTTCATCTTCACAGAAAAACTAAACAGAAGCATACTCAGAAACTGCTTTGTGATGTTTGTGTTCCACTTCAAGAATTGAACTTTCCTCTTGACAGAGCAGCTCTGAAACCCTCTTTTTCTAGAATCTGCAAGTGGACATTTGGAGGGCTTTGAGGCCTGTGGTGGAAAAGGAAAATCTTCCCATAAAAACTAGATGGAAGCATTCTCAGAAACTACTTTGTGATGATTGCATTCGACTCACAGAGTTGAACATTCCTATAGATAGAGCAGGTTGTAAACAATCTTTTTGTAGAATCTGCGATTGGAGATTTGGACTGCTTGGAGGCCTACTGTAGTAAAGGAAATAACTTCATCTAAAAACCAAACGGAAGCATTCACAGACAATTCTTAGTGATCATTGGATTGAACTAACAGAGCTGAACATTCGTTTAGATGGAGCAGTTTCCAAACCCACTTTCGGTAGAATCTGCAAGTGGATATTTGGACTTCTCTGAGGATTTCGTTGGAAACGGGATAAACTTCCCAGAACTACACGGAAGCATTCTGAGAAACTTCTTTGTGATGTTTGCATTCAACTCACAGAGTTGAACCTTGCTTTCATAGTTCAGCTATCAAACACTCTTTTTGTAGGATCTGCAAGTGGATATTTGGACCACTTTGTGGCCTTCCTTCGAAAGGGGTATATCTTCACATCAAACCTAGACAGAAGAATTCTCAGAATGTTTCCTGTGATGACTGCATTCAACTCACAGAGGTGAACAATCCTGTTGATGGAGCACTTTTGAAACTCTCTTTCTTTGGATTCTGCAAGTTGATATGTGGACCTCTGTGAAGATTTCGTTGGAAACGGGTTCATCTTCACAGAAAAACTAAACAGAAGCATTCTCAGAAACTGCTTTGTGATGTTTGTGTTCCACATCAAGAACTGAACTTTCCTCTTGACAGAGCAGCTCTGATACCCTCTTTTTCTAGAATCTGCAAGTGGACATTTGGAGGGCTTTGAGGCCTGTGGTGCAAAAGGAAAATCTTCACATAAAAACTAGACGGAAGCATTCTCAGAAACTACTTTGTGATGATTACATTCGTCTCACAGAGTTGAACATTACTATAGATAGAGCAGGTTGTAAACAATCTTTTTGTAGAATCTGCGATTGGAGATTTGGACTGCTTTGAGGCCTACTGTAGTAAAGGAAATAACTTCATCTAAAAACCAAACGGAAGCATTCACAGACAATTCTTAGTGATCATTGGATTGAACTAACAGAGCTGAACATTCCTTTAGATGGAGCAGTTTCCAAACACACTTTCTGTAGAATCTGCAAGTGGATATTTGGACTTCTCTGAGGATTTCGTTGGAAACGAGATAAACTTCCCAGAACTACACGGAAAGCATTCTGAGAAACTTCTTTGTGATGTTTGCATTCAACTCACAGAGTTGAACCTTGCTTTCATAGTTCAGCTTTCAAACCCTCTTTTTGTAGAATCTGCAAGTGGATATTTGGACCACTTTGTGGCCTTCCTCCGAAACGGGTATATCTTCACATCAAACCTAGACAGAAGCATTCTCAGAATGTTTCCTGTGATGACTGCATTCAACTCACAGAGGTGAACAATCCTGCTGATGGAGCAGTTTTGAAACTCTCTTTCTTTGGATTCTGCAAGTGGATATGTGGACCTCTGTGAAGATTTCGTTGGAAACGGGTTCATCTTCACAGAAAAACTAAACAGAAGCATTCTCAGAAACTGCTTTGTGATGTTTGTGTTCCACTTCAAGCAATTGAACTTTCCTCTTGACAGAGCAGCTCTGAAACCCTCTTTTTCTAGAATCTGCAAGTGGACATTTGGAGGGCTTTGAGGCCTGTGGTGGAAAAGGAAAATCTTCCCATAAAAACTAGATGGAAGCATTCTCAGAAACTACTTTGTGATGATTGCATTCGACTCACAGAGTTGAACATTCCTAAAGATAGAGCAGGTTGTAAACAATCTTTTTGTAGAATCTGCGATTGGAGATTTGGACTGCTTTGAGGCCTACTGCAGTAAAGGAAATAACTTCATCTAAAAACCAAACGGAAGCATTCACAGACAATTCTTAGTGATCATTGGATTGAACTAACAGAGCTGAACATTCCTTTAGATGGAGCAGTTTCCAATCCCACTTTCTGTAGAATCTGCAAGTGGATATTTGGACCTCTTTGAGGATTTTGTTGGAAAAGGGATATACTTCCCAGAAATACACGGAAGCATTCTGAGAAACTTCTTTGTGATGTTTGCATTCAACTCACAGAGTTGAACCTTGTTTTCATAGTTCAGCTTTCAAACACTCTTTTTGTAGAATCTGCAAGTGGATATTTGGACCACTTTGTGGCCTTCCTTCGAAACGGGTATATCTTCACATCAAACACAGACAGAAGAATTCTCAGAATGTTCCCTGTGATGACTGCATTCAACTCACAGAGCTGAACAATCCTGTTGATGGAGCAGTTTTGAAACTCTCTTTCTTTGGATTCTGCAAGAGGATATGTGGACCTCTGTGAAGATTTCGTTGGAAACGGGTTCATCTTCACAGAAAAACTAAACAGGAGCATTCTCAGAAACTGCTTTGTGATGTTTGTGTTCCACTTCAAGAATTGAACTTTCCTCTTGACAGAGCAGCTCTGAAACCCTCTTTTTCTAGAATCTGCAAGTGGACATTTGGAGGGCTTTGAGGCATGTGGTGGAAAAGGAAAATCTTCACATAAAAACTAGATGGAAGCATTCTCAGAAACTACTTTGCGATGATTGCATTCGACTCACAGAGTTGAACATTCCTATAGATAGAGCAGGTTGTAAACAATCTTTTTGTAGAATCTGCGATTGGAGATTTGGACTGCTTTGAGGCCTACTGTAGTATAGGAAATAACTTCATCTAAAAACCAAACGGAAGCATTCACAGACAATTCTTAGTGATCATTGGATTGAACTAACAGAGCTGAACATTCCTTTAGATGGAGCAGTTTCCAAACACACTTTCTGTAGAATCTGCAAGTGGATATTTGGACTTCTCTGAGGATTTCGTTGGAAACGGGATAAACTTCCCAGAACTACACGGAAGCATTCTGAGAAACTTCTTTGTGATGTTTGCATTCAACTCACAGAGTTGAACCTTGCTTTCATAGTTCAGCTTTCAAACACTCTTTTTGTAGAATCTGCAAGTGGATATTTGGACCACTTTGTGGCCTTCCTTCGAAACGGGTATATCTTCACATCAAACCTAGGCAGAAGCATTCTCAGAATGTTTCCTGTGATGACTGCATTCAACTCACAGAGGTGAACAATCCTGCTGATGGAGCAGTTTTGAAACTCTCTTTCTTTGGATTCTGCAAGTGGATATGTGGACCTCTGTGAAGATTTCGTTGGAAACGGGTTTATCTTCACAGAAAAACTAAACAGGAGCATTCTCAGAAACTGCTTTGTGATGTTTGTGTTCCACTTCAGGAATTGAACTTTCCTCTTGACAGAGCAGCTCTGAAACCCTCTTATTCTAGAATCTGCAAGTGGACATTTGGAGGGCTTTGAGGCCTGTGGTGGAAAAGGAAAATCTTCACATAAAAACTAGATGGAAGCATTCTCAGAAACTACTTTGTGATGATTGCATTCGACTCACAGAGTTGAACATTCCTATAGATAGAGCAGGTTGTAAACAATCTTTTTGTAGAATCTGCGATTGGAGATTTGGACTGCTTTGAGGCCTACTGTAGTAAAGGAAATAACTTCATCTAAAAACCAAACGGAAGCATTCACAGACAATTCTTAGTGATCATTGCATTGAACTAACAGAGCTGAACATTCCTTTAGATGGCGCAGTTTCCAAACACACTTTCTGTAGAATCTGCAAGTGGATATTTGGACCTCTCTGAGGATTTCGTTGGAAACGGGATAAACTTCCCAGAACTACACGGAAGCATTCTGAGAAACTTCTTTGTGATGTTTGCATTCAACTCACAGAGTTGAACCTTGCTTTCATAGTTCAGCTTTCAAATACTCTTTTTGTAGAATCTGCAAGTGGATATTTGGACCACTTTGTGGCCTTCCTTCGAAACGGGTATATCTTCACATCAAACCTAGACAGAAGCATTCTCAGAACGTTTCCTGTGATGACTGCATTCAACTCACAGAGGTGAACAATCCTGCTGATGGAGCAGTTTTGAAACTCTCTTTCTTTGGATTCTGCAAGTGGATATGTGGACCTCTGTGAAGATTTCGTTGGAAACGGGTTCATCTTCACAGAAAAACTAAACAGAAGCATTCTCAGAAACTACTTTGTGATGTTTGTGTTCCACTTCAAGAATTGAACTTTCCTCTTGACAGAGCAGCTCTGAAACCCTCTTTTTCTAGAATCTGCAAGTGGACATTTGGAGGGCTTTGAGGCCTGTGGTGGAAAAGGAAAATCTTCACATAAAAACTAGATGGAAGCATTCTCAGAAACTACTTTGTGATGATTGCATTCGACTCACAGAGTTGAACATTCCTATAGATAGAGCAGGTTGTAAACAATCTTTTTGTAGAATCTGCGATTGGAGATTTGGACTGCTTTGAGGCCTACTGTAGTAAAGGAAATAACTTCATCTAAAAACCAAACGGAAGCATTCACAGACAATTCTTAGTGATCATTGCATTGAACTAACACAGCTGAACATTCGTTTAGATGGCGCAGTTTCCAAACAGACTTTCTGTAGAATCTGCAGGTGGATATTTGGACCTCTCTGAGGATTTCGTTGGAAACGGGATAAAATTCCCAGAACTACACGGAAGCATTCTGAGAAACTTCTTTGTGATGTTTGCATTCAACTCATAGAGTTGAACCTTGCTTTCACAGTTCAGCTTTCAAACACTCTTTTTTTTAGAATCTACAGAAAGTGGATATTTGGACCACTTTGTGGCCTTCCTTCGAAACGGGTAAATCTTCACATCAAACCTAGACAGAAGCATTCTCAGAATGTTTCCTGTGATGACTGCATTCAACTCACAGAGGTGAACAATCCTGCTGATGGAGCAGTTTTGAAACTCTCTTTCTTTGGATTCTGCAAGTGGATATGTGGACCTCTGTGAAGATTTCGTTGGAAACGGGTTCATCTTCACAGAAAAACTAAACAGAAGCATTCTCAGAAACTACTTTGTGATGTTTGTGTTCCACTTCAAGAATTGAACTTTCCTCTTGACAGAGCAGCTCTGAAACCCTCTTTTTCTAGAATCTGCAAGTGGACATTTGGAGGGCTTTGAGGCCTGTGGTGGAAAAGGAAAATCTTCACATAAAAACTAGATGGAAGCATTCTCAGAAACTACTTTGTGATGATTGCATTCGACTCACAGAGTTGAACATTCCTATAGATACAGCAGGTTGTAAACAATCTTTTTGTAGAATCTGCGATTGGAGATTTGGACTGCTTTGAGGCCTACTGTAGTAAAGGAAATAACTTCATCTAAAAACCAAATGGAAGCATTCACAGACAATTCTTAGTGATCATTGGATTGAACTAACAGAGCTGAACATTCCTTTAGATGGAGCAGTTTCCAAACCCACTTTCTGTAGAATCTGCAAGTGGATATTTGGACTTCTCAGAGGATTTCGTTGGAAACGGGATAAACTTCCCAGAACTACACGGAAGCATTCTCCGAAACTTCTTTGTGATGTTTGCATTCAACTCACGGGGTTGAACCTTCCTTTCATAGTTCAGCTTTCAAACACTCTTTCTGTAGAATCTGCAAGTGGATATTTGGACCATTTTGTGGCCTTCCTTCGAAACGGGTATATCTTCACATCAAACCTAGACAGAAGCATTCTCAGAATGTTTCCTGTGATGACTGCATTCAACTCACAGAGGTGAACAATCCTGTTGATGGAGCAGTTTTGAAACTCTCTTTCTTTGGATTCTGCAAGTGGATATGTGGACCTCTGTGAAGATTTCGTTGGAAACGGGTTCATCTTCACAGAAAAACTTAACAGAAGCATTCTCAGAAACTGCTTTGTGATGTTTGTGTTCCACTTCAAGAATTGAACTTTCCTCTTGACAGAGCAGCTCTGAAACCCTCTTTTTCTAGAATCAGCAAGTGGACATTTGGAGGGCTTTGAGGCATGTGGTGGAAAAGGAATATCTTCACATAAAAACTAGATGGAAGCATTCTCAGAAACTACTTTGTGATGATTGCATTCGACTCACAGAGTTGAACATTCCTATAGATAGAGCAGGTTGTAAACAATCTTTTTGTAGAATCTGCGATTGGAGATTTGGACTGCTTTGAGGCCTACTGTAGTAAAGGAAATACCTTCATCTAAAAACCAAACGGAAGCATTCACAGTATAATTCTTAGTGATATTGGATTGAACTAACAGAGCTGAACATTCCTTTAGATGGAGCAGTTTCCAAACACACTTTCTGTAGAATCTGCAAGTGGATATTTGGACTTCTCTGAGGATTTCGTTGGAAACGGGATAAACTTCCCAGAACTACACGGAAGCATTGTGAGAAACTTCTTTGTGATGTTTGCATTCAACTCACAGAGTTGAACCTTGCTTTCATAGTTCAGCTTTCAAACACTCTTTTTGTAGAATCTGCAAGTGGATATTTGGACCACTTTGTGGCCTTCCTTCGAAACGGGTATATCTTCACATCAAACCTACACAGAAGCATTCTCAGAATGTTTCCTGTGATGACTGCATTCATCTCACAGAGGTGAACAATCCTGCTGATGGAGCAGTTTTGAAACTCTCTTTCTTTGGATTCTGCAAGTGGATGTGTGGACCTCTGTGAAGATTTCGTTGGAAACGGGTTCATCTTCACAGAAAAACTAAACAGAAGCATTCTCAGAAACTGCTTTGTGATGTTTGTGTTCCACTTCAGGAATTGAACTTTCCTCTTGACAGAGCAGCTCTGAAACCCTCTTTTTCTAGAATCTGCAAGTGGACATTTGGAGGGCTTTGAGGCCTGTGGTGGAAAAGGAAAACCTTCACATAAAAACTAGATGGAAGCATTCTCAGAAACCACTTTGGGATGACTGCATCGGACTCACAGAGTTGGACATTCCTATGGATAGAACAGTTTGTAAACACTCTTTTTGTAGAATCTGCAATTGGAGATTTGGACGGCTTTGAGACCTACGGAAGTAAAGGAAATAACTTCACATAAAAACCAAACGGAAGGATTCACAGACAATTCTTAGTGATCATTGCATTGAACTAACAGAGCTGAACATTCCTTTAGATGGCGCAGTTTCCAAACACACTTTCTGTAGAATCTGCAAGTGGATATTTGGACTTCTCTGAGGATTTCGTTGGAAACGGGATAAACTTCCCAGAACTACACGGAAGCATTCTCAGAAACTTCTTTGTCACGTTTGCATTCAACTCACAGAGTTGAACCTTCTTTTCATAGTTCAGCTTTCAAACACTCTATTTGTAGAATCTGCAAGTGGATATTTGGACCACTTTGTGGCCTTCCTTCGAAACGGGTATATCTTCACATCAAGCCTAGACAGAAGCATTCTCAGAATGTTTCCTGTGATGACTGCATTCAACTCACAGAGGTGAACAATCCTGTTGATGGAGCAGTTTTGAAACTCACTTTCTTTGGATTCTGCAAGTAGATATGTGGACCTCTGTGAAGATTTCGTTGGAAACTGGTTCATCTTCACAGAAAAACTAAACAGAAGCATTCTCAGAAACTGCTTTGTGATCTTTGTGTTCCACTTCAAGAATTGAACTTTCCTCTTGACAGAGCAGCTCTGAAACCCTCTTTTTCTAGAATCTGCAAGTGGACATTTGGAGGGCTTTGAGGCCTGTGGTGGAAAAGGAAAATCTTCACATAAAAACTAGATGGAAGCATTCTCAGAAACTACTTTGTGATGATTGCATTCGACTCACAGAGTTGAACATTCCTATAGATAGAGCAGGTTGTAAACAATCTTTTTGTAGAATCTGCGATTGGAGATTTTGACTGCGTTGAGGCCTACTGTAGTAAAGGAAATAACTTCATCTAAAAACCAAACGGAAGCATTCACAGACAATTCTTAGTGATCATTGGATTGAACTAACAGACCTGAACATTCCTTTAGATGGAGCAGTTTCCAAACACACTTTCTGTAGAATCTGCAAGTGGATATTTGGACCTCTCTGAGGATTTCGTTGGAAACGGGATAAACTTCCCAGAACTACACGGAAGCATTCTGAGAAACTTCTTTGTGATGTTTGCATTCAACTCACAGAGTTGAACCTTGCTTTCATAGTTCAGCTTTCAAACACTCTTTTTGTAGAATCTGCAAGTGGATATTTGGACCACTTTGTGGCCTTCCTTCGAAACGGGTATATCTTCACATCAAACCTAGACAGAAGCATTCTCAGAATGTTTCCTGTGATGACTGCATTCAACTCACAGAGGTGAACAATCCTGTTGATGGAGCAGTTTTGAAACTCTCTTTCTTTGGATTCTGCAAGTGGATATGTGGACCTCTGTGAAGATTTCGTTGGAAACGGGTTCATCTTCACAGAAAAACTAAACAGGAGCATTCTCAGAAACTGCTTTGTGATGTTTGTGTTCCACTTCAGGAATTGAACTTTCCTCTTGACAGAGCAGCTCTGAAACCCTCTTTTTCCAGAATCTGCAAGTGGACATTTGGAGGGCTTTGGGGCCTGTGGTGGAAAAAGAAAATCTTCACATAAAAACTAGATGGAAGCATTCTCAGAAACTATTTTGTGATGATTGCATTCGACTCACAGAGTTGAACATTCCTATAGATAGAGCAGGTTGTAAACAATCTTTTTGTAGAATCTGCGATTGGAGATTTGGACTGCTTTGAGGCCTACTGTAGTAAAGGAAATAACTTCATCTAAAAACCTAACGGAAGCATTCACAGACAATTCTTTGTGATCTATTGGATTGAAGTAACAGAGCTGAACATTCGTTTAGATGGAGCAGTTTCCAAACACACTTTCTGTAGAATCTGCAAGTGGATATTTGGACTTCTCTGAGGATTTCGTTGGAAACGGGATAAACTTCCCAGAACTACACGGAAGCATTCTGAGAAACTTCTTTGTGATGTTTGCATTCAACTCACAGAGTTGAACCTTGCTTTCATAGTTCAGCTTTCAAACACTCTTTTTGTAGAATCTGCAAGTGGATATTTGGACCACTTTGTGGCCTTCCTTCGAAACGGGTATATCTTCACATCAAACCTAGACAGAAGCATTCTCAGAATGTTTCCTGTGATGACTGCATTCAACTCACAGAGGTGAACAATCCTGTTGATGGAGCAGTTTTGAAACTCTCTTTCTTTGGATTCTGCAAGTTGATATGTGGACCTCTGTGAAGATTTCGTTGGAAACGGGTTCATCTTCACAGAAAAACTAAACAGAAGCATTCTCAGAAACTGCTTTGTGATGTTTGTGTTCCACTTCAGGAATTGAACTTTCCTCTTGTCAGAGCAGCTCTGAAACCCTCTTTTTCTAGAATCTGCAAGTGGACATTTGGAGGGCTTTGAGGCCTGTGGTGGAAAAGGAAAATCTTCACATAAAAACTAGATGGAAGCATTCTCAGAAAGTACTTTGTGATGATTGCATTCGACCCACAGAGTTGAACATTCCTATAGATAGAGCAGGTTGTAAACAATCTTTTTGTAGAATCTGCGATTGGAGATTTGGACTGCTTTGAGGCCTACTGTAGTAAAAGAAATAACTTCATCTAAAAACCAAACGGAAGCATTCACAGACAATTCTTAGTGATCATTGGATTGAACTAACAGAGCTGAAGATTCCCTTAGATGGCGCAGTTTCCAAACACACTTTCTGTAGAATCTGCAAGTGGATATTTGGACCTCTCTGAGGATTTCGTTGGAAACGGGATAAACTTCCCAGAACTACACGGAAGCATTGTGAGAAAATTCTTTGTGATGTTTGCATTCAACTCACAGAGTTGAACCTTGGTTTCATAGTTCAGCTTTCAAACACTCTTTTTGTAGAATCTGCAAGTGGATATTTGGACCACTTTGTGGCCTTCCTTCGAAACGGTTATATCTTCACATCAAACCTAGACAGAAGCATTCTCACAATGTTTCCTGTGATTACTGCATTCAACGCACAGAGGTGAACAATCCTGCTGATGGAGCAGTTTTGAATCTCTCTTTCTCTGGAATCTGAAAGTGGATATGTGGACCTATTTGAAGATTTCGTTGGAAACGGTTTCATCTTCAAAGAAAAACTAAACAGTAGCATTCTCAGAAATAACTTTGTGATGTTTGTGTTCAACTTGCAGAGTTGAACATTCCTCTTGACAGAGCAGCTATGAAACATTGTTTTTCTAGAACCTGCAAGTGGACATTTGGAGGGTTTTGGGGCCTTTGGCGGAAACGTAAATATCTGCATATAATAACTAGATAGAAGCATTCTCAGAAACTACTTTGTGATGATTGCATTCGACTCACAGAGTTGAACATTCCTATACATAGAGCAGGTTGTAAACAATCTTTTTGTAGAATCTGCGATTGGAGATTTGGACTGCTTTGAGGCCTACTGTAGTAAAGGAAATAACTTCATCTAAAAACCAAACGGAAGCATTCACAGACAATTCTTAGTGATCATTCCATTGAACTAACAGAGCTGAACATTCGTTAAGATGGCGCAGTTTCCAAACAGACTTTCTGTAGAATCTGCAAGTGGATATTTGGACCTCTCTGAGGATTTCGTTGGAAACGGGAAAACTTCCCAGAACTACACGGAGCATTGTGAGAAACTTCTTTGTGATGTTTGCATTCAACTCACAGAGTTGAACCTTGCTTTCATAGTTCAGCTTTCAAACACTCTTTTTGTAGAATCTGCAAGTGGATATTTGGACCACTTTGTGGCCTTCCTTCGAAACGGGTATATCTTCACATCAAACCTAGACAGAAGCATTCTCAGAATGTTTCCTGTGATGACTGCATTCAACTCACAGAGGTGAACAATCCTGTTGATGGAGCAGTTTTGAAACTCTCTTTCTTTGGATTCTGCAAGTGGATATGTGGACCTCTGTGAAGATTTCGTTGGAAACGGGTTCATCTTCACAGAAAAACTAAACAGAAGCATTCTCAGAAACTGCTTTGTGATGTTTGTGTTCCACTTCAGGAATTGAACTTTCCTCTTGACAGAGCAGCTCTGAAACCCTCTTTTTCTAGAATCTGCAAGTGGACATTTGGAGGGCTTTGAGGCCTGTGGTGGAAAAGGAAAATCTTCACATAAAAACTAGATGGAAGCATTCTCAGAAACTACTTTGTGATGATTGCATTCGACTCACAGAGTTGAACATTCCTATAGATAGAGCAGGTTGTAAACAATCTTTTTGTAGAATCTGCGATTGGAGATTTGGACTGCTTTGAGGCCTACTGTAGTAAAGGAAATAACTTCATCTAAAAACCAAACGGAAGCATTCACAGACAATTCTTAGTGATCATTTGATTGAACTAACAGAGCTGAACATTCCTTTAGATTGAGCAGTTTCCAAACACACTTTCTGTAGAATCTGCAGGTGGATATTTGGACCTCTCTGAGGATTTCGTTGGAAATGGGATAAACTTCCCAGAAATACACGGAAGCATTCTGAGAAACTTCTTTGTGATGTTTGCATTCAACTCACAGAGTTGAACCTTGCTTTCATAGTTCAGCTTTCAAACACTCTTTTTGTAGAATCTGCAAGTGGATATTTGGACCACTTTGTGGCCTTCCTTCGAAACGGGTATATCTTCACATCAAACCTAGACAGAAGCATTCTCAGAATGTTTCCTGTGATGACTGCATTCAACTCACAGAGGTGAACAATCCTGCTGATGGAGCAGTTTTGAAACTCTCTTTCTTTGGATTCTGCAAGTGGATATGTGGACCTCTGTGAAGATTTCGTTGGAAACGGGTTCATTTTCACAGAAAAACTAAACAGGAGCATTCTCAGAAACTGCTTTGTGATGTTTGTGTTCCACTTCAGGAATTGAACTTTCCTCTTGACAGAGCAGCTCTAAAACCCTCTTATTCTAGAATCTGCAAGTGGACATTTGGAGGGCTTTGAGGCCTGTGGTGGAAAAGGAAAATCTTCACATAAAAACTAGATGGAAGCATTCTCAGAAACTACTTTGTGATAATTGCATTCGACTCACAGAGTTGAACATTCCTATAGATAGAGCAGGTTGTAAACAATCTTTTTGTAGAATCTGCGATTGGAGATTTGGACTGCTTTGAGGCCTACTGTAGTAAAGGAAATAACTTCATCTAAAAACCAAACGGAAGCATTCACAGACAATTCTTAGTGATCATTGGATTGAACTAACAGAACTGAACATTCCTTTAGATGGAGCAGTTTCCAAACCCACTTTCTGTAGAATCTGCAAGTGGATATTTGGACTTCTCTGAGGATTTCGTTGGAAACGGGATAAACTTCCCAGAACTACACGGAAGCATTGTGAGAAACTTCTTTGTGATGTTTGCATTCAACTCACAGAGTTGAACCTTGCTTTCATAGTTCAGCTTTCAAACACTCTTTTTGTAGAATCTGCAAGTGGATATTTGGACCACTTTGTGGCCTTCCTTCGAAACGGGTATATCTTCACATCAAACCTAGACAGAAGCATTCTCAGAATGTTTCCTGTGATGACTGCATTCAACTCACAGAGGTGAACAATCCTGCTGATGGAGCAGTTTTGAAACTCTCTTTCTTTGGATTCTACAAGTGGATATGTGGACCTCTGTGAAGATTTCGTTGGAAACGGGTTCATCTTCACAGAAAAACTAAACATGAGCATTCTCAGAAACTCCTTTGTGTTGTTTGTGTTCCACTTCAAGAATTGAACTTTCCTCTTGACAGAGCAGCTCTGAAACTCCCTTTTTCTAGAATCTGCAAGTGGACATTTGGAGGGCTTTGAGGCCTGTGGTGGAAAAGGAAACATCTTCACATAAAACCTAGATAGAAGCATTCTCAGAAACTACTTTGTGATGATTGCATTCGACTCATAGAGTTGAACATTCCTATAGATAGAGCAGGTTGTAAACAATCTTTCTGTAGAATCTGCGATTGGAGATTTGGACTTCTTTGAGGCCTACTGTAGTAAAGGAAATAACTTCATCGAAAAACCAAGCGGAAGCATTCACAGACAATTCTTAGTGATCATTGGATTGAACTAACAGAGCTGAACATTCCTTTAGATGGAGCAGTTTCCAAACACACTTTCTGTAGAATCTGCAAGTGGATATTTGGACTTCTCTGAGGATTTCGTTGGAAACGGGATAAACTTCCCAGAACTACACGGAAAGTATTCTGAGAAACTTCTTTGTGATGTTTGCATTCAACTCACAGAGTTGAACCTTGCTTTCATAGTTCAGCTTTGAAACACTCTTTTTGTAGAATCTGCAAGTGGATATTTGGACCACTTTGTGGCCTTCCTTCGAAACGGGTATATCTTCACATCAAACCTAGACAGAAGCATTCTCAGAATGTTTCCTGTGATGACTGCATTCAACTCACAGAGATGAACAATCCTGTTGATGGAGCAGTTTTGAAACTCTCTTTCTTTGCATTCTGCAAGTGGATATGTGGACCTCTGTGAAGATTTCGTTGGAAACGGGTTCATCTTCACAGAAAAATTAAACAGAAGCATTCTCAGAAACTGCTTTGTGATGTTTGTGTTCCACTTCAGGAATTGAACTTTCCTCTTGACAGAGCAGCTCTGAAACCCTCTTATTCTAGAATCTGCAAGTGGACATTTGGAGGGCTTTGAGGCCTGTGGTGGAAAAGGAAAATCTTCACATAAAAACTAGATGGAAGCATTCTCAGAAACTACTTTGTGATGATTGCATTCGATTCACAGAGTTGAACATTCCTATAGATAGAGCAGGTTGTAAACAATCTTTTTGTAGAATCTGCGATTGGAGATTTGGACTGCTTTGAGGCCTACTGTAGTAAAGGAAATAACTTCATCTAAAAACCAAACGGAAGCATTCACAGACAATTCTTAGTGATCATTGCATTGAACTAACAGAGCTGAACATTCCTTTAGATGGCGCAGTTTCCAAACACACTTTCTGTAGAATCTGCAAGTGGATATTTGGACCTCTCTGAGGATTTCGTTGGAAACGGGATAAACTTCCCAGAACTACACTGAAGCATTCTGAGAAACTTCTTTGTGATGGTTGCATTCAACTCACAGAGTTGAACATTGCTTTCTTAGTTCAGCTTTCAAACACTCTTTTTGTAGAATCTGCAAGTGGATATTTGGACCACTTTGTGGCCTTCCTTCGAAACGGGTATATCTTCACATCAAACCTAGACAGAAGCATTCTCAGAATGGTTCCTGTGATGACTGCATTCAACTCACAGAGGTGAACAATCCTGTTGATGGAGCACTTTTGAAACTCTCTTTCTTTGGATTCTGCAAGTTGATATGTGGACCTCTGTGAAGATTTCGTTGGAAACGGGTTCATCTTCACAGAAAAACTAAACAGAAGCATTCTCAGAAACTGCTTTGTGATGTTTGTGTTCCACTTCAAGAATTGAACTTTCCTCTTGACAGAGCAGCTCTGAAACCCTCTTATTCTAGAATCTGCAAGTGGACATTTGCAGGGCTTTGAGGCCTGTGGTGGAAAAGGAAAATCTTCACGTAAAAACTAGATGGAAGCATTCTCAGAAACTACTCTGTGATTATTGCATTCGACTCACAGAGTTGAACATTCCTATACATAGAGCAGGTTGTAAACAATCTTTTTGTAGAATCTGCGATTGGAGATTTGGACTGCTTTGAGGCCTACTGTAGTTAAGGAAATAACTTCATCTAAAAACCAAACGGAAGCATTCACAGACAATTCTTAGTGATCATTGGATTGAACTAACAGAGCTGAACATTCCTTTAGATGGAGCACTTTCCAAACCCACTTTCTGTAGAATCTGCAAGTGGATATTTGGACCTCTCTGAGGATTTCGTTGGAAATGGGATAAACTTCCCAGAAGTACACGTAAGTATTCTGAGAAATTTCTTTGTGATGTTTGCATTCAACTCACAGAGTTGAACCTTGCTTTCATAGTTCAGCTTTCAAACACTCTTTTTGTAGAATCTGCAAGTGGATATTTGGACCACTTTGTGGCCTTCCTTCAAAAGGGGTATATCTTCACATCAAACCTAGACAGAAGCATTCTCAGAATGTTTCCTGTGATGACTGCATTCAACTCACAGAGGTGAACAATCCTGCTGATGGAGCAGTTTTGAAACTCTCCTTCTTTGTATTCTGCAAGTGGATATGTGGACCTCTGTGAAGATTTCGTTGGAAACGGGTTCATCTTCACAGAAAAACTAAACAGAAGCATTCTCAGAAACTGCTTTGTGATGTTTGTGTTCCACTTCAAGAATTGAACTTTCCTCTTGACCGAGCAGCTCTGAAACCCTCTTATTCTAGAATCTGCAAGTGGACATTTGGAGGGCCTTTGAGGCCTGTGGTGGAAAAGGAAAATCTTCACATAAAAACTAGATGGAAGCATTCTCAGAAACTACTTTGTGATGATTGCATTCGACTCACAGAGTTGAACATTCCTATAGATAGAGCAGGTTGTAAACAATCTTTTTGTAGAATCTGCGATTGGAGATTTGGACTGCTTTGAGGCCTACTGTAGTAAAGGAAATAACTTCATCTAAAAACCAAACGGAAGCATTCACAGAACAATTCTTAGTGATCATTGGATTGAACTAACAGAGCTGAACATTCCTTTAGATGGAGCAGTTTCCAAACACACTTTCTGTAGAATCTGCAAGTGGATATTTGGACTTCTCTGAGGATTTCGTTGGAAACGGGATAAACTTCCCAGAACTACACGGAAAGCATTGTGAGAAACTTCTTTGTGATGTTTGCATTCAACTCACAGAGTTGAACCTTGCTTTCATAGTTCAGCTTTCAAACACTCTTTTTGTGGAATCTGCAAGTGGATATTTGGACCACTTTGTGGCCTTCCTTCGAAACGGGTATATCTTCACATCAAACCTAGACAGAAGCATTCTCAGAATGTTTCCTGTGATGACTGCATTCAACTCACAGAGGTGAACAATCCTGTTGATGGAGCAGTTTTGAAACTCTCTTTCTTTGGATTCTGCAAGTGGATATGTGGACCTCTGTGAAGATTTCGTTGGAAACGGGTTCATCTTCACAGAAAAACTAACCAGAAGCATTCTCAGAAACTGCTTTGTGATGTTTGTGTTCCACTTCAAGAATTGAACTTTCCTCTTGACCGAGCAGCTCTGAAACCCTCTTATTCTAGAATCTGCAAGTGGACATTTGGAGGGCTTTGAGGCCTGTGGTGGAAAAGGAGAAATCTTCACATAAAAACTAGATGGAAGCATTCTCATGAAACTCCTTTGTGATGATTGCATTCGACTCACAGAGTTGAACATTCCTATAGATAGAGCAGGTTGTAAACAAACTTTTTGTAGAATCTGCGATTGGAGATTTGGACTGCTTTGAGGCCTACTGTAGTAAAGGAAATAACTTCATCTAAAAACCAAACGGAAGCATTCACAGACCATTCTTAGTGATCATTGGATTGAACTAACAGAGCTGAACATTCCTTTAGATGGCGCAGTTTCCAAACACACTTTCTGTAGAATCTGCAAGTGGATATTAGGACCTCTCTGAGGATTTCGTTGGAAACGGGATAAACTTCCCAGAACTACACGGAAGCATTCTGAGAAACTTCTTTGTGATGTTTGCATTCAACTCACAGAGTTGAACCTTGCTTTCATAGTTCAGCTTTCAAACACTCTTTTTGTAGAATCTGCAAGTGGATATTTGGACCACTTTGTGGCCTTCCTTCGAAACGGGTATATCTTCACATCAAACCTAGACAGAAGCATTCTCAGAATGTTTCCTGTGATGACTGCATTCAACTCACAGAGGTGAACAATCCTGCTGATGGAGCAGTTTTGAAACTCTCTTTCTTTGGATTCTGCAAGTGGATATGTGGACCTCTGTGAAGATTTCGTTGGAAACGGGTTCATCTTCACAGAAAAACTAAACAGGAGCATTCTCAGAAACTGCTTTGTGATGTTTGTGTTCCACTTCAAGAATTGAACTTTCCTCTTCACAGAGCAGCTCTGAAACCCTCTTTTTCTAGAATCTGCAAGTGGACATTTGGAGGGCTTTGAGGCCTGTGGTGGAAAAGGAAAATCTTCACATAAAAACTAGATGGAAGCATTCTCAGAAACTACTTTGTGATGATTGCATTCGACTCACAGAGTTGAACATTCCTATAGATAGAGCAGGTTGTAAACAATGTTTTTGTAGAATCTGCGATTGGAGATTTGGACTGCTTTGAGGCCTACTGTAGTAAAGGAAATAACTTCATCTAAAAACCAAACGGAAGCATTCACAGACAATTCTTAGTGATCATTGCATTGAACTAACAGAGCTGAACATTCCTTTAGATGGCGCAGTTTCCAAACACACTTTCTGTAGAATCTGCAAGTGGATATTTGGACCTCTCTGAGGATTTCGTTGGAAACGGGATAAACTTCCCAGAACTACACGGAGCATTGTGAGAAACTTCTTTGTGATGTTTGCATTCAACTCACAGAGTTGAACCTTGCTTTCATAGTTCAGCTTTCAAACACTCTTTTTGTAGAATCTGCAAGTGGATATTTGGACCACTTTGTGGCCTTCCTTCGAAACGGGTATATCTTCACATCAAACCTAGACAGAAGCATTCTCAGAATGTTTCCTGTGATGACTGCATTCAACTCACAGAGGTGAACAATCCTGCTGATGGAGCAGTTTTGAAACTCTCTTTCTTTGGATTCTGCAAGTGGATATGTGGACCTCTGTGAAGATTTCGTTGGAAACGGGTTCATCTTCACAGAAAAACTAAACAGGAGCATTCTCAGAAACTGCTTTGTGATGTTTGTGTTCCACTTCAGGAATTGAACTTTCCTCTTGACAGAGCAGCTCTGAAATCCTCTTATTCTAGAATCTGCAAGTGGACATTTGGAGGGCTTTGAGGCCTGTGGTGGAAAAGGAAAATCTTCACATAAAAACTAGATGGAAGCATTCTCAGAAACTGCTTTGTGATGATTGCATTCGACTCACAGAGTTGAACATTCCTATAGATAGAGCAGGTTGTAAACAATCTTTTTGTAGAATCTGCGATTGGAGATTTGGACTGCTTTGAGGCCTACTGTAGTAAAGGAAATAACTTCATCTAAAAACCAAACGGAAGCATTCACAGACAATTCTTAGTGATCATTGGATTGAACTGACAGAGCTGAACATTCCTTTAGATGGAGCAGTTTCCAAACACACTTTCTGTAGAATCTGCAAGTGGATATTTGGACTTCTCTGAGGATTTCGTTGGAAACGGGATAAACTTCCCAGAACTACACGGAAGCATTCTGAGAAACTTCTTTGTGATGTTTGCATTCAACTCACAGAGTTGAACCTTGTTTTCATAGTTCAGCTTTCAAACACTCTTTTTGTAGAATCTGCAAGTGGATATTTGGACCACTTTGTGGCCTTCCTTCGAAACGGGTATATCTTCACATCAAACCTAGACAGAAGCATTCTCAGAATGTTTCTTGTGATGACTGCATTCAACTCACAGAGGTGAACAATCCTGCTGATGGAGCAGTTTTGAAACTCTCTTTCTTTGGATTCTGCAAGTGGATATGTGGACCTCTGTGAAGATTTCGTTGGAAACGGGTTCATCTTCACAGAAAAACTAAACAGGAGCATTCTCAGAAACTGCTTTGTGATGTTTGTGTTCCACTTCAGGAATTGAACTTTCCTCTTGACAGAGCAGCTCTGAAACCCTCTTTTTCTAGAATCTGCAAGTGGACATTTGGAGGGCTTTGAGGCCTGTGGTGGAAAAGGAAAATCTTCACATAAAAACTAGATGGAAGCACTCTCAGAAACTACTTTGTGATGATTGCATTCGACTCACAGAGTTGAACATTCCTACAGATAGAGCAGGTTGTAAACAATGTTTTTGTAGAATCTGCGATTGGAGATTTGGACTGCTTTGAGGCCTACTGTAGTAAAGGAAATACCTTCATCTAAAAACCAAACGGAAGCATTCACAGACAATTCTTAGTGATCACTGGATTGAACTAACAGAGCTGAACATTCCTTTAGATGGAGCAGTTTCCAAACACACTTTCTGTAGAATCTGCAAGTGGATATTTGGACCTCTCTGAGGATTTCGTTGGAAACGGGCTAAACTTCCCAGAACTACACGGAAGCATTCTGAGAAACTTCTTTGTGATGTTTGCATTCAACTCACAGAGTTGAACCTTGCTTTCATAGTTCAGCTTTCAAACACTCTTTTTGTGGAATCTGCAAGTGGATATTTGGACCACTTTGTGGCCTTCCTTTGAAACGGGTATATGCTTCACATCAAACCTAGACAGAAGCATTCTCGGAATGTTTCCTATGATGACTGCATTCAACTCACAGAGGTTAACAATCCTGCTGATGGAGCAGTTTTGAAACTCTCTTTCTTTGGATTCTGCAAGTGGATATGTGGACCTCTGTGAAGATTTCGTTGGAAACGGGTTCATCTTCACAGAAAAACTAAACAGAAGCATTCTCAGAAACTGCTTTGTGATGTTTGTGTTCCACTTCAGGAATTGAACTTTCCTCTTGACAGAGCAGCTCTGAAACCCTCTTATTCTAGAATCTGCAAGTGGACATTTGGAGGGCTTTGAGGCCTGTGGTGGAAAAGGAAAATCTTCACATAAAAACTAGATGGAAGCATTCTCAGAAACTACTTTGTGATGATTGCATTCGACTCACAGAGTTGAACATTCCTATAGATAGAGCAGGTTGTAAACAATCTTTTTGTAGAATCTGCGATTGGAGATTTGGATTGCTTTGAGGCCTACTGTAGTAAAGGAAATAACTTCATCTAAAAACCAAACGGAAGCATTCACAGACAATTCTTAGTGATCATTGGATTGAACTAACAGAGCTGAACATTCCTTTAGATGGAGCAGTTTCCAAACACACTTTCTGTAGAATCTGCAAGTGGATATTTGGACTTCTCTGAGGATTTCGTTGGAAACGGGATAAACTTCCCAGAACTACACGGAAGCATTCTGAGAAACTTCTTTGTGATGTTTGCATTCAACTCACAGAGTTGAACCTTGCTTTCATAGGTCAGCTTTCAAACACTCTTTTTGTGGAATCTGCAAGTGGATATTTGGACCACTTTGTGGCCTTCCTTCGAAACGGGTATATACTTCACATCAACCCTAGACAGAAGCATTCTCAGAATGCTTCCTGTGATGACTGCATTCAACTCACAGAGGTGAACAATCCTGCTGATGGAGCAGTTTTGAAACTCTCTTTCTTTGGATTCTGCAAGTGGATATGTGGACCTCTGTGAAGATTTCGTTGGAAACGGGTTCATCTTCACAGAAAAACTAAACAGGAGCATTCGCAGAAACTGCTTTGTGATGTTTGTGTTCCACTTCAAGAATTGAACTTTCCTCTTGACAGAGCAGCTCTGAAACCCTCTTTTTCTAGAATCTGCAAGTGGACATTTGGAGGGCTTTGAGGCCTGTGGTGGAAAAGGAAAATCTTCACATAAAAACTAGATGGAAGGATTCTCAGAAACTACTTTGTGATGATTGCATTCGACTCACAGAGTTGAACATTCCTATAGAGAGAGCAGGTTGTAAACAATCTCTTTGTAGAATCTGCGATTAGAGATTTGGACTACTTTGAGGCCTACTGTAGTAAAGGAAATAACTTCATCTAAAAACCAAACGGAAGCATTCACAGACAATTCTTAGTGATCATTGCATTGAACTAACAGAGCTGAACATTCCTTTAGATGGCGCAGTTTCCAAACACACTTTCTGTAGAATCTGCAAGTGGATATTTGGACTTCTCTGAGGATTTCGTTGGAAACGGGATAAACTTCCCAGAACTACACGGAAGTATTCTGAGAAACTTCTTTGTGATGTTTGCATTCAACTCACAGAGTTGAACCTTGCTTTCATAGTTCAGCTTTCAAACACTCTTTTTGTGGAATCTGCAAGTGGATATTTGGACCACTTTGTGGCCTTCCTTCGAAACGGGTAAATCTTCACATCAAACCTAGACAGAAGCATTCTCAGAATGTTTCCTGTGATGACTGCATTCAACTCACAGTAGGTGAACAATCCTGCTGATGGAGCAGTTTTGAAACTCTCTTTCTTTGGATTCTGCAAGTGGATATGTGGACCTCTGTGAAGATTTCGTTGGAAACGGTTTCATCTTCACAGAAAAACTAAACAGGAGCATTCTCAGAAACTGCTTTGTGATGTTTGTGTTCCACTTCAAGAATTGAACTTTCCTCTTGACAGAGCAGCTCTGAAACCCTCTTTTTCTAGAATCTGCAAGTGGACATTTGGAGGGCTTTGAGGCCTGTGGTGGAAAAGGAAAATCTTCACATAAAAACTAGATGGAAGCATTCTCAGAAACTACTTTGTGATGATTGCATTCGACTCACAGAGTTGAACATTCCTATAGATAGAGCAGGTTGTAAACAATCTTTTTGTAGAATCTGCGATTGGAGATTTGGACTGCTTTGAGGCCTTCTGTAGTAAAGGAAATTACTTCATCTAAAAACCAAACGGAAGCATTCACAGACAATTCTTAGTGTTCATTGCATTGAACTAACAGAGCTGAACATTGCTTTAGATGGCGCAGTTTCCAAACACACTTTCTGTAGAATCTGCAAGTGGATATTTGGACCTCTCTGAGGATTTCGTTGGAAACGGGATAAACTTCCCAGAACTACACGGAAGCATGCTGAGAAACTTCTTTGTGATGTTTGCATTCAACTCACAGAGTTGAACCTTGCTTTCATAGTTCAGCTTTCAAACACTCTTTTTTTTAGAATCTACAGAAAGTGGATATTTGGACCACTTTGTGGCCTTCCTTCGAAACGGGTATATCTTCACATCAAACCTAGACAGAAGCATTCTCAGAATGTTTCCTGTGATGACTGCATTCAACTCACAGAGGTGAACAATCCTGCTGATGGAGCAGTTTTGAAACTCTCTTTCTTTGGATTCTGCAAGTGGATATGTGGACCTCTGTGAAGATTTCGTTGGAAACGGGTTCATCTTCACAGAAAAACTAAACAGAAGCATTCTCAGAAACTGCTTTGTGATGTTTGTGTTCCACTTCAAGAATTGAACTTTCCTCTTGACAGAGCAGCTCTGAAACCCTCTTTTTCTAGAATCTGCAAGTGGACATTTGGAGGGCTTTGAGGCCTGTGGTGGAAAAGGAAAATCTTCACATAAAAACTAGATGGAAGCATTCTCAGAAACTACTTTGTGATGATTGCATTCGACTCACAGAGTTGAACATTCCTATAGATAGAGCAGGTTGTAAACAATCTTCTTGTAGAATCTGCGATTGGAGATTTGGACTGCTTTGAGGCCTACTGTAGTAAAGGAAATAACTTCATCTAAAAACCAAACGGAAGCATTCACAGACAATTCTTAGTGATCATTGGATTGAACTAACAGAGCTGAACATTCCTTTAGATGGAGCAGTTTCCAAACACACTTTCTGTAGAATCTGCAAGTGGATATTTGGACTTCTCTGAGGATTTCGTTGGAAACGGGATAAACTTCCCAGAACTACAGGGAAGCATTCTGAGAAACTTCTTTGTGATGTTTGCATTCAACTCACAGAGTTGAACCTTGCTTTCATAGTTCAGCTTTCAAACACTCTTTTTGTAGAATCTGCAAGTGGATATTTGGACCACTTTGTGGCCTTCCTTCGAAACGGGTATATCTTCACATCAAACCTAGACAGAAGTATTCTCAGAATGTTTCCTGTGATGACTGCATTCAACTCACAGAGGTGAACAATCCTGCTGATGGAGCAGTTTTGAAACTCTCTTTCTTTGGATTCTGCAAGTGGATATGTGGACCTCTGTGAAGATTTCGTTGGAAACGGGTTCATCTTCACAGAAAAACTAAACAGAAACATTCTCAGAAACTGCTTTGTGATGTTTGTGTTCCACTTCAGGAATTGAACTTTCCTCTTGACAGAGCAGCTCTGAAACCCTCTTATTCTAGAATCTGCAAGTGGATATTTGGAGGGCTTTGAGGCCTGTGGTGGAAAAGGAAAATCTTCACATAAAAACTAGATGGAAGCATTCTCAGAAACTACTTTGTGATGATTGCATTCGACTCACAGAGTTGAACATTCCTATAGATAGAGCAGGTTGTAAACAATCTTTTTGTAGAATCTGCGATTGGAGATTTGGACTGCTTTGAGGCCTACTGTAGTAAAGGAAATAACTTCATCTAAAAACCAAACGGAAGCATTCACAGACAATTCTTAGTGATCATTGGATTGAACTAACAGAGCTGAACATTCCTTTAGATGGAGCAGTTTCCAAACACACTTTCTGTAGAATCTGCAAGTGGATATTTGGACTTATCTGAGGATTTCGTTGGATAAGGGATAAACTTCCCAGAACTACAGGGAAGCATTCTGAGAAACTTCTTTGTGATGTTTGCATTCAACTCACAGAGATGATCCTTGCTTTCATAGTTCAGCTTTCAAACACTCTTTTTGTAGAATCTGCAAGTGGATATTTGGACCACTTTGTGTCCTTCCTTCGAAACGGGTATATCTTCACATCAAACTTAGACAGCAGCATTCTCAGAATGTTTCCTGTGATGACTGCATTCAACTCACAGAGGTGAACAATCCTGCTGATGGAGCAGTTTTGAAACTCTCTTTCTTTGGATTCTGCAAGTGGATATGTGGACCTCTGTGAAGATTTCGTTGGAAACGGGTTCATCTTCCCAGAAAAACTAAAAAGAAGCATTCTCAGAAACTGCTTTGTGATGTTTGTGTTCCACTTCAAGAATTGAACTTTCCTCTTGACAGAGCAGCTCTGAAACCCTCTTTTTCTAGAATCTGCAAGTGGACATTTGGAGGGCTTTGAGGCCTGTGGTGGAAAAAGAAAATCTTCCCATAAAAACTAGATGGAAGCATTCTCAGAAACTACTTTGTGATGATTGCATTCGACTCACAGAGTTGAACATTCCTATAGATAGAGCAGGTTGTAAACAATCTTTTTGTAGAATCTGCGATTGGAGATTTGGACTGCTTTGAGGCCTACTGTAGTAAAGGAAATAACTTCATCTAAAAACCAAACGGAAGCATTCACAGAAAATTCTTAGTGATCATTGGATTGAACTAACAGAGCTGAACATTCCTTTAGATGGAGCAGTTTCCAAACCCACTTTCTGTAGAATCTGCAAGTGGATATTTGGACTTCTCTGAGGATTTCGTTGGAAACGGGATATGCTTCCCAGAACTACAGGGAAGCATTCTGAGAAACTTCTTTGTGATGTTTGCATTCAACTCACAGAGTTGAACCTTGCTTTCATAGTTCTGCTTTCAAACACTCTTTTTGTAGAATCTGCAAGTGGATATTTGGACCACTTTGTGGCCTTCCTTCGAAACGGGTATATCTTCACATCAAACCTATACAGAAGCATTCTCAGAATGTTTCCTGTGATGACTGCATTCAACTCACAGAGGTGAACAATCCTGCTGATGGAGCAGTTTTGAAACTCTCTTTCTTTGGATTCTGCAAGTGGATATGTGGACCTCTGTGAAGATTTCGTTGGAAACGGGTTCATCTTCACAGAAAAACTAAACAGAAGCATTCTCAGAAACTGCTTTGTGATGTTTGTGTTCCACTTCAAGAATTGAACTTTCCTCTTGAAAGAGCAGCTCTGAAACCCTCTTTTTCTAGAATCTGCAAGTGGACATTTGGAGGGCTTTGAGGCCTGTGGTGCAAAAGGAAAATCTTCACATAAAAACTAGATGGAAGCATTCTCAGAAACTACTTTGTGATGATTGCATTCGACTCACAGAGTTGAACATTCCTATAGATAGAGCAGGTTGTAAACAATCTTTTTGTAGAATCTGCGATTGGAGATTTGGACTGCTTTGAGGCCTACTTGTAGTAAAGGCAATAACTTCATCTAAAAACCAAACGGAAGGATTCACAGACAATTCTTAGTGATCATTGCATTGAACTAACAGAGCTGAACATTCCTTTAGATGGCGCAGTTTCCAAACACACTTTCTGTAGAATCTGCAAGTGGATATTTGGACCTCTCTGAGGATTTCGTTGGAAACGGGATAAACTTCCCAGAACTACACGGAAGCATTGTGAGAAACTTCTTTGTGATGTTTGCATTCAACTCACAGAGTTGAACCTTGCTTTCATAGTTCAGCTTTCAAACACTCTTTTTGTAGAATCTGCAAGTGGATATTTGGACCACTTTGTGGCCTTCCTTCGAAACGGGTATATCTTCACATCAAACCTAGACAGAAGCATTCTCAGAATGTTTCCTGTGATGACTGCATTCAACTCACAGAGGTGAACAATCCTGCTGATGGAGCAGTTTTGAAAATCTCTTTCTTTGGATTCTGCAAGTGGATATGTGGACCTCTGTGAAGATTTCGTTGGAAACGGGTTCATCTTCACAGAAAAACTAAACAGAGGCATTCTCAGAAACTGCTTTGTGATGTTTGTGTTCCACTTCAAGAATTGAACTTTCCTCTTGACAGAGCAGCTCTGAAACCCTCTTTTTCTAGAATCTGCAAGTGGACATTTGGAGGGCTTTGAGGCCTGTGGTGGAAAAGGAAAATCTTCACATAAAAACTAGATGGAAGCATTCTCAGAAACTACTTTGTGATGATTGCATTCGACTCACAGAGTTGAACATTCCTATAGAGAGAGCAGGTTGTAAACAATCTTTTTGTAGAATCTGCGATTGGAGATTTGGACTGCTTTGAGGTCTACTGTAGTAAAGGAAATAACCTCATCTAAAAACCAAACGGAAGCATTCACAGACAATGCTTAGTGATCATTGGATTGAACTAACAGAGCTGAAGATTCCTTTAGATGGAGCAGTTTCCAAACCCACTTTCTGTAGAATCTGCAAGTGGATATTTGGACCTCTCTGAGGATTTCGTTGGAAACGGGATATACTTCCCAGAACTACACGGAAGTATTCTGAGAAACTTCTTCGTGATGGTTGCATTCAACTCACAGAGTTGAACCTTGCTTTCATAGTTCAGCTTTCAAACACTCTTTTTGTAGAATCTGCAAGTGGATATTTGGACCATTTTGTGGCCTTCCTTGGAAACGGGTATATCTTCACATCAAACCTTGACAGAAGCATTCTCAGAATGTTTCCTGTGATGACTGCATTCAACTCACAGAGGTGAACAATCCTGTAGATGGAGCACTTTTGAAACTCTCTTTCTTTGGATTCTGCAAGTTGATATGTGGACCTCTGTGAAGATTTCGTTGGAAACGGTTTCATCTTCACAGAAAAACTAAACAGAAGCATTCTCAGAAACTACTTTGTGATGTTTGTGTTCCACTTCAAGAATTGAACTTTCCTCTTGACAGAGCAGCTCTGAAACCCTCTTTTTCTAGAATCTGCAAGTGGACATTTGGAGGGCTTTGAGGCCTGTGGTGGAAAAGGAAAATCTTCACATAAAAACTAGATGGAAGCATTCTCAGAAACTACTTTCTGATGATTGCATTCGACTCACAGAGTTGAACATTCGTATAGATAGAGCAGGTTGAAAACAATCTTTTTGTAGAATCTGCGATTGGAGATTTGGACTGCTTTGAGGCCTACTGTAGTAAAGGAAATAACTTCATCTAAAAACCAAACGGAAGCATTCACAAACAATTCTTAGTGATCATTGCATTGATCTAACAGAGCTGAACATTCCTTTAGATGGCGTAGTTTCCAAACACACTTTCTGTAGAATCTGCAAGTGGATATTTGGACCTCTCTGAGGATTTCGTTGGAAACGGGATAAACTTCCCAGAACTACACGGAAAGCATTCTGAGAAACTTCTTTGTGATGTTTGCATTCAACTCACAGGATTTGCACCTTGCTTTCATAGTTCAGCTTTCAAACACTCTTTTTGTAGAATCTGCAAGTGGATATTTGGACCACTTTGTGGCCTTCCTTCGAAAAGGGTATATCTTCACATCAAACCTAGACAGAAGCATTCTCAGAATATTTCCTGTGATGACTGCATTCAACTCACAGAGGTGAACAATCCTGCTGATGGAGCAGTTTTGAAACTCTCTTTCTTTGGATTCTGCAAGTGGATATGTGGACCTCTGTGAAGATTTCGTTGGAAACGGGTTCATCTTCACAGAAAAACTAAACAGAAGCATTCTCAGAAACTGCTTTGTGATGTTTGTGTTCCACTTCAAGAATTGAACTTTCCTCTTGACAGAGCAGCTCTGAAACCCTCTTTTTCTAGAATCTGCAAGTGGACATTTGGAGGGCTTTGAGGCCTGTGGTGGAAAAGGAAAATCTTCCCATAAAAACTAGATGGAAGCATTCTCAGAAACTACTTTGTGATGATTGCATTCGACTCACAGAGTTGAACATTCCTATAGATAGAGCAGGTTGTAAACAATCTTTTTGTAGAATCTGCAATTGGAGATTTGGACTGCTTTGAGGCCTATTGTAGTAAAGGAAATAACTTCATCTAAAAACCAAACGGAAGCATTCACAGAAAATTCTTAGTGATCATTGGATTGAACTAACAGAGCTGAACATTCCTTTAGATGGCACAGTTTCCAAACACACTTTCTGTAGAATCTGCAAGTGGATATTTGGACCTCTCTGAGGATTTCGTTGGAAAAGGGCTAAACTTCCCAGAACTACACGGAAGCATTCTGAGAAACTTCTTTGTGATGTTTGCATTCAACTCACAGAGTTGAACCTTGCTTTCATAGTTCAGCTTTCAAACACTCTTTTTGTAGAATCTGCAAGTGGATATTTGGACCACTTTGTGGCCTTCCTTCGAAACGGGTATATCTTCACATCAAACCTAGACAGAAGCATTCTCAGAATGTTTCCTGTGATGACTGCATTCAACTCACAGAGGTGAACAATCCTGCTGATGGAGCAGTTTTGAAACTCTCTTTCTTTGGATTCTGCAAGTGGATATGTGGACCTCTGTGAAGATTTCGTTGGAAACGGGTTCATCCTCACAGAAAAACTAAACAGGAGCATTCTCAGAAACTGCTTTGTGATGTTTGTGTTCCACTTCAGGAATTGAACTTTCCTCTTGACAGAGCAGCTCTGAAACCCTCTTATTCTAGAATCTGCAAGTGGACATTTGGAGGGCTTTGAGGCCTGTGGTGGAAAAGGAAAATCTTCACATAAAAACTAGATGGAAGCATTCTCAGAAACTACTTTGTGATGATTGCATTCGACTCACAGAGTTGAACATTCCTATAGATAGAGCAGGTTTTAAACAATCTTTTTGTAGAATCTGCGATTGGAGATTTGGACTGCTTTGAGGCCTACTGTAGTAAAGGAAATAACTTCATCTAAAAACCAAACGGAAGCATTCACAGACAATTCTTAGTGATCATTGGATTGAACTAACAGAGCTGAACATTCCTTTAGGTGGAGCAGTTTCCATACACACTTTCTGTAGAATCTGCAAGTGGATATTTGGACCTCTCTGAGGATTTCGTTGGAAACGGGATAAACTTCCCAGAACTACACGGAAGTATTCTGAGAAACTTCTTTGTGATGTTTGCATTCAACTCACAGAGTTGAACCTTGCTTTCATAGTTCAGCTTTCAAACACTCTTTTTGTAGAATCTGCAAGTGGATATTTGGACCACTTTGTGGCCTTCCTTCGAAACGGGTATATCTTCACATCAAACCTAGACAGAAGCATTTTCAGAATGTTTCCTGTGATGACTGCATTCAACTCACAGAGGTGAACAATCCTGCTGATGGAACAGTTTTGAAACTCTCTTTCTTTGGATTCTGCAAGTGGATATGAGGACCTCTGTGAAGATTTCGTTGGAAACGGGTTCATCTTCACAGAAAAACTAAACAGGAGCATTCTCAGAAACTGCTTTGTGATGTTTGTGTTCCACTTCAAGAATTGAACTTTCCTCTTGACAGAGCAGCTCTGAAACCCTCTTTTTCTAGAATCTGCAAGTGGACATTTGGAGGGCTTTGAGGCCTGTGGTGGTAAAGGAAAATCTTCACATAAAAACTTTATGGAAGCATTCTCAGAAACTACTTTGTGATGATTGCATTCGACTCACAGAGTTGAACATTCCTATAGATAGAGCAGGTTGTAAACAATGTTTTTGTAGAATCTGCGATTGGAGATTTGGATTGCTTTGAGGCCTACTGTAGTAAAGGAAATAACTTCATCTAAAAACCAAACGGAAGCATTCACAGACAATTCTTAGTGATCATTGGATTGAACTAACAGAGCTGAACATTCCTTTAGATGGAGCAGTTTCCAAACCCACTTTCTGTAGAATCTGCAAGTGGATATTTGGACTTCTCTGAGGATTTCGTTGGAAACGGGATAAACTTCCCAGAACTACACGGAAGCATTCTGAGAAACTTCTTTGTGATGTTTGCATTCAACTCACAGAGTTGAACCTTGCTTTCATAGTTCAGCTTTCAAACACTCTTTTTGTAGAATCTGCAAGTGGATATTTGGACCACTTTGTGGCCTTCCTTCGAAACGGGTATATCTTCACATCAAACCTAGACAGAAGCATTCTCAGAATGTTTCCTGTGATGACTGCATTCAACTCACAGAGGTGAACAATCCTGCTGATGGAGCAGTTTTGAAACTCTCTTTCTTTGGATTCTGCAAGTGGATATGTGGACCTCTGTGAAGATTTCGTTGGAAACGGGTTCATCTTCACAGAAAAACTAAACAGGAGCATTCTCAGAAACTGCTTTGTGATGTTTGTGTTCCACTTCAGGAATTGTACTTTCCTCTTGACAGAGCAGCTCTGAAACCCTCTTATTCTAGAATCTGCAAGTGGACATTTGGAGGGCTTTGAGGCCTGTGGTGGAAAAGGAAAATCTTCACATAAAAACTAGATGGAAGCATTCTCAGAAACTTCTTTGTGATGATTGCATTCGACTCACAGAGTTGAACATTCCTATAGATAGAGCAGGTTGTAAACAATCTTTTTGTAGAATCTGCGATTGGAGATTTGGACTGCTTTGAGGCCTACTGTAGTAAAGGAAATTACTTCATCTAAAAACCAAACGGAAGCATTCACAGACAATTCTTAGTGATCATTGGATTGAACTAACAGAGCTGAACATTCCTTTAGATGGAGCAGTTTCCAAACACACTTTCCGTAGAATCTGCAAGTGGATATTTGGACTTCTCTGAGGATTTCGTTGGAAACGGGATAAACTTCCCAGAACTACACGGAAGCATTCTGAGAAACTTCTTTGTGATGTTTGCATTCAACACACAGAGTTGAACCTTGCTTTCATCGTTCAGCTTTCAAACACTCTTTTCGTAGAATCTGCAAGTGAATATTTGGACCACTTTGTGGCCTTCCTTCGAAACGGGTATATCTTCACATCAAACCTAGACAAAAGCATTCTCAGAATGTTTCCTGTGATGACTGCATTCAACTCACAGAGGTGAACAATCCTGTTGATGGAGCAGTTTTGAAACTCTCTTTCTTTGGATTCTGCAAGTTGATATGTGGACCTCTGTGAAGATTTCGTTGGAAACGTGTTCATCTTCACACAAAAACTAAACAGAAGCATTCTCAGAAACTGCTTTGTGATGTTTGTGTTCCACTTCAAGAATTGAACTTTCCTCTTGACAGAGCAGCTCTGAAACCCTTCTTTTTTTCTAGAATCTGCAAGTGGACATTTGGAGGGCTTTGAGGTCTGTGGTGGAAAAGGAAAATCTTCACATAAAAACTAGATGGAAGCATTCTCAGAAACTACTTTGTGATGATGGCTTTCGACTCACAGAGTTGAACATTCCTATAGATAGAGCAGGTTGTAAACAATCTTTTTGTAGAATCTGCGATTGGAGATTTGGACTGCTTTGAGGCCTACTGTAGTAAAGGAAATAACTTCATCTAAAAACCAAACGGAAGCATTCACAGACAATTCTTAGTGATCATTGCATTGAACTAACAGAGCTGAACATTCCTTTAGATGGAGCAGTTGCCAAACCCACTTTCTGTAGAATCTGCAAGTGGATATTTGGACTTCTCTGAGGATTTCGTTGGAAACGGGATAAACTTCCCAGAACTACACGGAAGCATTCTGAGAAACTTCTTTGTGATGTTTGCATTCAACTCACAGAGTTGAACCTTGCTTTCATAGTTCAGCTTTCAAACACTCTTTTTGTAGAATCTGCAAGTGGATATTTGGACCACTTTGTGGCCTTCCTTCGAAACGGGTATATCTTCACATCAAACCTAGACAGAAGCATTCTCAGAATGTTTCCTGTGATGACTGCATTCAACTCACAGAGGTGAACAATCCTGCTGATGGAGCAGTTTTGAAACTCTCTTTCTTTGGATTCTGCAAGTGGATATGTGGACCTCTGTGAAGATTTCGTTGGAAAACGGGTTCATCTTCACAGAAAAACTAAACAGGAGCATTCTCAGAAACTGCTTTGTGATGTTTGTGTTCCACTTCAGGAATTGAACTTTCCTCTTGACAGAGTAGCTCTGAAACCCTCTTTTTCTAGAATCTGCAAGTGGACATTTGGAGGGCTTTGAGGCCTGTGGTGGAAAAGGAAAATCTTCACATAAAAACTAGATGGAAGCATTCTCAGAAACTACTTTGTGATGATTGCATTCGACTCACAGAGTTGAACATTCCTATAGATAGAGCAGATTGTAAACAATCTTTTTGTAGAATCTGCGATTGGAGATTTGGACTGCTTTGAGGCCTACTGTAGTAAAGGAAATAACTTCATCTGAAAACCAAACGGAAGCATTCACAGACAATTCTTAGTGATCATTGGATTGAACTAAGAGAGCTGAACATTCCTTTAGATGGAGCAGTTTCCAAACACACTTTCTGTAGAATCTGCAAGTGGATATTTGGACTTCTCTGAGGATTTCGTTGGAAACGGGATAAACTTCCCAGAACTACAGGGAAGCATTGTGAGAAACTTCTTTGTGATGTTTGCATTCAACTCACAGAGTTGAACCTTGCTTTCATAGTTCAGCTTTCAAACACTCTTTTTGTAGAATCTGCAAGTGGATATTTGGACCACTTTGTGGCCTTCCTTCGAAACGGGTATATCTTCACATCAAACCTAGACAGAAGCATTCTCAGAATGTTTCGTGTGATGACTGCATTCAACTCACAGAGGTGAACAATCCTGCTGATGGAGCAGTTTTGAAACTCTCTTTCTTTGGATTCTGCATGTGGATATGTGGACCTCTGTGAAGATTTCGTTGGAAACGGGTTCATCTTCACAGAAAAACTAAACAGAAGCATTCTCAGAAACTACTTTGTGATGTTTGTGTTCCACTTCAAGAATTGAACTTTCCTCTTGACAGAGCAGCTCTGAAACCCTCTTTTTCTAGAATCTGCAAGTGGACACTTGGAGGGCTTTGAGGCCTGTGGTGGAAAAGGAAAATCTTCACATAAAAACTAGATGGAAGCATTCTCAGAAACTTCTTTGTGATGATTGCATTCGACTCACAGAGTTGAACATTCCTATAGATAGAGCAGGTTGTAAACAATCTTTTTGTAGAATCTGCGATTGGAGATTTGGACTGCTTTGAGGCCTACTGTAGTAAAGGAAATTACTTCATCTAAAAACCAAACGGAAGCATTCACAGACAATTCTTAGTGATCATTGGATTGAACTAACAGAGCTGAACATTCCTTTAGATGGCGCAGTTTCCAAACCCACTTTCTGTAGAATCTGCAAGTGGATATTTGGACTTCTCTGAGGATTTCGTTGGAAAAGGGATAAACTTCCCAGAACTACACGGAAGCATTGTGAGAAACTTCTTTGTGATGTTTGCATTCAACACACAGAGTTGAACCTTGCTTTCATAGTTCAGCTTTCAAACACTCTTTTTGTAGAATCTGCAAGTGGATATTTGGACCACTTTGTGGCCTTCCTTCGAAACGGGTATATCTTCACATCAAACCTTGACAGAAGCATTCCCAGAATGTTTCCTGTGATGACTGCATTCAACTCACAGAGGTGAACAATCCTGCTGATGGAGCAGTTTTGAAACTCTCTTTCTTTGGATTCTGCAAGTGGATATGTGGACCTCTGTGAAGATTTCGTTGGAAACGGGTTCATCTTCACAGAAAAACTAAACAGAAGCATTCTCAGAAACTGCTTTGTGATGTTTCTGTTCCACTTCAAGAATTGAACTTTCCTCTTGACAGAGCAGCTCTGAAACCCTCTTTTTCTAGAGTCTGCAAGTGGACATTTGGAGGGCTTTGAGGCCTGTGGTGGAAAAGGAAAATCTTCACATAAAAACTAGATGGAAGCATTCTCAGAAACTACTTTGTGATGATTGCATTCGACTCACAGAGTTGAACATTCCTATAGATAGAGCAGGTTGTAAACAATCTTTTTGTAGAATCTGCGATTGGAGATTTGGACTGCTTTGAGGCCTACTGTAGTAAAGGAAATAACTTCATCTAAAAACCAAACGGAAGCATTCAGAGACAATTCTTAGTGATCATTGGATTGAACTAACAGAGCTGATCATTCCTTTAGATGGAGCAGTTTCCAAACACACTTTCTGTAGAATCTGCAAGTGGATATTTGGACCTCTCTGAGGATTTCTTTGGAAACGGGATAAACTTCCCAGAACTACACGGAAGCATTCTGAGAAACTTCTTTGTGATGTTTGCATTCAACTCACAGAGTTGAACCTTGCTTTCATAGTTCAGCTTTCAAACACTCTTTTTGTAGAATCTGCAAGTGGATATTTGGACCACTTTGTGGCCTTCCTTCGAAACGGGTATATCTTCACATCAAACCTCGACAGAAGCATTCTCAGAATGTTTCCTGTGATGACTGCATTCAACTCACAGAGGTGAACAATCCTGCTGATGGAGCAGTTTTGAAACTCTCTTTCTTTGGATTCTGCAAGTGGATATGTGGACCTCTGTGAAGATTTCGTTGGAAACGGGTTCATCTTCACAGAAAAACTAAACAGAAGCATTCTCAGAAACTGCTTTGTGATGTTTGTGTTCCACTTCAGGAATTGAACTTTCCTCTTGACAGAGCAGCTCTGAAACCCTCTTTTTCTAGAATCTGCAAGTGGACATTTGGAGGGCTTTGAGGCCTGTGGTGGAAAAGGAAAATCTTCACATAAAAACTAGATGGAAGCATTCTCAGAAACTACTTTGTGATGATTGCATTCGACTCACAGAGTTGAACATTCCTATAGATAGAGCAGGTTGTAAACAATCTTTTTGTAGAATCTGCGATTGGAGATTTGGACTGCTTTGAGGCCTACTGTAGTAAAGGAAATAACTTCATCTAAAAACCAAACGGAAGCATTCACAGACAATTCTTAGTGATCATTGGATTGAACTAACAGAGCTGAACATTCCTTTAGGTGGAGCAGTTTCCAAACACACTTTCTGTAGAATCTGCAAGTGGATATTTGGACTTCTCTGAGGATTTCGTTGGAAACGGGATAAACTTCCCAGAACTACACGGAAGCATTGTGAGAAACATCTTTGTGATGTTTGCATTCAACTCACAGAGTTGAACCTTGCTTTCATAGTTCAGCTTTCAAACACTCTTTTTGTAGAATCTGCAAGTGGATATTTGGACCACTTTGTGGCCTTCCTTCGAAACGGGTATATCTTCACATCAAACCTAGACAGAAGCATTCTCAGAATGTTTCCTGTGATGACTGCATTCAACTCACAGAGGTGAACAATCCTGTTGATGGAGCACTTTTGAAACTCTCTTTCTTTGGATTCTGCAAGTGGATATGTGGACCTCTGTGAAGATTTCGTTGGAAACGGGTTCATCTTCACAGAAAAACTAAACAGGAGTATTCTCAGAAACTGCTTTGTGATGTTTGTGTTCCACTTCAAGAATTGAACTTTCCTCTTGACAGAGCAGCTCTGAAACCCTCTTTTTCTAGAACCTGCAAGTGGACATTTGGAGGGCTTTGAGGCCTGTGGTGGAAAAGGAAAATCTTCACATAAAAACTAGATGGAAGCATTCTCAGAAACTACTTTTTGATGATTGCATTCGACTCACAGAGTTGAACATTCCTATAGATAGAGCAGGTTGTAAACAATCTTTTTGTAGAATCTGAGATTGGAGATTTGGACTGCTTTGAGGCCTACTGTAGTAAAGGAAATAACTTCATCTAAAAACCAAACGGAAGCATTCACAGACAATTCTTAGTGATCATTGGATTGAACTAACAGAGCTGAACATTCCTTTAGATGGAGCAGTTTCCAAACCCACTTTCTGTAGAATCTGCAAGTGGATATTTGGACTTCTCTGAGGATTTCGTTGGAAACGGGATAAACTTCCCAGAACTACACGGAAGCATTCTGAGAAACTTCTTTGTGATGTTTGCATTCAACTCACAGAGTTGAACCTTGCTTTCATAGTTCAGCTTTCAAACACTCTTTTTGTAGAATCTGCAAGTGGATATTTGGACCACTTTGTGGCCTTCCTTCGAAACGGGTATATCTTCACATCAAACCTAGACAGAAGCATTCTCAGAATGTTTCCTGTGATGACTGCATTCAACTCACAGAGGTGAACAATCCTGCTGATGGAGCAGTTTTGAAACTCTCTTTCTTTGGATTCTGCAAGTGGATATGTGGACCTCTGTGAAGATTTCGTTGGAAACGGGTTCATCTTCACAGAAAAACTAAACAGGAGCATTCTCAGAAACTGCTTTGTGATGTTTGTGTTCCACTTCAAGAATTGAACTTTCCTCTTGACAGAGCAGCTCTGAAACCCTCTTTTTCTAGAATCTGCAAGTGGACATTTGGAGGGCTTTGAGGCCTGTGGTGGAAAAGGAAAATCTTCACATAAAAACTAGATGGAAGCATTCTCAGAAACTACTTTGTGATGATTGCATTCGACTCACAGAGTTCAACATTCCTATAGGGAGAGCAGGTTGTAAACAATCTTTTTGTAGAATCTGCGATTAGAGATTTGGACTGCTTTGAGGCCTACTGTACTAAAGGAAATAACTTCATCTAAAAACCAAACGGAAGCATTCACAGACAATTCTTAGTGATCATTGCATTGAACTAACAGAGCTGAACATTGCTTTAGATGGAGCAGTTTCCAAACACACTTTCTGTAGAATCTGCAAGTGGATATTTGGACCTCTCTGAGGATTTCGTTGGAAACGGGATAAAATTCCCAGAACTACACGGAAGCATTGTGAGAAACTTCTTTGTGATGTTTGCATTCAACTCACAGAGTTGAACCTTGCTTTCATAGTTCAGCTTTCAAACACTCTTTTTGTAGAATCTGCAAGTGGATATTTGGACCACTTTGTGGCCTTCCTTCGAAACGGCTATATCTTCACATCAAACCTAGACAGAAGCATTCTCAGAATGTTTCCTGTGATGACTGCATTCAACTCACAGAGGTGAACAATCCTGCTGATGGAGCAGTTTTGAAACTCTCCTTCTTTGGATTCTGCAAGTGAATATGTGGTCCTCTGTGAAGATTTCGTTGGAAACGGGTTCATCTTCACAGAAAAACTAAACAGAAGCATTCTCAGAAACTGCTTTGTGATGTTTGTGTTCCACTTCAGGAATTGAACTTTCCTCTTGACAGAGCAGCTCTGAAACCCTCTTATTCTAGAATCTGCAAGTGGACATTTGGAGGGCTTTGAGGCCTGTGGTGGAAAAGGAAAATCTTCACATAAAAACTAGATGGAAGCATTCTCAGAAACTACTTTGTGATGATTGCATTCGACTCACAGAGTTGAACATTCCTATAGATAGAGCAGGTTGTAAACAATCTTTTTGTAGAATCTGCGATTGGAGATTTGGACTGCTTTGAGGCCTACTGTAGTAAAGGAAATAACTTCATCTAAAAACCAAACGGAAGCATTCACAGACAATTCTTAGTGATCATTGGATTGAACTAACAGAGCTGAACATTCCTTTAGATGGAGCAGTTTCCAAACACACTTTCTGTAGAATCTGCAAGTGGATATTTGGACCTCTCTGAGGATTTCGTTGGAAACGGGATAAACTTCCCAGAACTACACGGAAGCATTCTGAGAAACTTCTTTGTGATGTTTGCATTCAACTCACAGAGTTGAACCTTGCTTTCATAGTTCAGCTTTCAAACACTCTTTTTGTAGAATCTGCAAGTGGATATTTGGACCACTTTGTGGCCTTCCTTCGAAACGGGTATATCTTCACATCAAACCTAGACAGATAAGCATTCTCAGAATGTTTCCTGTGATGACTGCATTCAACTCACAGAGGTGAACAATCCTGCTGATGGAGCAGTTTTGAAACTCTCTTTCTTTGGATTCTGCAAGTGGATATGTGGACCTCTGTGAAGATTTCGTTGGAAACGGGTTCATCTTCACAGAAAAACTAAACAGGAGCATTCTCAGAAACTGCTTTGTGATGTTTGTGTTCCACTTCAGGAATTGAACTGTCCTCTTGACAGAGCAGCTCTGAAACCCTCTTATTCTAGAATCTGCAAGTTGACATTTGGAGGGCTTTGAGGCCTGTGGTGGAAAAGGAAAATCTTCACATAAAAACTAGATGGAAGCATTCTCAGAAACTACTTTGTGATGATTGCATTCGACTCACAGAGTTGAACATTCCTATAGATAGAGCAGGTTGTAAACAATCTTTTTGTAGAATCTGCGATTGGAGATTTGGACTGCTTTGAGGCCTACTGTAGTAAAGGAAATAACTTCATCTAAAAACCAAACGGAAGCATTCACAGACAATTCTTAGTGATCATTGCATTGAACTAACAGAGCTGAATATTCCTTTAGATGGCGCAGTTTCCAAACACACTTTCTGTAGAATCTGCAAGTGGATATTTGGACTTCTCTGAGGATTTCGTTGGAAACGGGATAAACTTCCCAGAACTACACGGAAGCATTCTGAGAAACTTCTTTGTGATGTTTGCATTCAACTCACAGAGTTGAACCTTGCTTTCAGAGTTCAGCTTTCAAACACTCTTTTTGTAGAATCTGCAAGTGGATATTTGGACCACTTTGTGGCCTTCCTTCGAAACGGGTATATCTTCACATCAAACCTAGACAGAAGCATTCTCAGAATATTTCCTGTGATGACTGCATTCAACTCACAGAGGTGAACAATCCTGCTGATGGAGCAGTTTTGAAACTCTCTTTCTTTGGATTCTGCAAGTGGATATGTGGACCTCTGTGAAGATTTCGTTGGAAACGTGTTCATCTTCACAGAAAAACTAAACAGGAGCATTCTCAGAAACTGCTTTGTGATGTTTGTGTTCCACTTCAAGAATTGAACTTTCCTCTTGACAGAGCAGCTCTGAAACCCTCTTTTTCTAGAATCTACAAGTGGACATTTGGAGGGCTTTGAGGCCTGTGGTGGAAAAGGAAAATCTTCCCATAAAAACTAGATGGAAGCATTCTCAGAAACTACTTTGTGATGATTGCATTCGACTCACAGAGTTGAACATTCCTATACATAGAGCAGGTTGTAAACAATCTTTTTGTAGAATCTGCGATTGGAGATTTGGACTGCTTTGAGGCCTACTGTAGTAAAGGAAATAACTTCATCTAAAAACCAAACGGAAGCATTCACAGACAATTCTTACTGATCATTGGATTGAACTAACAGAGCTGAACATTCCTTTAGATGGCGCAGTTTCCAAACACACTTTCTGTAGAATCTGCAAGTGGATATTAAGACCTCTCTGAGGATTTCGTTGGAAACGGGATAAACTTCCCAGAACTACACGGAAGCATTCTGAGAAACTTCTTTGTGATGTTTGCATTCAACTCACAGAGTTGAACCTTGCTTTCATAGTTCAGCTTTCAAACACTCTTTTTGTAGAATCTGCAAGTGGATATTTGGACCACTTTGTGGCCTTCCTTCGAAACGGGTATATCTTCACATCAAACCTAGACAGAAGCATTCTCAGAATGTTTCCTGTGATGACTGCATTCAACTCACAGAGGTGAACAATCCTGCTGATGGAGCAGTTTTGAAACTCTCTTTCTTTGGATTCTGCAAGTGGATATGTGGACCTCTGTGAAGATTTCGTTGGAAACGGGTTCATCTTCACAGAAAAACTAAACAGGAGCATTCTCAGAAACTGCTTTGTGATGTTTGTGTTCCACTTCAGGAATTGAACTTTCCTCTTGACAGAGCAGCTCTGAAACCCTCTTATTCTAGAATCTGCAAGTGGACATTTGGAGGGCTTTGAGGCCTGTGGTGGAAAAGGAAAATCTTCACATAAAAACTAGATGGAAGCATTCTCAGAAACTACTTTGTGATGATTGCATTCGACTCACAGAGTTGAACATTCCTATAGATAGAGCAGGTTGTAAACAATCTTTTTGTAGAATCTGCGATTGGAGATTTGGACTGCTTTGAGGCCTACTGTAGTAAAGGAAATAACTTCATCTAAAAACCAAACGGAAGCATTCACAGAAAATTCTTTGTGATCATTGGATTGAACTAAGAGAGCTGAACATTCCTTTAGATGGCGCAGTTTCCAAACACACTTTCTGTAGAATCTGCAAGTGGATATTGGGAACTCTCTGAGGATTTCGTTGGAAACGGGATAAATTCCCAGAACTGCACAGAAGCATTCTCAGAAACTTCTTTGTGATGTTGCATTCAACTCACAGACTTGAACCTTGCTTTCATAGTTCAGCTTCCAAACACTCTTTTTGTAGAATCTGCAAGTGGATATTTGGACCACTTTGTGGCCTTCCTTCGAAACGGGAATATCTTCACATCAAACCTAGACAGAAGCATTCTCGGAATGTTTCCTCTGATGACTGCATTCAACTCACAGAGGTGAACAATCCTGCTGATGGAGCAGTTTTGAAACTCTCTTTCTTTGGATTCTGCAAGTGGATATGTGGACCTCTGTGAAGATTTCGTTGGAAACGGGTTCATCTTCACAGAAAAACTAAACAGGAGCATTCTCAGAAACTGCTTTGTGATGTTTGTGTTCCACTTCAGGAATTGAACTTTCCTCTTGACAGAGCAGCTCTAAAACCCTCTTATTCTAGAATCTGCAAGTGGACATTTGGAGGGCTTTGAGGCCTGTGGTGGAAAAGGAAAATCTTCACATAAAAACTAGATGGAAGCATTCTCAGAAACTACTTTGTGATGATTGCATTCGACTCACAGAGTTGAACATTCCTATAGATAGAGCAGGTTGTAAACAATCTTTTTGTAGAATCTGCGATTGGAGATTTGGACTGCTTTGAGGCCTACTGTAGTAAAGGAAATAACTTCATCTAAAATCCAAACGGAAGCATTCACAGACAATTCTTAGTGATAATTGCATTGATCTAACAGAGCTGAACATTCCTTTAGATGGCGTAGTTTCCAAACACACTTTCTGTAGAATCTGCAAGTGGATATTTGGACTTCTCTGAGGATTTCGTTGGAAACGGGATAAACTTCCCAGAACTACACGGAAGCATTCTGAGAAACTTCTTTGTGATGTTTGCATTCAACTCACAGAGTTGAACCTTGCTTTCATAGTTCAGCTTTCAAACACTCTTTTTGTAGAATCTGCAAGTGGATATTTGGACGACTTTGTGGCCTTCCTTTGAAACGGGTATATCTTCACATCAAACCTAGACAGAAGCATTCTCAGAATGTTTCCTGTGATGACTGCATTCAACTCACAGAGGTGAACAATCCTGCTGTTGGAGCAGTTTTGAAACTCTCTTTCTTTGGATTCTGCAAGTGGATATGTGGAACTCTGTGAAGATTTCGTTGGAAACGGGTACATCTTCACAGAAAAACTAAACAGGAGCATTCTCAGAAACTACTTTGTGATGTTTGTGTTCCACTTCAAGAATTGAACTTTCCTCTTGACAGAGCAGCTCTGAAACCCTCTTTTTCTAGAATCTGCAAGTGGACATTTGGAGGGCTTTGAGGCCTGTGGTGGAAAAGGAAAATCTTCACATAAAAACTAGATGGAAGCATTCTCAGAAACTACTTTGTGATGATTGCATTCGACTCACAGAGTTGAACATTCCTATAGATAGAGCAGGTTGTAAACAATCTTTTTGTAGAATCTGCGATTGGAGATTTGGACTGCTTTGAAGTCTACTGTAGTAAAGGAAATAACTTCATCTAAAAACCAAACGGAAGCATTCACACAAAATTCTTAGTGATCATTGGATTGAACTAACAGAGCTGAAAATTCCTTTAGATGGAGCAGTTTCCAAACCCACTTTCTGTAGAATCTGCAAGTGGATATTTGGACTTCTCTGAGGATTTCGTTGGAAAAGGGATATGCCTCCCAGAAATACAGGGAAGCATTCTGAGAAACTTCTTTGTGATGTTTGCATTCAACTCACAGAGTTGAACCTTGCTTTCATAGTTCAGCTTTCAAACCCTCTTTTTGTAGAATCTGCAAGTGGATATTTGGACCACTTTGTGGCCTTCCTTCGAAACGGGTATATCTTCACATCAAACCTAGACAGAAGAATTCGCAGAATGTTTCCTGTGATGACTGCATTCAACTCACAGAGGTGAACAATCCTGCTGATAGAGCAGTTTTGAAACTCTCTTTCTTTGGATTCTGCAAGTGGATATGTGGACCTCTGTGAAGATTTCGTTGGAAACGGGTTCATCTTCACAGAAAAACTAAACAGGAGCATTCTCAGAAACTGCTTTGTGATGTTTGTGTTCCACTTCAGGAATTGAACTTTCCTCTTGACAGAGCAGCTCTGAAACCCTCTTATTCTAGAATCTGCAAGTGGACATTTGGAGGGCTTTGAGGCCTGTGGTGGAAAAGGAAAATCTTCACATAAAAACTAGATGGAAGCATTCTCAGAAACTACTTTGTGATGATTGCATTCGACTCACAGAGTTGAACATTCCTATAGATAGAGCAGGTTGTAAACAATCTTTTTGTAGAATCTGCGATTGGAGATTTGGACTGCTTTGAGGCCTACTGTAGTAAAGGAAATAACTTCATCTAAAAACCAAACGGAAGCATTCACAGACAATTCTTAGTGATCATTGCATTGAACTAACAGAGCTGAACTTTCCTTTAGATGGCGCAGTTTCCAAACACACTTTCTGTAGAATCTGCAAGTGGATATTTGGACCTCTGCTGAGGATTTCGTTGGAAACGGGATATACTTCCCAGAACTACACGGAAGCATTTTGAGAAACTTCTTTGTGATGTTTGCATTCAACTCACAGAGTTGAACCTTGCTTTCATAGTTCAGCTTTCAAACACTCTTTTTGTAGAATCTGCAAGTGGATATTTGGACCACTTTGTGGCCATCCTTCGAAACGGGTATATCTTCACATCAAACCTAGACAGAAGCATTCTCAGAATGTTTCCTGTGATGACTGCATTCAACTCACAGAGGTGAACAATCCTGTTGATGGAGCAGTTTTGAAACTCTCTTTCTTTGGATTCTGCAAGTTCATATGTGGACCTCTGGGAAGATTTCATTGGAAACGGGTTCATCTTCACAGAAAAACTAAGCAGAAGCATTCTCAGAAACTGCTTTGTGATGTTTGTGTTCCACTTCAAGAATTGAACTTTCCTCTTGACAGAGCAGCTCTGAAACCCTCTTTTTCTAGAATCTGCAAGTGGACATTTGGAGGGCTTTGAGGCCTGTGGTGGAAAAGGAAAATCTTCACATAAAAACTAGATGGAAGCATTCTCAGAAACTACTTTGTGATGATTGCATTCGACTCACAGAGTTGAACATTCCTATAGATAGAGCAGGTTGTAAACAATCTTTTTGTAGAATCTGCGATTGGAGATTTGGACTGCTTTGAGGCCTACTGTAGTAAAGGAAATAACTTCATCTAAAAACCAAACGGAAGCATTCACAGACAATTCTTAGTGATCATTGGATTGAACTAACAGAGCTGAACATTCCTTTAGATGGAGCAGTTTCCAAACACACTTTCTGTAGAATCTGCAAGTGGATATTTGGACTTCTCTGAGGATTTCGTTGGAAACGGGATAAACTTCCCAGAACTACACGGAAGCATTGTGAGAAACTTCTTTGTGATGTTTTCATTCAACTCACAGAGTTGAACCTTGCTTTCATAGTTCATCTTTCAAACACTCTTTTTGTAGAATCTGCAAGTGGATATTTGGACCACTTTGTGGCCTTCCTTCGAAACGGGTATATCTTCACATCAAACCTAGACAGAAGCATTCTCAGAATGTTTCCTGTGATGACTGCATTCAACTCACAGAGGTGAACAATCCTGCTGATGGAGCAGTTTTGAAACTCTCCTTCTTTGGATTCTGCAAGTGGATATGTGGACCTCTGTGAAGATTTTCGTTGGAAACGGGTTCATCTTCACAGAAAAACTAAACAGAAGCATTCTCAGAAACTGCTTTGTGATGTTTGTGTTCCACTTCAGGAATTGAACTTTCGTCTTGACAGAGCAGCTCTGAAATCCTCTTATTCTAGAATCTGCAAGTGGACATTTGGAGGGCTTTGAGGCCTGTGGTGGAAAAGGAAAATCTTCACATAAAAACTAGATGGAAGCATTCTCAGAAACTACTTTGTGATGATTGCATTCGACTCACAGAGTTGAACATTCCTATAGATAGAGCAGGTTGTAAACAATCTTTTTGTAGAATCTGCGATTGGATATTTGGACTGTTTTGAGACCTACTGTAGTAAAGGAAATAACTTCATCTAAAAACCAAACGGAAGCATTCACAGACAATTCTTAGTGATCATTGGATTGAACTAACAGAGCTGAACATTCCTTTAGATGGAGCAGTTTCCAAACACACTTTCTGTAGAATCTGCAAGTGGATATTTGGACCTCTCTGAGGATTTCGTTGGAAACGGGTTAAACTTCCCAGAACTACACGGAAGCATTCTGAGAAACTTCTTTGTGATGTTTGCATTCAACTCACAGAGTTGAACCTTGCTTTCATAGTTCAGCTTTCAAACACTCTTTTTGTAGAATCTGCAAGTGGATATTTGGACCACTTTGTGGCCTTCCTTCGAAACGGGTATATCTTCACATCAAACCTAGACAGAAGCATTCTCAGAATGTTTCCTGTGATGACTGCATTCAACTCACAGAGGTGAACAATCCTGCTGATGGAGCAGTTTTTAAACTCTCCTTCTTTGGATTCTGCAAGTGGATATGTGGACCTCTGTGAAGATTTCGTTGGAAACGGGTTCATCTTCACAGAAAAACTAAACAGGAACATTCTCAGAAACTGCTTTGTGATGTTTGTGTTCCACTTCAAGAATTGAACATTCCTCTTGACAGAGCAGCTCTGAAACCCTCTTTTTCTAGAATCTGCAAGTGGACATTTGGAGGGCTTTGAGGCCTGTGGTGGAAAAGGAAAATCTTCACATAAAAACTAGATGGAAGCATTCTCAGAAACTACTTTGTGATGATTGCATTCTACTCACATAGTTGAACATTCCTATAGATAGAGCAGGTTGTAAACAATCTTTTTGTAGAATCTGCGATTGGAGATTTGGACTGCTTTGAGGCCTACTGTAGTAAAGGAAATAACTTCATCTAAAAACCAAACGGAAGCATTCACAGACAATTCTTAGTGATCATTGCATTGAACTAACAGAGCTGAACATTCTTTTAGATGGAGCAGTTTCCAAACCCACTTTCTGTAGAATCTGCAAGTGGATATTTGGACTTCTCTGAGGATTTCGTTGGAAACGGGATAAACTTCCCAGAACTACAGGGAAGCATTGTGAGAAACTTCTTTGTGAAGTTTGCATTCAACTCACAGAGTTGAACCTTGCTTTCATAGTTCAGCTTTCAAACACTCTTTTTGTAGAATCTGCAAGTGGATATTTGGACCACTTTGTGGCCTTCCTTCGAAACGGGTATATCTTCACATCAAACCTAGACAGAAGCATTCTCAGAATGTTTCCTGTGATGACTGCATTCAACTCACACATGTGAACAATCCTGTTGATGGAGCAGTTTTGAAACTCTCTTTCTTTGGATTCTGCAAGTGGATATGTGGACCTCTGTGAAGATTTCGTTGGAAACGGGTTCATCTTCACAGAAAAACTAAACAGGAGCATTCTCAGAAACTGCTTTGTGATGTTTGTGTTCCACTTGAAGAACTGAACTTTCCTCTTGACAGAGCAGCTCTGAAACCCTCTTTTTCTAGAATCTGCAAGTGGACATTTGGAGGGCTTTGAGGCCTGTAGAAGAAAAGGAAAATCTTCACTTAAAAACTAGATGGAAGCATTCTCAGAAACTACTTTGTGATGATTGCATTCGACTCACAGAGTTGAACATTCCTATAGATAGAGCAGGTTGTAAACAATCTTTTTGTAGAATCTGCGATTGGAGATTTGGACTGCTTTGAGGCCTACTGTAGTAAAGGAAATAACTTCATCTAAAAACCAAACGGAAGCATTCACAGACAATTCTTAGTGATCATTGGATTGAACTAACAGAGCTGAACATTCCTTTAGATGGAGCAGTTTCCAAACACACTTTCTGTAGAATCTGCAAGTGGATATTTGGACTTCTCTGAGGATTTCGTTGGAAACGGGATAAACTTCCCAGAACTACACGGAGCATTGTGAGAAACTTCTTTGTGATGTTTGCATTCCACTCACAGAGTTGAACCTTGCTTTCATAGTTCAGCTTTCAAACACTCTTTTTGTAGAATCTGCAAGTGGATATTTGGACCACTTTGTGGCCTTCCTTCGAAACGGGTATATCTTCACATCAAACTTAGACAGAAGCATTCTCAGAATGTTTCCTGTGATGACTGCATTCAACTCACAGAGGTGAACAATCCTGCTGATGGAGCAGTTTTGAAACTCTCTTTCTTTGGATTCTGCAAGTGGATATGTGGACCTGTGTGAAGATTTCGTTGGAAACGGGTTCATCTTCACAGAAAAACTAAACAGGAGCATTCTCAGAAACTGCTTTGTGATGTTTGTGTTCCACTTCAAGAATTGAACTTTCCTCTTGACAGAGCAGCTCTGAAACCCTCTTTTTCTAGAATCTGCAAGTGGACATTTGGAGGGCTTTGAGGCCTGTGGTGGAAAAGGAAAATCTTCACATAAAAACTAGATGGAAGCATTCTCAGAAACTACTTTGTGATGATTTCATTCGACTCACAGAGTTGAACATTCCTATAGATAGAGCAGGGTGAAAACAATCTTTTTGTAGAATCTGCGATTGGAGATTTGTACTGCTTTGAGGCCTACTGTAGTAAAGGAAATAACTTCATCTAAAAACCAAACGGAAGCATTCACAGACAATTCTTAGTGATCATTGGATTGAACTAACAGAGCTGAACATTCCTTTATTTGGAGCAGTTTCCAAACCCACTTTCTGTAGAATCTGGAAGTGGATATTTGGACCTCTCTGAGGATTTCGTTGGAAACGGGATATACTTCCCAGAACTACACGGAAGCATTGTGAGAAACTTCTTTGTGATGTTTGCATTCAACTCACAGAGTTGAACCTTGCTTTCATAGTTCAGCTTTCAAACACTCTTTTTGTAGAATCTGCAAGTGGATATTTGGACCACTTTGTGGCCTTCCTTCGAAAAGGCTATATCTTCACATCAAACCTAGACAGAAGCATTCTCAGAATGTTTCCTGTGATGACTGCATTCAACTCACAGAGGTGAACAATCCTGCTGATGGAGCAGTTTTGAAACTCTCTTTCTTTGGATTCTGCAAGTGGATATGTGGACCTCTGTGAAGATTTCGTTGGAAACGGGTTCATCTTCACAGAAAAACTAAACAGAAGCATTCTCAGAAACGGCTTTGTGATGTTTGTGTTCCACTTCAAGAATTGAACTTTCCTCTTGACAGAGCAGCTCTGAAACCCTCTTTTTCTAGAATCTGCAAGTGGACATTTGGAGGGCTTTGAGGCCTCTGGTGGAAAAGGAAAATCTTCACATAAAAATTAGATGGAAGCATTCTCAGAAACTACTTTGTGATGATTGCATTCGACTCACAGAGTTGAACATTCCTATAGATAGAGCAGGTTGTAAACAATCTTTTTGTAGAATCTGCGATTGGAGATTTGGACTGCTTTGAGGTCTACTGTAGTAAAGGAAATAACTTCATCTAAAAACCAAACGGAAGCATTCACAGACAATTCTTAGTGATCATTGCATTGAACTAACAGAGCTGAACATTGCTTTAGATGGCGCAGTTTCCAAACACACTTTCTGTAGAATCTGCAAGTGGATATTTGGACCACTCTGAGGATTTCGTTGGAAACGGGATAAACTTCCCAGAACTACACGGAAGCATGCTGAGAAACTTCTTTCTGATGTTTGCATTCAACTCACAGAGTTGAACCTTGCTTTCATAGTTCAGCTTTCAAACACTCTTTTTGTAGAATCTCCAATGGATATTTGGACCACTTTGTGGCCTTCCTTCGAAACGGTTATATCTTCACATCAAACCTGGACAGAAGCATTCTCAGAATGTTTCCTGTGATGACTGCATTCAACTCACAGAGGTGAACAATCCTGCTGATGGAGCAGTTTTGAAACTCTCTTTCTTTGGATTCTGCAAGTGGATATGTGGACCTCTGTGAAGATTTCGTTGGAAACGGGTTCATCTTCACAGAAAAACTAAACAGAAGCATTCTCAGAAACTGCTTTGTGATGTTTGTGTTCCACTTCAAGAATTGAACTTTCCTCTTGACAGAGCAGCTCTGAAACCCTCTTTTTCTAGAATCTGCAAGTGGACATTTGGAGGGCTTTGAGGCCTGTGGTGGAAAAGGAAAATCTTCACATAAAAACTAGATGGAAGCATTCTCAGAAACTGCTTTGTGATGATTGCATTCGACTCACAGAGTTGAACATTCCTATAGATAGAGCAGGTTGTAAACAATCTTTTTGTAGAATCTGCGATTGGACATTTGGAATGCTTTGAGGCCTACTGTAGTAAAGGAAATAACTTCATCTAAAAACCAAACGGAAGCATTCACAGACAATTCTTAGTGATCATTGGATTGAACTAACAGAGCTGAACATTCCTTTAGATGGAGCAGTTTCCAAACACACTTTCTGTAGAATCTGCAAGTGGATATTTGGACTTCTCTGAGGATTTCGTTGGAAAAGGGATAAACTTCCCAGAACTACACGGAAGCATTGTGAGAAACTTCTTTGTGATGTTTGCATTCAACTCACAGAGTTGAACCTTGCTTTCATAGTTCAGCTTTCAAACACTCTTTTTGTAGAATCTGCAAGTGGATATTTGGACCACTTTGTGGCCTTCCTTCGAAACGGGTATATCTTCACATCAAACCTAGACAGAAGCATTCTCAGAATGTTTCCTGTGATGACTGCATTCAACTCACAGAGGTGAACAATCCTGCTGATGGAGCAGTTTTGAAACTCCCTTTCTTTGGATTCTGCAAGTGGATATGTGGACCTCTGTGAAGATTTCGTTGGAAACGGGTTCATCTTCACAGAAAAACTAAACAGAAGCATTCTCAGAAACTGCTTTGTGATGTTTGTGTTCCACTTCAAGAATTGAACTTTCCTCTTGACAGAGCAGCTCTGAAACCCTCTTTTTCTAGAATCTGCAAGTGGACATTTGGAGGGCTTTGGGGCCTTGTGGTGGAAAAGGAAAATCTTCACATAAAAACTAGATGGAAGCATTCTCAGAAACTACTTTGTGATGATTGCATTCGACTCACAGAGTTGAACATTCCTATAGATAGAGCAGGTTGTAAACAATCTTTTTGTAGAATCTGCGATTGGAGATTTGGAATGCTTTGAGGCCAACTGTAGTAAAGGAAATAACTTCATCTAAAAACCAAACGGAAGCATTCACAGACAATTCTTAGTGATCATTGGATTGAACTAACAGAGCTGAACATTCCTTTAGATGGCGCAGTTTCCAAACACACTTTCTGCAGAATCTGCAAGTGGATATTTGGACTTCTCTGAGGATTTCGTTGGAAACGGGATAAACTTCCCAGAACTACACGGAAGCATTCTGAGAAACTTCTTTGTGATGTTTGCATTCAACTCACAGAGTTGAACCTTGCTTTCCAAGTTCAGCTTTCAAACACTCTTTTTGTAGAATCTGCAAGTGGATATTTGGACCACTTTGGGGCCTTCCTTCGAAACGGGTTCATCTTCACAGAAAAACTAAACAGGAGCATTCTCAGAATGTTTCCTGTGATGACTGCATTCAACTCACAGAGGTGAACAATCCTGCTGATGGAGCAGTTTTGAAACTCTCTTTCTTTGGATTCTGCAAGTGGATATGTGGACCTCTGTGAAGATTTCGTTGGAAACGGGTTCATCTTCACAGAAAAACTAAAAAGAAGCATTCTCAGAAACTGCTTTGTGATGTTTGTGTTCCACTTCAAGAATTGAACTTTCCTCTTGACAGAGCAGCTCTGAAACCCTATTTTTCTAGAATCTGCAAGTGGACATTTGGAGGGCTTTGAGGCCTGTGGTGGAAAAGGAAAATCTTCACATAAAAACTAGATGGAATCATTCTCAGAAACTACTTTGTGATGATTGCATTCGACTCACAGAGGTGAACATTCCTATAGATAGAGCAGGTTGTAAACAATCTTTTTGTAGAATCTGCGATTGGAGATTTGGACTGCTTTGAGGCCTACTGTAGTAAAGGAAATAACTTCATCTAAAAACCAAACGGAAGCATTCACAGACAATTCTTAGTGATCATTGCATTGAACTAACAGAGCTGAACATTCCTTTAGATGGTGCAGTTTCCAAACACACTTTCTGTAGAATCTGCAAGTGGATATGTGGACTTCTCTGAGGATTTCGTTGGAAACGGGATAAACTTCCCAGAACTACACGGAAGCATTCTGAGAAACTTCTTTGTGATGTTTGCATTCAACTCACAGAGTTGAACCTTGCTTTCATAGTTCAGCTTTCAAACACTCTTTTTGTAGAATCTGCAAGTGGATATTTCGACCACTTTGTGGCCTTCCTTCGAAACGGGTATATCTTCACATCAAACCTAGACAGAAGCATTCGCAGAATGTTTCCTGTGATGACTGCATTCAACTCACAGAGGTGAACAATCCTGCTGATGGAGCAGTTTTGAAACTCCCTTTCTTTGGATTCTGCAAGTGGATATGTGGACCTCTGTGAAGATTTCGTTGGAAACGGGTTCATCTTCACAGAAAAACTAAACAGGAGCATTCTCAGAAACTACTTTGTGATGTTTGTGTTCCACTTCAAGAATTGAACTTTCCTCTTGACAGAGCAGCTCTGAAACCCTCTTTTTCTAGAATCTGCAAGTGGACATTTGGAGGGCTTTGAGGCCTGTGGTGGAAAAGGAAAATCTTCACATAAAAACTAGATGGAAGCATTCTCAGAAACTACTTTGTGATGATTGCATTCGACTCACAGAGTTGAACATTCCTATAGATAGAGCAGGTTGTAAACAATCTTTTTGTAGAATCTGCGATTGGAGATTTGGACTGCTTTGAGGCCTACTGTAGTAAAGGAAATAACTTCATCTAAAAACCAAACGGAAGCATTCACAGACAATTCTTAGTGATCATTGGATTGAACTAACAGAGCTGAACATTCCTTTAGATGGAGCAGTTTCCAAACACACTTTCTGTAGAATCTGCAAGTGGATATTTGGACTTCTCTGAGGATTTCGTTGGAAACGGGAAAACTTCCCAGAACTACACGGAAGCATTCTGAGAAACTTCTTTGTGATGTTTGCATTCAACTCACAGAGTTGAACCTTGCTTTCATAGTTCAGCTTTCAAACACTCTTTTTGTAGAATCTGCAAGTGGATATTTGGACCACTTTGTGGCCTTCCTTCGAAACGGGTATATCTTCACATCAAACCTAGACAGAAGCATTCTCAGAATGTTTCCTGTGATGACTGCATTCAACTCACAGAGGTGAACAATCCTGCTGATGGAGCAGTTTTGAAACTCTCTTTCTTTGGATTGTGCAAGTGGATATGTGGACCTCTGTGAAGATTTCGTTGGAAACGGGTTCATCTTCACAGAAAAACTAAACAGGAGCATTCTCAGAAACTGCTTTGTGATGTTTGTGTTCCACTTCAAGAATTGAACTTTCCTCTTGACAGAGCAGCTCTGAAACCCTCTTTTTCTAGAATCTGCAAGTGGACATTTGGAGGGCTTTGAGGCCTGTGGTGGAAAAGGAAAATCTTCACATAAAAACTAGATGGAAGCATTCTCAGAAACTACTTTGTGATGATTGCATTCGACTCACAGAGTTGAACATTCCTATAGATAGAGCAGGTTGTAAGCAATCTTTTTGTAGAATCTGCGATTGGAGATTTGGACTGCTTTGAGGCCTACTGTAGTAAAGGAAATAACTTCATCTAAAAACCAAACGGAAGCATTCACAGACAATTCTTAGTGATCATTGCATTGAACTAACAGAGCTGAACATTCCTTTAGATGGAGCATTTTCCAAACACACTTTCTGTAGAATCTGCAAGTGGATATTTGGACTTCTCTGAGGATTTCGTTGGAAACGGGATAAACTTCCCAGAACTACACGGAAGCATTCTGAGAAACTTCTTTGTGATGTTTGCATACAACTCACAGAGTTGAACCTTGCTTTCATAGTTCAGCTTTCAAACACTCTTTTTGTAGAATATGCAAGTGTATATTTGGACCACTTTGTGGCCTTCCTTCGAAACGGGTATATCTTCACATCAAACCTAGACAGAAGCATTCTCAGAATGTTTCCTGTGATGACTGCATTCAACTCACAGAGGTGAACAATCCTGCTGATGGAGCAGTTTTGAAACTCTCTTTCTTTGGATTCTGCAAGTGGATATGTGGACCTCTGTGAAGATTTCGTTGGAAACGTGTTCATCTTCACAGAAAAACTAAACAGGAGCATTCTCAGAAACTGCTTTGTGATGTTTGTGTTCCACTTCAAGAATTGAACTTTCCTCTTGACAGAGCAGCTCTGAAACCCTCTTTTTCTAGAATCTGCAAGTGGACATTTGGAGGGCTTTGAGGCCTGTGGTGGAAAAGGAAAATCTTCACATAAAAACTAGATGGAAGCATTCTCAGAACCTACTTTGTGATGATTGCATTCGACTCAAAGAGTTGAACATTCCTATAGATAGAGCAGGTTGTAAACAATCTTTTTGTAGAATCTGCGATTGGAGATTTGGACTGCATTGAGGCCTACTGTAGTAAAGGAAATAACTTCATCTAAAAACCAAACGGAAGCATTCACAGACAATTCTTAGTGATCATTGGATTGAACTAACAGAGCTGAACATTCCCTTAGATGGCACAGTTTCCAAACACACTTTCTGTAGAATCTGCAAGTCGATATTTGGACTTCTCTGAGGATTTCGTTGGAAACGGGATAAACTTCCCAGAACTACACGGAAGCATTCTGAGAAACTTCTTTGTGATGTTTGCATTCAACTCACAGAGTTGAACCTTGCTTTCATAGTTCAGCTTTCAAACACTCTTTTTGTAGAATCTGCAAGTGGATATTTGGACCACTTTGTGGCCTTCCTTCGAAACGGGTATATCTTCACATCAAACCTAGACAGAAGCATTCTCAGAATGTTTCCTGTGATGACTGCATTCAACTCACAGAGGTGAACAATCCTGCTGATGGAGCAGTTTTGAAACTCTCTTTCTTTGGATTCTGCAAGTGGATATGTGGACCTCTGTGAAGATTTCGTTGGAAACGGGTTCATCTTCACAGAAAAACTAAACAGAAGCATTCTCAGAAACTGCTTTGTGATGTTTGTGTTCCACTTCAAGAATTGAACTTTCCTCTCGACAGAGCAGCTCTGAAACCCTCTTTTTCTAGAATCTGCAAGTGGACATTTGGAGGGCTTTGAGGCCTGTGGTGGAAAAGGAAAATCTTCACATAAAAACTAGATGGAAGCATTCTCAGAAACTACTTTGTGATGATTGCATTCGACTCACAGAGTTGAACATTCCTATAGATAGAGCAGGTTGTAAACAATCTTTTTGTAGAATCTGCGATTGGAGATTTGGACTGCTTTGAGGCCTACTGTAGTAAAGGAAATAACTTCATCTAAAAACCAAACGGAAGCATTCACAGACAATTCTTAGTGATCATTGGATTGAACTAACAGAGCTGAACATTCCTTTAGATGGAGCAGTTGCCAAACCCACTTTCTGTAGAATCTGCAAGTGGATATTTGGACTTCTCTGAGGATTTCGTTGGAAACGGGATAAACTTCCCAGAACTACACGGAAGCATTCTGAGAAACTTCTTTGTGATGTTTGCATTCAACTCACAGAGTTGAACCTTGCTTTCATAGTTCAGCTTTCAAACACTCTTTTTGTAGAATCTGCAAGTGGATATTTGGACCACTTTCTGGCCTTCCTTCGAAACGGGTATATCTTCACATCAAACCTAGACAGAAGGATTCTCAGAATGTTTCCTGTGATGACTGCATTCAACTCACAGAGGTGAACAATCCTGCTGATGGAGCAGTTTTGAAACTCTCTTTCTTTGGATTCTGCAAGTGGATATGTGGACCTCTGTGAAGATTTCGTTGGAAACGGGTTCATCTTCACAGAAAAACTGAACAGAAGCATTCTCAGAAACTGCTTTGTGATGTTTGTGTTCCACTTCAAGAATTGAACTTTCCTCTTTACAGAGCAGCTCTGAAACCCTCTTTTTCTAGAATCTGCAAGTGGACATTTGGAGGGCTTTGAGGCCTGTGGTGGAAAAGGAAAATCTTCCCATAAAAACTAGATGGAAGCATTCTCAGAAACTACTTTGTGATGATTGCATTCGACTCACAGAGTTGAACATTCCTATAGATAGAGCAGATTGTAAACAATCTTTTTGTAGAATCTGCGATTGGAGGTTTGGACTGCTTTGAGGCCTACTGTAGTAAAGGAAATAACTTCATCTAAAAACCAAACGGAAGCATTCACAGACAATTCTTAGTGATCATTGCATTGAACTAACAGAGCTGAACATTCCTTTAGATGGAGCAGTTTCCAAACACACTTTCTGTAGAATGTGCAAGTGGATATTTGGACTTCTCTGAGGATTTCGTTGGAAACGGGATAAACTTCCCAGAACTACACGGAAGCATTGTGAGAAACTTCTTTGTGATGTTTGCATTCAACTCACAGAGTTGAACCTTGCTTTCATAGTTCAGCTTTCAAACACTCTTTTTGTAGAATCTGCAAGTGGATATTTGGACCACTTTGTGGCCTTCCTTTGAAAAGGGTATATCTTCACATCAAACCTAGACAGAAGCATTCTCAGAATGTTTCCTGTGATGACTGCATTCAACTCACAGAGGTGAACAATCCTGCTGATGGAGCAGTTTTGAAACTCTCTTTCTTTGGATTCTGCAAGTGGATATGTGGACCTCTGTGAAGATTTCGTTGGAAACGGGTTCATCTTCACAGAAAAACTAAACAGAAGCATTCTCAGAAACTGCTTTGTGATGTTTGTGTTCCACTTCAGGAATTGAACTTTCCTCTTGAAAGAGCAGCTCTGAAACCCTCTTTTTCTAGAATCTGCAAGTGGACATTTGGAGGGCTTTGAGGCCTGTGGTGGAAAAGGAAAATCTTCACATAAAAACTAGATGGAAGCATTCTCAGAAACTACTTTGTGATGATTGCATTCGACTCACAGAGTTGAACATTCCTTTAGATAGAGCAGGTTGTAAACAATCTTTTTGTAGAATCTGCGATTGGAGATTTGGACTGCTTTGAGGCCTACTGTAGTAAAGGAAATAACTTCATCTAAAAACCAAACGGAAGCATTCACAGACAATTCTTAGTGATCATTGCATTGAACTAACAGAGCTGAACATTCCTTTAGATGGCGCAGTTTCCAAACACACTTTCTGTAGAATCTGCAAGTGGATATTTGGACTTCTCTGAGGATTTCGTTGGAAACGGGATAAACTTCCCAGAACTACACGGAAGCATTCTGAGAAACTTCTTTGTGATGTTTGCATTCAACTCACAGAGTTGAACCTTGCTTTCATAGTTCAGCTTTCAAACACTCTTTTTGTACAATCTGCAAGTGGATATTTGGACCACTTTGTGGCCTTCCTTCGAAACGGGTATATCTTCACATCAAACCTAGACAGAAGCATTCTCAGAATGTTTCCTGTGATGACTGCATTCAACTCACAGAGGTGAACAATCCTGTTGATGGAGCAGTTTTGAAACTCTCTTTCTTTGGATTCTGCAGGTTGATATGTGGACCTCTGTGAAGATTTCGTTGGAAACGGGTTCATCTTCACAGAAAAACTAAACAGAAGCATTCTCCGAAACTGCTTTGTGATGTTTGTGTTCCACTTCAAGAATTGAACTTTCCTCTTGACCGAGCAGCTCTGAAACCCTCTTATTCTAGAATCTGCAAGTGGACATTTGGAGGGCTTTGAGGCCTGTGGTGGAAAAGGAAAATCTTCACATAAAAACTAGATGGAAGCATTCTCAGAAACTACTTTGTGATGATTGCATTCGACTCACATAGTTGAACATTCCTATAGATAGAGCAGGTTGTAAACAATCTTTTTGTAGAATCTGCGATTGGAGATTTGGACTGCTTTGAGGCCTACTCTAGTAAAGGAAATAACTTCATCTAAAAACCAAACGGAAGCATTCACAGACAATTCTTAGTGATCATTGCTTTGAACTAACAGAGCTGAACATTCCTTTAGATGGAGCAGTTTCCAAACACACTTTCTGTAGAATCTGCAAGTGGATATTTGGACTTCTCTGAGGATTTCGTTGGAAAAGGGATAAACTTCCCAGAACTACACGGAAGCATTGTGAGAAACTTCTTTGTGATGTCTGCATTCAACTCACAGAGTTGAACCTTGCTTTCATAGTTCAGCTTTCAAACACTCTTTTTATAGAATCTGCAAGTGGATATTTGGACCACTTTGTGGCCTTCCTTCGAAACGGGTATATCTTCACATCAAACCTAGACAGAAGCATTCTCAGAATGTTTTCCTGTGATGACTGCATTCAACTCACAGAGGTGAACAATCCTGTTGATGGAGCAGTTTTGAAACTCTCTTTCTTTGGATTCTGCAGGTGGATATGTGGACCTCTGTGAAGATTTCGTTGGAAACGGGTTCATCTTCACAGAAAAACTAAACAGGAGCATTCTCAGAAACTGCTTTGTGATGTTTGTGTTCCACTTCAAGAATTGAACTTTCCTCTTGACAGAGCAGCTCTGAAACCCTCTTTTTCTAGAATCTGCAAGTGGACATTTGGAGGGCTTTGAGGCCTGTGGTGGAAAAGGAAAATCTTCCCATAAAAACTAGATGGAAGCATTCTCAGAAACTACTTTGTGATGATTGCATTCGACTCACAGAGTTGAACATTCCTATACATAGAGCAGGTTGTAAACAATCTTTTTGTAGAATCTGCGATTGGAGATTTGGACTGCTTTGAGGCCTACTGTAGTAAAGGAAATAACTTCATCTAAAAACCAAACGGAAGCATTCACAGACAATTCTTAGTGATCATTGCATTGAACTAACAGAGCTGAACATTCCTTTAGATGGCGCAGTTTCCAAACACACTTTCTGTAGAATCTGCAAGTGGATATTTGGACTTCTCTGAGGATTTCGTTGGAAACGGGATAAACTTCCCAGAACTACACGGAAGCATTGTGAGAAACTTCTTTGTGATGTTTGCATTCAACTCACAGAGTTGAACCTTGCTTTCATAGTTCAGCTTTTAAACACTCCTTTTGTATAATCTGCAAGTGGATATTTGGACCACTTTGTGGCCTTCCTTCGAAACGGGTATATCTTCACATCAAACCTAGACAGAAGCATTCTCAGAATGTTTCCTGTGATGACTGCATTCAACTCACAGAGGTGAACAATCCTGCTGATGGAGCAGTTTTGAAACTCTCTTTCTTTGGATTGTGCAAGTGGATATGTGGATCTCTGTGTAGATTTCGTTGGAAACGGGTTCATCTTCACAGAAAAACTAAACAGGAGCATTCTCAGAAACTGCTTTGTGATGTTTGTGTTCCACTTCAAGAATTGAACTTTCCTCTTGACAGAGCAGCTCTGAAACCCTCTTTTTCTAGAATCTGCAAGTGGACATTTGGAGGGCTTTGAGGCCTGTGGTGGAAAAGGAAAATCTTCACATAAAAACTAGATGGAAGCATTCTCAGAAACTACTTTGTGATGACTGCATTCGACTCACAGAGTTGAACATTCCTATAGATAGAGCAGGTTGTAAACAATCTTTTTGTAGAATCTGCGATTGGAGATTTGGACTGCTTTGAGGCCTACTGTAGTAAAGGAAATAACTTCATCTAAAAACCAAACGGAAGCATTCACAGACAATTCTTAGTGATCATTGGATTGAACTAACAGAGCTGAACATTCCTTTAGATGGAGCAGTTTCCAAACCCACTTTCTGTAGAATCTGCAAGTGGATATTTGGACTTCTCTGAGGATTTCGTTGGAAACGGGATAAACTTCCCAGAACTACACGGAAGCATTGTGAGAAACTTCTCTGTGATGTTTGCATTCAACTCACAGAGTTGAACCTTGCTTTCATAGTTCAGCTTTCAAACACTCTTTTTGTGGAATCTGCAAGTGGATATTTGGACCACTTTGTGGCCTTCCTTCGAAACGGGTATATCTTCACATCAAACCTAGACAGAAGCATTCTCAGAATGTTTCCTGTGATGACTGCATTCAACTCACAGAGGTGAACAATCCTGCTGATGGAGCAGTTTTGAAACTCCCTTTCTTTGGATTCTGCAAGTGGATATGTGGACCTCTGTGAAGATTTCGTTGGAAACGGGTTCATCTTCACAGAAAAACTAAACAGAAGCATTCTCAGAAACTGCTTTGTGATGTTTGTGTTCCACTTCAAGAATTGAACTTTCCTCTTGACAGAGCAGCTCTGAAACCCTCTTTTTCTAGAATCTGCAAGTGGACATTTGGAGGGCTTTGAGGCCTGTGGTGGAAAAGGAAAATCTTCACATAAAAGCTAGATGGAAGCATTCTCAGAAACTACTTTGTGATGATTGCATTCGACTCACAGAGTTGAACATTCCTATAGATAGAGCAGGTTGTAAACAATCTTTTTGTAGAATCTGCGATTGGAGATTTGGACTGCTTTGAGGCCTACTGTAGTAAAGGAAATAACTTCATCTAAAAACGAAACGGAAGCATTCACAGACAATTCTTAGTGATCATTGCATTGAACTAACAGAGCTGAACATTCCTTTAGATGGAGCATTTTCCAAACACACTTTCTGTAGAATCTGCAAGTGGATATTTGGACATCTCTGAGGATTTCGTTGGAAACGGGATAAACTTCCCAGAACTACACGGGAAGCATTCTGAGAAACTTCTTTGTGATGTTTGCATTCAACTCACAGAGTTGAACCTTGCTTTCATGGTTCAGCTTTCAAACACTCTTTTTGTAGAATCTGCAAGTGGATATTTGGACCACTTTGTGACCTTCCTTCGAAACGGGTATATCTTCACATCAAACCTAGACAGAAGCATTATCAGAATGTTTCCTGTGATGACTGCATTCAACTCACAGAGGTGAACAATCCTGTTGATGGAGCACTTTTGAAACTCTCTTTCTTTGGATTCTGCAAGTTGATATGTGGACCTCTGTGAAGATTTCGTTGGAAACCGGTTCATCTTCACAGAAAAACTAAACAGAAGCATTCTCAGAAACTACTTTGTGATGTTTGTGTTCCACTTCAAGAATTGAACTTTCCTCTTGACAGAGCAGCTCTGAAACCCTCTTTTTCTAGAATCTGCAAGTGGACATTTGGAGGGCTTTGAGGCCTGTGGTGGAAAAGGAAAATCTTCACATAAAAACTAGATGGAAGCATTCTCAGAAACTACTTTGCGATGATTGCATTCGACTCACAGAGTTGAACATTCGTATAAATAGAGCAGGTTGTAGACAATCTTTTTGTAGAATCTGCGATTGGAGATTTGGACTGCTTTGAGGCCTACTGTAGTAAAGGAAATAACTTCATCTAAAAACCAAACGGAAGCATTCACAGACAATTCTTAGTGATCATTGCATTGAACTAACAGAGCTGAACATTCCTTTAGATGGAGCAGTTTCCAAACACACTTTCTGTAGAATCTACAAGTGGATATTTGGACTTCTCTGAGGATTTCGTTGGAAACGGGATAAACTTCCCAGAACTACACGGAAGCATGCTGAGAAACTTCTTTGTGATGTTTGCATTCAACTCACAGAGTTGAACCTTGCTTTCATAGTGCAGCTTTCAAACTCTCTTTTTGTAGAATCTGCAAGTGGATATTTGGACCACTTTGTGGCCTTCCTTCGAAACGGGTATATCTTCACATCAAACCTAGACAGAAGCATTCTCAGAATGTTTCCTGTGATGACTGCATTCAACTCACAGAGGTGAACAATCCTGTTGATGGAGCCGTTTTGAAACTCCCTTTCTTTGGATTCTGCAAGTGGATATGTGGAACTATGTGAAGATTTCGTTGGAAACGGGTTCATCTTCACAGAAAAATTAACAGGAGCATTCTCAGAAACTGCTTTGTGATGTTTGTGTTCCACTTCAAGAATTGAACTTTCCTCTTGACAGAGCAGCTCTGAAACCCTCTTTTTCTAGAATCTGCAAGTGGACATTTGGAGGGCTTTGAGGCCTGTGGTGCAAAAGGAAAATCTTCACATAAAAACTAGATGGAAACATTCTCAGAAACTACTTTGTGATGATTGCATTCGACTCACAGAGTTGAACATTCCTATAGATAGAGCAGGTTGTAAACAATCTTTTTCTAGAATCTGCGATTGGAGATTTGGACTGCTTTGAGGCCTACTGTAGTAAAGGAAATAACTTCATCTAAAAACCAAACGGAAGCATTCACAGACAATTCTTAGTGATCATTGCATTGAACTAACAGAGCTGAACATTCCTTTAGATGGCGCAGTTTCCAAACACACTTTCTGTAGAATCTGCAAGTGGATATTTGGACTTCTCTGAGGATTTCGTTGGAAAAGGGATAAACTTCCCAGAACTACACGGAAGCATTGTGAGAAACTTCTTTGTGATGTTTGCATTCAACTCACAGAGTTGAACCTTGCTTTCATAGTTCAGCTTTCAAACACTCTTTTTGTAGAATCTGCAAGTGGATATTTGGACCACTTTGTGGCCTTCCTTCGAAACGGGTATATCTTCACATCAAACCTAGACAGAAGCATTCTCAGAATGTTTTCCTGTGATGACTGCATTCAACTCACAGAGGTGAACAATCCTGCTGATGGAGCAGTTTTGAAACTCTCTTTCTTTGGATTCTGCAAGTGGATATGTGGACCTCTGTGAAGATTTCGTTGGAAACGGGTTCATCTTCACAGAAAAACTAAACAGGAAGCATTCTCAGAAACTGCTTTGTGATGTTTGTGTTCCACTTCAAGAATTGAACTTTCCTCTTGACAGAGCAGCTCTGAAACCCTCTTTTTCTAGAAACTGCAAGTGGACATTTGGAGGGCTTTGAGGCCTGTGGTGGAAAAGGAAAATCTTCACATAAGAACTAGATGGAAGCATTCTCAGAAACTTCTTTGTGATGATTGCATTCGACTCACAGAGTTGAACATTCCTATAGATAGAGCAGGTTGTAAACAATCTTTTTGTAGAATCTGCGATGGGAGATTTGGACTGCTTTGAGGCCTACTGTAGTAAAGGAAATTACTTCATCTAACAACCAAACGGAAGCATTCACAGACAATTCTTAGTGATCATTGGATTGAACTAACAGAGCTGAACATTCCTTTAGATGGAGCAGTTTCCAAACACACTTTCTGTAGAATCTGCAAGTGGATATTTGGACTTCTCTGAGGATTTCGTTGGAAACGGGATAAACTTCCCAGAACTACACGAAAGCATTGTGAGAAACTTCTTTGTGATGTTTGCATTCAACTCACAGAGTTGAACCTTGCTTTCATAGTTCAGCTTTCAAACACTCTTTTTGTAGAATCTGCAAGTGGATATTTGGACCACTTTGTGGCCTTCCTTCGAAACGGGTATATCTTCACATCAAACCTAGACAGAAGCATTCTCAGAATGTTTCCTGTGATGACTGCATTCAACTCACAGAGGTGAACAATCCTGCTGATGGAGCAGTTTTGAAACTCTCTTTCTTTGGATTCTGCAAGTGGATATGTGGACCTCTGTGAAGATTTCGTTGGAAACGGGTTCATCTTCACAGAAAAACTAAACAGAAGCATTCTCAGAAACTGCATTGTCATGTTTGTGTTCCACTTCAAGAATTGAACTTTCCTCTTGACAGAGCAGCTCTGAAACCCTCTTTTTCTAGAATCTGCAAGTGGATATTTGGAGGGCTTTGAGGCCTGTGGTGGAAAAGGAAAATCTTCACATAAAAACTAGATGGAAGCATTCTCAGAAACTACTTTGTGATGATTGCATTCGACTCACAGAGTTGAACATTCCTATACATAGAGCAGGTTGTAAACAATCTTTTTGTAGAATCTGCGATTGGAGATTTGGACTGCTTTGAGGCCTACTGTAGTAAAGGAAATAACTTCATCTAAAAACCAAACGGAAGCATTCACAGACAATTCTTAGTGATCATTGCATTGAACTAACAGAGCTGAACATTCCTTTAATATGGAGCAGTTTCCAAACACACTTTCTGTAGAATCTGCAAGTGGATATTTGGACCTCTCTGAGGATTTCGTTGGAAACGGGATAAACTTCCCAGAACTACACGGAAGCATTGTGAGAAACTTCTTTGTGATGTTTGCATTCAACTCACAGAGTTGAACCTTGCTTTCATAGTTCAGCTTTCAAACACTCTTTTTGTAGAATCTGCAAGTGGATATTTGGACCACTTTGTGGCCTTCCTTTGAAAAGGGTATATCTTCACATCAAACCTAGACAGAAGCATTCTCAGAATGTTTCCTGTGATGACTGCATTCAACTCACAGAGGTGAACAATCCTGTTGATGGGGCACTTTTGAAACTCTCTTTCTTTGGATTCTGCAAGTTGATATGTGGACCTCTCTGAAGATTTCGTTGGAAACAGGTTCATCTTCACAGAAAAACTGAACAGAAGCATTCTCAGAAACTACTTTGTGATGTTTGTGTTCCACTTCAAGAATTGAACTTTCCTCTTGACAGAGCAGCTCTGAAACCCTCTTTTTCTAGAATCTGCAAGTGGACATTTGGAGGGCTTTGAGGCCTGTGGTGGAAAAGGAAAATCTTCACATAAAAACTAGATGGAAGCATTCTCAGAAACTACTTTGTGATGATTGCATTCGACTCACAGAGTTGAACATTCCTATAGATAGAGCAGGTTGTAAACAATCTTTTTGTAGAATCTGCAATTGGAGATTTGGACTGCTTTGAGGCCTACTGTAGTAAAGGAAATAACTTCATCTAAAAACCAAACGGAAGCATTCACAGACAATTCTTAGTGATCATTGCATTGAACTAACAGAGCTGAACATTCCTTTAGATGGCGCAGTTTCCAAACACACTTTCTGTAGAATCTGCAAGTGGATATTTGGACCTCTGTGAGGATTTCGTTGGAAACGGGATAAAATTCCCAGAACTACACGGAAGCATTCTGAGAAACTTCTTTGTGATGTTTGCATTCAACTCACAGAGTTGAACCTTGCTTTCATAGTTCAGCTTTCAAACACTCTTTTTGTAGAATCTGCAAGTGTATATTTGGACCACTTTGTGGCCTTCCTTCGAAACGGGTATATCTTCACATCAAACCTAGACAGAAGCATTCTCAGAATGTTTCCTGTGATGACTGCATTCAACTCACAGAGGTGAACAATCCTGTTGATGGAGCAGTTTTGAAACTCTCTTTCTTTGGATTCTGCAAGTGGATATGTGGACCTCTGTGAAGATTTCGTTGGAAACGGGTTCATCTTCACAGAAAAACTAAACAGAAGCATTCCCAGAAACTGCTTTGTGATGTTTCTGTTCCACTTCAAGAATTGAACTTTCCTCTTGACAGAGCAGCTCTGAAACCCTCTTTTTCTAGAATCTGCAAGTGGACATTTGGAGGGCTTTGAGGCCTGTGGTGGAAAAGGAAAATCTTCACATAAAAACTAGATGGAAGCATTCTCAGAAACTACTTTGTGATGATTGCATTCGACTCACAGAGTTGAACATTCCTATAGATAGAGCAGGTTGTAAACAATCTTTTTGTAGAATCTGCGATTGGAGATTTGGACTGCTTTGAGGCCTACTGTAGAAAACGAAATAACTTCATCTAAAAACCAAACGGAAGCATTCACAGACAATTCTTAGTGATCATTGCATTGAACTAACAGAGCTGAACATTCCTTTAGATGGAGCAGTTTCCAAACACACTTTCTGTAGAATCTGCAAGTGGATATTTGGACTTCTCTGAGGATTTCGTTGGAAACGGGATAAACTTCCCAGAACTACACGGAAGTATTCTGAGAAACTTCTTTGTGATGGTTGCATTCAACTCACAGAGTTGAACCTTGCTTTCATAGTTCAGCTTTCAAACACTCTTTTTGTAGAATCTGCAAGTGGATATTTGGACCACTTTGTGGCCTTCCTTCGAAACGGGTATATCTTCACATCAAACCTTGACAGAAGCATTCTCAGAATGTTTCCTGTGATGACTGCATTCAACTCACAGAGGTGAACAATCCTGCTGATGGAGCAGTTTTGAAACTCTCTTTCTTTGGATTCTGCAAGTGGATATGTGGACCTCTGTGAAGATTTCGTTGGAAACGGGTTCATCTTCACAGAAAAACTAAACAGAAGCATTCTCAGAAACTGCTTTGTGATGTTTGTGTTCCACTTCAAGAATTGAACTTTCCTCTTGACAGAGCAGCTCTGAAACCCTCTTTTTCTAGAATCTGCAAGTGGACATTTGGAGGGCTTTGAGGCCTGTGGTGGAAAAGGAAAATCTTCACATAAAAACTAGATGGAAGCATTCTCAGAAACTACTTTGTGATGATGGCTTTCGACTCACAGAGTTGAACATTCCTATAGATAGAGCAGGTTGTAAACAATCTTTTTGTAGAATCTGCGATTGGAGATTTGGACTGCTTTGAGGCCTACTGTAGTAAAGGAAATAACTTCATCTAAAAACCAAACGGAAGCATTCACAGACAATTCTTAGTGATCATTGGATTGAACTAACAGAGCTGAACATTCCATTAGATGGAGCAGTTTCCAAACACACTTTCTGTAGAATCTGCAAGTGGATATTTGGACCTCTCTGAGGATTTCGTTGGAAACGGGATAAACTTCCCAGAACTACACGGAAGCATTGTGAGAAACTTCTTTGTGATGTTTGCATTCAACTCACAGAGTTGAACCTTGCTTTCATAGTTCAGCTTTCAAACACTCTTTTTGTAGAATGTGCAAGTGGATATTTGGACCACTTTGTGGCCTTCCTTCGAAACGGGTATATCTTCACATCAAACCTAGACAGAAGCATTCTCAGAATGTTTCCTGTGATGACTGCATTCAACTCACAGAGGTGAACAATCCTGTTGATGGAGCCGTTTTGAAACTCTCTTTCTTTGGATTCTGCAAGTGGATATGTGGACCTCTGTGAAGATTTCGTTGGAAACGGGTTCATCTTCACAGAAAAACTAAACAGGAGCATTCTCAGAAACTGCTTTGTGATGTTTGTGTTCCACTTCAGTAATTAAACTTTCCTCTTGACAGAGCAGCTCTGAAACCCTCTTTTTCTAGAATCTGCAAGTGGACATTTGGAGGGCTTTGAGCCCTGTGGTGGAAAAGGAAAATCTTCACATAAAAACTAGATGGAAGCATTCTCAGAAACTACTTTGTGATGATGGCTTTCGACTCACAGAGTTGAACATTCCTATAGATAGAGCAGGTTGTAAACAATCTTTTTGTAGAATCTGCGATTGGAGATTTGGACTGCTTTGAGGCCTACTGTAGTAAAGGAAATAACTTCATCTAAAAACCAAACGGAAGCATTCACAGACAATTCTTAGTGATCATTGGATTGAACTAACAGAGCTGAACACTCCTTTAGATGGCGCTGTTTCCAAACACACTTTCTGTAGAATCTGCAAGTGGATATTTGGACTTCTCTGAGGATTTCGTTGGAAACGGGATAAACTTCCCAGAACTACACGGAAGCATTCTGAGAAACTTCTTTGTGATGTTTGCATTCAACTCACAGAGTTGAACCTTGCTTTCTTAGTTCAGCTTTCAAACACTCTTTTTGTAGAATCTGCAAGTGGATATTTGGACCACTTTGTGGCCTTCCTTCGAAACGGGTATATCTTCACATCAAACCTAGACAGAAAGCATTCTCAGAATGTTTCCTGTGATGACTGCATTCAACTCACAGAGGTGAACAATCCTGCTGATGGAGCAGTTTTGAAACTCTCTTTCTTTGGATTCTGCAAGTGGATATGTGGACCTCTGTGAAGATTTCGTTGGAAACGGGTTCATCTTCACAGAAAAACTAAACAGAAGCATTCTCAGAAACTACTTTGTGATGTTTGTGTTCCACTTCAAGAATTGAACTTTCCTCTTGACAGAGCAGCTCTGAAACCCTCTTTTTCTAGAATCTGCAAGTGGACATTTGGAGGGCTTTGAGGCCTGTGGTGGAAAAGGAAAATCTTCACATAAAAACTAGATGGAAGCCTTCTCAGAAACTACTTTGTGATGATTGCATTCGACTCACAGAGTTGAACATTCCTATAGATAGAGCAGGTTGTAAACAATCTTTTTGTAGAATCTGCGATTGGAGATTTGGACTGCTTTGAGGCCTACTGTAGTAAAGGAAATAACTTCATCTAAAAACCAAACGGAAGCATTCACAGACAATTCTTAGTGATCATTGGATTGAACTAACAGAGCTGAACATTCCTTTAGATGGAGCAGTTTCCAAACCCTCTTTCTGTAGAATCTGCAAGTGGATATTTGGACTTCTCTGAGGATTTCGTTGGAAACGGGATAAACTTCCCAGAACTACACGGAAGCATTGTGAGAAACATCTTTGTGATGTTTGCATTCAACTCACAGAGTTGAACCTTGCTTTCATAGTTCAGCTTTCAAACACTCTTTTTGTAGAATCTGCAAGTGGATATTTGGACCACTTTGTGGCCTTCCTTCGAAACGGGTATATCTTCACATCAAACCTAGACAGAAGCATTCTCAGAATGTTTCCTGTGATGACTGCATTCAACTCACAGAGGTGAACAATCCTGCTGATGCAGCAGTTTTGAAACTCTCTTTCTTTGGATTCTGCAAGTGGATATGTGGACCTCTGTGAAGATTTCGTTGGAAACGGGTTCATCTTCACAGAAAAACTAAACAGAAGCATTCTCAGAAACTGCTTTGTGATGTTTGTGTTCCACTTCAAGAATTGAACTTTCCTCTTGACAGAGCAGCTCTGAAACCCTCTTTTTCTAGAATCTGCAAGTGGACATTTGGAGGGCTTTGAGGCCTGCGGTGGAAAAGGAAAATCTTCCCATAAAAACTAGATGGAAGCATTCTCAGAAACTACTTTGTGATGATTGCATTCGACTCACAGAGTTGAACATTCCTATAGATAGAGCAGGTTGTAAACAATCTTTTTGTAGAATCTGCGATTGGAGATTTGGACTGCTTTGAGGCCTACTGTAGTAAAGGAAATAACTTCATCAAAAAACCAAACGGAAGCAATCACAGACAATTCTTAGTGATCATTGCATTGAACTAACAGAGCTGAACATTCCTTTAGATGGTGCAGTTTCCAAACACACTTTCTGTAGAATCTGCAAGTGGATATTTGGACCTCTCTGAGGATTTCGTTGGAAACGGGATAAATATCCCAGAATTACACGGAAGCATTCTGAGAAACTTCTTTGTGATGTTTGCATTCAACTCACAGAGTTGAACCTTGCTTTCATAGTTCAGCTTTCAAACACTCTTTTTGTAGAATCTGCAAGTGGATATTTGGACCACTTTGTGGCCTTCCTTCGAAACGGGTATATCTTCACATCAAACCTAGACAGAAGCATTCTCAGAATGTTTCCTGTGATGTCTGCATTCAACTCACAGAGGTGAACAATCCTGCTGATGGAGCAGTTTTGAAACTCTCTTTCTTTGGATTCTGCAAGTGGATATGTGGACCTCTGTGAAGATTTCGTTGGAAACGGGTTCATCTTCACAGAAAAACTAAACAGAAGCATTCTCAGAAACTGCTTTGTGATGTTTGTGTTCCACTTCAAGAATTGAACTTTCCTCTTGACAGAGCAGCTCTGAAACCCTCTTTTTCTAGAATCTGCAAGTGGACATTTGGAGGGCTTTGAGGCCTGTGGTGGAAAAGGAAAATCTTCACATGAGAACTAGATGGAAGCATTCTCAGAAACTACTTTGTGATGATGGCTTTCGACTCACAGAGTTGAACATTCCTATAGATAGAGCAGGTTGTAAACAATCTTTTTGTAGAATCTGCGATTGGAGATTTGGACTGCTTTGAGGCCTACTGTAGTAAAGGAAATAACTTCATCTAAAAACCAAACGGAAGCATTCACAGACAATTCTTAGTGATCATTGCATTGAACTAACTGAGCTGAACATTCCTTTAGATAGCGCAGTTTCCAAACACACTTTCTGTAGAATCTGCAAGTGGATGTTTGGACCTCTCTGAGGATTTCGTTGGAAACGGGATAAACTTCCCAGAACTACACGGAAGCATTCTGAGAAACTTCTTTGTGATGTTTGCATTCAACTCACAGAGTTGAACCTTGCTTTCATAGTTCAGCTTTCAAACACTCTTTTTGTAGAATCTGCAAGTGGATATTTGGACCACTTTGTGGCCTTCCATCGAAACGGGTATATCTTCACATCAAACCTAGACAGAAGCATTCTCAGAATGTTTCCTGTGATGACTGCATTCAACTCACAGAGGTGAACAATCCTGTTGATGGAGCAGTTTTGAAACTCTCTTTCTTTGGATTCTGCAAGTGGATATGTGGACCTCTGTGAAGATTTCGTTGGAAACGGGTTCATCTTCACAGAAAAACTAAACAGAAGCATTCTCAGAAACTGCTTTGTGATGTTTGTGTTCCACTTCAGGAATTGAACTTTCCTCTTGACAGAGCAGCTCTGAAACCCTCTTATTCTAGAATCTGCAAGTGGACATTTGGAGGGCTTTGAGGCCTGTGGTGGAAAAGGAAAATCTTCACATAAAAACTAGATGGAAGCATTCTCAGAAACTACTTTGTGATGATTGCATTCGACTCACAGAGTTGAACATTCCTATAGATAGAGCAGGTTGTAAACAATCTTTTTGTAGAATCTGCGATTGGAGATTTGGACTGCTTTGAGGCCTACTGTAGTAAAGGAAATAACTTCATCTAAAAAACAAACGGAAGCATTCACAGACAATTCTTAGTGATCATTGGATTGAACAAACAGAGCTGAACATTCCTTTAGATAGAGCAGTTTCCAAACACACTTTCTGTAGAATCTGCAAGTGGATATTTGGACTTCTCTGAGGATTTCGTTGGAAACGGGATAAACTTCCCAGAACTACACGGAAGCATTCTGAGAAACTTCTTTGTGATGTTTGCATTCAACTCACAGAGTTGAACCTTGCTTTCATAGTTCAGCTTTCAAACACTCTTTTTGTAGAATATGCAAGTGGATATTTGGACCACTTTGTGGCCTTCCTTCGAAACGGGTATATCTTCACATCAAACCTAGACAGAAGCATTCTCAGAATGTTTCCTGTGATGACTGCATTCAACTCACAGAGGTGAACAATCCTGCTGATGGAGCAGTTTTGAAACTCTCTTTCTTTGGATTCTGCAAGTGGATATGTGGACCTCTGTGAAGATTTCGTTGGAAACGGGTTCATCTTCACAGAAAAACTAAACAGAAGCATTCTCAGAAACTGCTTTGTGATGTTTGTGTTCCACTTCAGGAATTGAACTTTCCTCTTGACAGAGCAGCTCTAAAACCCTCTTATTCTAGAATCTGCAAGTGGACATTTGGAGGGCTTTGAGGCCTGTGGTGGAAAAGGAAAATCTTCACATAAAAACTAGATGGAAGCATTCTCAGAAACTCCTTTGTGATGATTGCATTCGACTCACAGAGTTGAACATTCCTATAGATAGAGCAGGTTGTAAACAATCTTTTTGTAGAATCTGCGATTGGAGATTTGGACTGCTTTGAGGTCTACTGTAGTAAAGGAAATAACTTCATCTAAAAACCAAACGGAAGCATTCACAGACAATTCTTAGTGATCATTGGATTGAACTAACAGAGCTGAACATTCCTTTAGATGGAGCAGTTTCCAAACACACTTTCTGTAGAATCTGCAAGTGGATATTTGGACTTCTCTGAGGATTTCGTTGTAAAGGGGATAAACTTCCCAGAACTACACGGAAGCATTCTGAGAAACTTCTTTGTGATGTTTGCATTCAACTCACAGAGTTGAACCTTGCTTTTATAGTTCAGCTTTCAAACACTCTTTTTGTAGAATCTGCAAGTGGATATTTGGACCACTTTGTGGCCTTCCTTCGAAACGGGTATATCTTCACATCAAACCTAGACAGAAGCATTCTCAGAATGTTTCCTGTGATGACTGCATTCAACTCACAGAGGTGAACAATCCTGTTGATGGAGCACTTTTGAAACTCTCTTTCTTTGGATTCTGCAAGTTGATATGTGGACCTCTGAGAACATTTCGTTGGAAACGGGTTCATCTTCACAGAAAAACTAAACAGAAGCATTCTCAGAAACTGCTTTGTGATGTTTGTGTTCCACTTCAAGAATTGAACTTTCCTCTTGACAGAGCAGCTCTGAAACCCTCTTTTTCTAGAATCTGCAAGTGGACATTTGGAGGGCTTTGAGGCCTGTGGTGGAAAAGGAAAATCTTCACATAAAAACTAGATGGAAGCATTCTCAGAAACTACTTTGTGATGATTGCATTCGACTCACAGAGTTGAACATTCCTATACATAGAGCAGGTTGTAAACAATCTTTTTGTAGAATCTGCGATTGGAGATTTGGACTGCTTTGAGGCCTACTGTAGTAAAGGAAATAACTTCATCTAAAAACCAAACGGAAGCATTCACAGACAATTCTTAGTGATCATTGGATTGAACTAACAGAGCTGAACATTCCTTTAGATGGAGCAGTTTCCAAACACACTTTCTGTAGAATCTGCAAGTGGATATTTGGACTTCTCTGAGGATTTCGTTGGAAACGGGATAAACTTCCCAGAACTACAGGGAAGCATTGTGAGAATCATATTTCTGATGTTTGCATTCAACTCACAGAGTTGAACCTTGCTTTCATAGTTCAGCTTTCAAACACTCTTTTTGTAGAATCTGCAAGTGGATATTTGGACCACTTTGTGGCCTTCCTTTGAAACGGGTACATCTTCACATCAAACCTAGACAGAAGCATTCTCAGAATGTTTCCTGTAATGACTGCATTCAACTCACAGAGGTGAACAGTCCTGTTGATGGGGCACTTTTGAAACTCTCTTTCTTTGGATTCTGCAAGTTGATATGTGGACCTCTGTGAAGATTTCGTTGGAAACGGGTTCATCTTCACAGAAAAACTAAACAGAAGCATTCTCAGAAACTACTTTGTGATGTTTGTGTTCCACTTCAACAATTCAACTTTCCTCTTGACAGAGCAGCTCTGAAACCCTCTTTTTCTAGAATCTGCAAGTGGACATTTGGAGGGCTTTGAGGCCTGTGGTGGAAAAGGAAAATCTTCACATAAAAACTAGATGGAAGCATTCTCAGAAACTACTTTGTGATGATTGCATTCGACTCACAGAGTTGAACATTCCTATAGATAGAGCAGGTTGTAAACAATCTTTTTGTAGAATCTGCGATTGGAGATTTGGACTGCTTTGAGGCATACTGTAGTAAAGGAAATAACTTCATCTAAAAACCAAACGGAAGCATTCACAGACAATTCTTAGTGATCATTGGATTGAACTAACAGAGCTGAACATTCCTTTAGATGGAGCAGTTTCCAAACACACTTTCTGTAGAATCTGCAAGTGGATATTTGGACTTCTCTGAGGATTTCGTTGGAAACGGGATAAACTTCCCAGAACTACACGGAAGCATTGTGAGAAACTTCTTTGTGATGTTTGCATTCAACTCACAGAGTTGAACCTTGCTTTCATAGTTCAGCTTTCAAACACTCTTTTTGTAGAATCTGCATGTGGATATTTGGACCACTTTGTGGCCTTCCTTCGAAACGGGTATATCTTCACATCAAACCTAGACAGAAGCATTCTCAGAATGTTTCCTGTGATGACTGCATTCAACTCACAGAGGTGAACAATCCTGCTGATGGAGCAGTTTTGAAACTCTCTTTCTTTGGATTCTGCAAGTGGATATGTGGACCTCTGTGAAGATTTCGTTGGAAACGGGTTCATCTTCACAGAAAAACTAAACAGGAGCATTCTCAGAAACTGCTTTGTGATGTTTGTGTTCCACTTCAGGAATTGAACTTTCCTCTTGACAGAGCAGCTCTGAAACCCTCTTATTCTAGAATCTGCAAGTGGACATTTGAAGGGCTTTGAGGCCTGTGGTGGAAAAGGAAAATCGTCACATAAAAACTAGATGGAAGCATTCTCAGAAACTACTTTGTGATGATTGCATTCGACTCACAGAGTTGAACATTCCTATACATAGAGCAGGTTGTAAACAATCTTTTTGTAGAATCTGCGATTGGAGATTTGGACTGCTTTGAGGCCTACTGTAGTAAAGGAAATAACTTCATCTAAAAACCAAACGGAAGCATTCACAGACAATTCTTAGTGATCATTGCATTGAACTAACAGAGCTGAACATTCCTTTAGATGGCGCAGTTTCCAAACACACTTTCTGTAGAATCTGCAAGTGGATATTTGGACCTCTCTGAGGATTTCGTTGGAAACGGGATAAACTTCCCAGAACTACACGGAAGCATTGGGAGAAACTTCTTTGTGATGTTTGCATTCAACTCACAGTGTTGAACCTTGCTTTCATAGTTCAGCTTTCAAACACTCTTTTTGTAGAATCTGCAAGTGGATATTTGGACCACATTTGGCCTTCCTTCGAAACGGGTATATCTTCACATCAAACCTAGACAGAAGCATTCTCAGAATGTTTCCTGTGATGACTGCATTCAACTCACAGAGGTGAACAATCCTGCTGATGGAGCAGTTTTGAAACTCTCTTTCTTTGGATTCTGCAAGTGGATATGTGGACCTCTGTGAAGATTTCGTTGGATACGGGTTCATCTTCACAGAAAAACTAAACAGGAGCATTCTCAGAAACTGCTTTGTGATGTTTTTGTTCCACTTCAAGAATTGAACTTTCCTCTTGACAGAGCAGCTCTGAAATCCTCTTTTTCTAGAATCTGCAAGTGGACATTTGGAGGGCTTTGAGACCTGTGGTGGAAAAGGAAAATCTTCACATAAAAACTAGATGGAAGCATTCTCAGAAACTACTTTGTGATGATTGCATTCGACTCACAGAGTTGAACATTCCTATAGATAGAGCAGGTTGTAAACAATCTTTTTGTAGAATCTGCGATTGGAGATTTGGACTGCTTTGAGGCCTACTGTAGTAAAGGAAATAACTTCATCTAAAAACCAAACGGAAGCATTCACAGACAATTCTTAGTGATCATTGGATTGAACTAACAGAGCTGAACATTCCTTTAGATGGAGCAGTTGCCAAACACACTTTCTGTAGAATCTGTAAGTGGATATTTGGACCTCTCTGAGCATTTCGTTGGAAACGGGATAAACTTCCCAGAACTACACGGAAGCATTCTGAGAAACTTCTTTGTGATGTTTGCATTCAACTCACAGAGTTGAACCTTGCTTTCATAGTTCAGCTTTCAAACACTCTTTTTGTAGAATCTGCAAATGGATATTTGGACCACTTTGTGGCCTTCCTTCGAAACGGGTATATCTTCACATCAAACCTAGACAGAAGCATTCTCAGAATGTTTCCTGTGATGACTGCATTCAACTCACAGAGGTGAACAATCCTGCTGATGGAGCAGTTTTGAAACTCTCTTTCTTTGGATTCTGCAAGTGGATATGTGGACCTCTGTGAAGATTTCGTTGGAAACGGGTTCATCTTCACAGAAAAACTAAACAGGAGCATTCTCAGAAACTGCTTTGTGATGTTTGTGTTCCACTTCAGGAATTGAACTTTCCTCTTGACAGAGCAGCTCTGAAATCCTCTTATTCTAGAATCTGCAAGTGGACATTTGGAGGGCTTTGAGGCCTGTGGTGGAAAAGGAAAATCTTCACATAAAAACTAGATGGAAGCATTCTCAGAAACTACTTTGTGATGATTGCATTCGACTCACAGAGTTGAACATTCCTATAGATAGAGCAGGTTGAAAACAATCATTTTGTAGAATCTGCGATTGGAGATTTGGACTGCTTTGAGGCCTACTGTAGTAAAGGAAATAACTTCATCTAAAAATCAAACGGAAGCATTCACAGACAATTCTTAGTGATCATTGGATTGAACTAACAGAGCTGAACATTCCTTTAGATGGAGCAGTTTCCAAACCCACTTTCTGTAGAATCTGCAAGTGGATATTTGGACTTCTCTGAGGATTTCGTTGGAAACGGGATAAACTTCCCAGAACTACACGGAAGCATTCTGAGAAACTTCTTTGTGATGTTTGCATTCAACTCAGAGAGTTAAACCTTGCTTTCATAGTTCAGCTTTCAAACACTCTTTTTGTAGAATCTGCAAGTGGATATTTGGACCACTTTGTGGCCTTCCTTCGAAACGGGTATATCTTCACATCAAACCTAGACAGAAGCATTCTCAGAATGTTTCCTGTGATGACTGCATTCAACACACAGAGGTGAACAATCCTGTTGATGGAGCAGTTTTGAAACTCTCTTTCTTTGGATTCTGCAAGTGGATATGTGGAACTCTGTGAAGATTTCGTTGGAAACGGGTTCATCTTCACAGAAAAACTAAACAGGAGCATTCTCAGAAACTACTTTGTGATGTTTGTGTTCCACTTCAAGAATTGAACTTTCCTCTTGACAGAGCAGCTCTGAAACCCTCTTTTTCTAGAATCTGCAAGTGGACATTTGGAGGGCTTTGAGGCCTGTGGTGGAAAAGGAAAATCTTCACATAAAAACTAGATGGAAGCATTCTCAGAAACTACTTTGTGATGATTGCATTCGACTCACAGAGTTGAACATTCCTATACATAGAGCAGGTTGTAAACAATCTTTTTGTAGAATCTGCGATTGGAGATTTGGACTGCTTTGAGGCCTACTGTAGTAAAGGAAATAACTTCATCTAAAAACCAAACGGAAGCATTCACAGACAATTCTTAGTGATCATTGGATTGAACTAACAGAGCTGAACATTCCTTTAGATGGAGCAGTTTCCAATCCCACTTTCTGTAGAATCTGCAAGTGGATATTTGGACCTCTTTGAGGATTTTGTTGGAAAACGGATATACTTCCCAGAAATACACGGAAGTATTCTGAGAAACTTCTTTGTGATGTTTGCATTCAACTCACAGAGTTGAACCTTGCTTTCATAGTTCAGCTTTCAAACACTCTTTTTGTAGAATCTGCAAGTGGATATTTGGACCACTTTGTGGCTTTCCTTCGAAACGGGTATCTCTTCACATCAAACCTTGACAGAAGCATTCTCAGAATGTTTCCTGTGATGACTGCATTCAACTCACAGAGGTGAACAATCCTGTTGATGGAGCAGTTTTGAAACTCTCTTTCTTTGGATTCTGCAAGTTGATATGTGGACCTCTGTGAAGATTTCGTTGGAAACGTGTTCATCTTCACAGAAAAACTAAACAGAAACATTCTCAGAAACTGCTTTGTGATGTTTGTGTTCCACTTCAAGAATTGAACTTTCCTCTTGACAGAGCAGCTCTGAAACCCTCTTTTTCTAGAATCTGCAAGTGGACATTTGGAGGGCTTTGAGGTCTGTGGTGGAAAAGGACAATCTTCACAAAAAAACTAGATGGAAGCATTCTCAGAAACTACTTTGTGATGATTGCATTCGACTCACAGAGTTGAATATTCCTATAGATAGAGCAGGTTGTAAACAATCTTTTTGTAGAATCTGCGATTGGAGATTTGGACTGCTTTGAGGCCTACTGTAGTAAAGGAAATAACTTCATCTAAAAACCAAACGGAAGCATTCACAGACAATTCTTAGTGATCATTGGATTGAACTAACAGAGCTGAACATTCCTTTAGATGGAGCAGTTTCCAAACCCACTTTCTGTAGAACCTGCAAGTGGATATTTGGACCTCTCTGAGGATTTCTTTGGAAACGGGATAAACGTCCCAGAACTACACGGAAGCATTCTGAGAAACTTCTTTGTGATGTTTGCATTCAACTCACAGAGTTGAACCTTGCTTTCATAGTTCAGCTTTCAAACACTCTTTTTGTAGAATCTGCAAGTGGATATTTGGACCACTTTGTGGCCTTCCTTCGAAACGGGTATATCTTCACATCAAACCTAGACAGAAGCATTCTCAGAATGTTTCCTGTGATGACTGCATTCAACTCACAGAGGTGAACAATCCTGTTGATGGAGCAGTTTTGAAACTCTCTTTCTTTGGATTCTGCAAGTTGATATGTGGACCTATGTGAAGATTTCGTTGGAAACGGGTTCATCTTCACAGAAAAACTAAACAGAAGCATTCTCAGAAACTGCTTTGTGATGTTTGTGTTCCACTTCAGGAATTGAACTTTCCTCTTGACAGAGCAGCTCTGAAACCCTCTTTTTCTAGAATCTGCAAGTGGACATTTGGAGGGCTTTGAGGCATGTGGTGGAAAAGGAAAATCTTCACATAAAAACTAGATGGAAGCATTCTAAGAAACTACTTTGTGATGATTGCATTCGACTCACAGAGTTGAACATTCCTATAGATAGAGCAGGTTGTAAACAATCTTTTTGTAGAATCTGCGATTGGAGATTTGGACTGCTTTGAGGCCTACTGTAGTAAAGGAAATAACTTCATCTAAAAATCAAACGGAAGCATTCACAGACAATTCTTAGTGATCATTGGATTGAACTAACAGAGCTGAACATTCCTTTAGATGGAGCAGTTTCCAAACCCACTTTCTGTAGAATCTGCAAGTGGATATTTGGACTTCTCTGAGGATTTCGTTGGAAACGGGATAAACTTCCCAGAACTACACGGAAGCATTCTGAGAAACTTCTTTGTGATGTTTGCATTCAACTCACAGAGTTGAACCTTGCTTTCATAGTTCAGCTTTCAAACACTCTTTTTGTAGAATCTGCAAGTGGATATTTGGACCACTTTGTGGCCTTCCTTCGAAACGGGTATATCTTCACATCAAACCTAGACAGAAAGCATTCTCAGAATGTTTCCTGTGATGACTGCATTCAACTCACAGAGGTGAACAATCCTGCTGATGGAGCAGTTTTGAAACTCTCTTTCTTTGGATTCTGCAAGTGGATATGTGGACCTCTGTGAAGATTTCGTTGGAAACGGGTTCATCTTCACAGAAAAACTAAACAGGAGCATTCTCAGAAACTGCTTTGTGATGTTTGTGTTCCACTTCAGGAATTGAACTTTCCTCTTGACTGAGCAGCTCTGAAACCCTCTTTTTCTAGAATCTGCAAGTGGACATTTGGAGGGCTTTGAGGCCTGTGGTGGAAAAGGAAAATCTTCACATAAAAACTAGATGGAAGCATTCTCAGAAACTACTTTGTGATGATTGCATTCGACTCACAGAGTTGAACATTCCTATAGATAGAGCAGGTTGTAATCAATCTTTTTGTAGAATCTGCGATTGGAGATTTGGACTGCTTTGAGGCCTACTGTAGTAAAGGAAATAACTTCATCTAAAAACGAAACGGAAGCATTCACAGACAATTCTTAGTGATCATTGGATTGAACTAACAGAGCTGAACATTCCTTTAGATGGAGCAGTTTCCAAACACACTTTCTGTAGAATCTGCAAGTGGATATTTGGACCTCTCTGAGGATTTCGTTGGAAACGGGCTAAACTTCCCAGAACTACACGGAAGCATTCTGAGAAACTTCTTTGTGATGTTTGCATTCAACTCACAGAGTTGAACCTTGCTTTCATAGTTCAGCTTTCAAACACTCTTTTTGTAGAATCTGCAAGTGGATATTTGGACCACTTTGTGGCCTTCCTTCGAAACGGGTATATCTTCACATCAAACCTAGACAGAAGCATTCTCAGAATGTTTCCTGTGATGACTGCATTCAACTCACAGAGGTGAACAATCCTGCTGATGGAGCAGTTTTGAAACTCTCTTTCTTTGGATTCTGCAAGTGGATATGTGGACCTCTGTGAAGATTTCGTTGGAAACGGGTTCATCTTCACAGAAAAACTAAACAGAAGCATTCTCAGAAACTGCTTTGTGATGTTTTTGTTCCACTTCAGGAATTGAACTTTCCTCTTGACAGAGCAGCTCTGAAACCCTCTTTTTCTAGAATCTGCAAGTGTACATTTGGAGGGCTTTGAGGCCTGTGGTGGAAAAGGAAAATCTTCACATAAAAACTAGATGGAAGCATTCTCAGAAACTCCTTTGTGATGATTGCATTCGACTCACAGAGTTGAACTTTCCTACAGATAGAGCAGGTTGTAAACAATCTTTTTGTAGAATCTGCGATTGGAGATTTGGACTGCTTTGAGGCCTACTGTAGTAAAGGAAATAACTTCATCTAAACACCAAACGGAAGCATTCACAGACAATTCTTAGTGATCATTGGATTGAACTAACAGAGCTGAACACTCCTTTAGATGGAGCAGTTTCCAAACACACTTTCTGTAGAATCTGCAAGTGGATATTTGGACTTGTCTGAGGATTTCGTTGGAAACGGGATAAACTTCCCAGAACTACACGGAAGCATTGTGAGAAACTTCTTTGTGATGTTTGCATTCAACTCACAGAGTTGAACCTTGCTTTCATAGTTCAGCTTTCAAACACTCTTTTTGTAGAATCTGCAAGTGGATATTTGGACCACTTTGTGGCCTTCCTTCGAAACGGGTATATCTTCACATCAAACCTAGACAGAAGCATTATCAGAATGTTTCCTGTGATGACTGCATTCAACTCACAGAGGTGAACAATCCTGCTGATGGAGCAGTTTTGAAACTCTCTTTCTTTGGATTCTGCAAGTGGATATGTGGACCTCTTTGAAGATTTCGTTGGAAACGGGTTCATCTTCACAGAAAAACTAAACAGAAGCATTCTCAGAAACTGCTTTGTGATGTTTGTGTTCCACTTCAAGAATTGAACTTTCCTCTTGACAGAGCAGCTCTGAAACCCTCTTTTTCCAGAATCTGCAAGTGGACATTTGGAGGGCTTTGAGGCCTGTGGTGGAAAAGGAAAATCTTCACATAAGAACTAGATGGAATCATTCTCAGAAACTACTTTGTGATGATTGCATTCGACTCAAAGAGTTGAACATTCCTATAGATAGAGCAGGTTGTAAACAATCTTTTTGTAGAATATGCGATTGGAGATTTGGACTGCTTTGAGGCCTACTGTAGTAAAGGAAATAACTTCATCTAAAAACCAAACGGAAGCATTCACAGACAATTCTTAGTGATCATTGGATTGAACTAACAGAGCTGAACATTCCTTTAGATGGAGCAGTTTCCAAACACACTTTCTGTAGAATCTGCAAGTGGATATTTGGACTTCTCTGAGGATATCGTAGGAAACGGGAAAAACTTCCCAGAACTACACGGAAGCATTCTGAGAAACTTCTTTGTGATGTTTGCATTCAACTCACAGAGTTGAACCTTGCTTTCATAGTTCAGCTTTCAAACACTCTTTTTGTAGAATCTGCAAGTGGATATTTGGACCACTTTGTGGCCTTCCTTCGAAACGGGTATATCTTCACATCAAACCTAGACAGAAGCATTCTCAGAATGTTTCCTGTGATGACTGCATTCAACTCACAGAGGTGAACAATCCTGTTGATGGAGCAGTTTTGAAACTCTCTTTCTTTGGATTCTGCAAGTTGATATGTGGACCTCTGTGAAGATTTCGTTGGAAACGGGTTCATCTTCACAGAAAAACTAAACAGAAGCATTCTCAGAAACTGCTTTGTGATGTTTGTGTTCCACTTCAAGAATTGAACTTTCCTCTTGACAGAGCAGCTCTGAAACCCTCTTTTTCTAGAATCTGCAAGTGGACATTTGGAGGGCTTTGAGGCCTGTGGTGGAAAAGGAAAATCTTCCCATAAAAACTAGATGGAAGCATTCTCAGAAACTACTTTGTGATGATTGCATTCGACTCACAGAGTTGAACATTCCTATAGATAGAGCAGGTTGTAAACAATCTTTTTGTAGAATCTGCGATTGGAGATTTGGACTGCTTTGAGGCCTACTGTAGTAAAGGAAATAACTTCATCTAAAAACCAAACGGAAGCATTCACAGACAATTCTTAGTGATCATTGGATTGAACTAACAGAGCTGAACATTCCTTTAGATGGCGCAGTTTCCAAACACACTTTCTGTAGAATCTGCAAGTGGATATTTGGACCTCTCTGAGGATTTCGTTGGAAACGGGATAAACTTCCCAAAACTACACGGAAGTATTCTGAGAAACTTCTTTGTGATGTTTGCATTCAACTCACAGAGTTGAACCTTGCTTTCATATTTCAGCTTTCAAACACTCTTTTTGTAGAATCTGCAAGTGGATATTTGGACCACTTTGTGGCCTTCCTTCGAAACGGGTATATCTTCACATCAAACCTAGACAGAAGCATTCTCAGAATGTTTCCTGTGATGACTGCATTCAACTCACAGAGGTGAACAATCCTGTTGATGGAGCAGTTTTGAAACTCTCTTTCTTTGGATTCTGCAAGTGGATATGTGGACCTCTGTGAAGATTTCGTTGGAAACGGGTTCATCTTCACAGAAAAACTAAACAGGAGCATTCTCAGAAACTGCTTTGTGATGTTTGTGTTCCACTTCAGGAATTGAACTTTCCTCTTGACAGAGCAGCTCTGAAACCCTCTTTTTCTAGAATCTGCAAGTGGACATTTGGAGGGCTTTGAGGCCTGTGGTGGAAAAGGAAAATCTTCACATAAAAACTAGATGGAAGTATTCTCAGAAACTACTTTGTGATGATTGCATTCGACTCACAGAGTTGAACATTCCTATACATAGAGCAGGTTGTAAACCATCTTTTTGTAGAATCTGCGATTGGAGATTTGGACTGCTTTGAGGCCTACTGTAGTAAAGGAAATAACTTCATCTAAAAACCAAACGGAAGCATTCACAGACAATTCTTAGTGATCATTGCATTGAACTAACAGAGCTGAACATTCCTTTAGATGGCGCAGTTTCCAAACACACTTTCTGTAGAATCTGCAAGTGGATATTTGGACCTCTCTGAGGATTTCGTTGGAAACGGGATAAACTTCCCAGAACTACACGGAAGCATTCTGAGAAACTTCTTTGTGATGTTTGCATTCAACTCACAGAGTTGAACCTTGCTTTCATAGTTCAGCTTTCAAACACTCTTTTTGTAGAATCTGCAAGTGGATATTTGGACCACTTTGTGGCCTTCCTTCGAAACGGGTATATCTTCACATCAAACCTAGACAGAAGCATTCTCAGAATGTTTCCTGTGATGACTGCATTCAACTCACAGAGGTGAACAATCCTGTTGATGGAGCAGTTTTGAAACTCCCTTTCTTTGGATTCTGCAAGTGGATATGTGGAACTCTTTGAAGATTTCGTTGGAAACGGGTTCATCTTCACAGAAAAACTAAACAGGAGCATTCTCAGAAACTGCTTTGTGATGTTTGTGTTCCACTTCAAGAATTGAACTTTCCTCTTGACAGAGCAGCTCTGAAACCCTCTTTTTCTAGAATCTGCAAGTGGACATTTGGAGGGCTTTGAGGCCTGTGGTGGAAAAGGAAAATCTTCACATAAAAACTAGATGGAAGCATTCTCAGAAACTACTTTGTGATGATTGCATTCGACTCACAGAGTTGAACATTCCTATAGATAGAGCAGGTTGTAAACAATCTTTTTGTAGAATCTGCGATTGGAGATTTGGACTGCTTTGAGGCCTACTGTAGTAAAGGAAATAACTTCATCTAAAAACCAAACGGAAGCATTCACAGACAATTCTTAGTGATCATTGCATTGAACTAACAGAGCTGAACATTCCTTTAGATGAAGCAGTTTCCAAACCCACTTTCTGTAGAATCTGCAAGTGGATATTTGGACTTCTCTGAGGATTTCGTTGGAAACGGGATGAACTTCCCAGAACTACAGGGAAGCATTCTGAGAAACTTCTTTGTGATGTTTGCATTCAACTCACAGAGTTGAACCTAGCTTTCATAGTTCAGCTTTCAAACACTCTTTTTGTAGAATCTGCAAGTGGATATTTGGACCACTTTGTGGCCTTCCTTCGAAACGGGTATATCTTCACATCAAACCTAGACAGAAGCATTCTCAGAATGTTTCCTGTGATGACTGCATTCAACTCACAGAGGTGAACAATCCTGCTGATGGAGCAGTTTTGAAACTCTCTTTCTTTGGATTCTGCAAGTGGATATGTGGACCTCTGTGAAGATTTCGTTGGAAACGGGTTCATCTTCACAGAAAAACTAAACAGAAGCATTCTCAGAAACTGCTTTGTGATGTTTGTGTTCCACTTCAAGAATTGAACTTTCCTCTTGACAGAGCAGCTCTGAAACCCTCTTTTTCTAGAATCTGCAAGTGGACATTTGGAGGGCTTTGAGGCCTGTGGTGGAAAAGGAAAATCTTCACATAAAAACTAGATGGAAGCATTCTCAGAAACTACTTTGTGATGATTGCATTCGACTCAAAGAGTTGAACATTCCTATATATAGAGCAGGTTGTAAACAATCTTTTTGTAGAATCTGCGATTGGAGATTTGGACTGCTTTGAGGCCTACTGTAGTAAAGGAAATAACTTCATCTAAAAACCAAACGGAAGCATTCACAGACAATTCTTAGTGATCATTGGATTGAACTAACAGAGCTGAACATTCCTTTAGATGGAGCAGTTTCCAAACCCACTTTCTGTAGAATCTGCAAGTGGATATTTGGACCTCTCTGAGGATTTCGTTGGAAACAGGATAAAATTCCCAGAACTACACGGAAGCATTCTGAGAAACTTCTTTGTGATGTTTGCATTCAACTCACAGAGTTGAACCTTGCTTTCATAGTTCAGCTTTCAAACCCTCTTTTTGTAGAATCTGCAAGTGGATATTTGGACCACTTTGTGGCCTTCCTTCGAAACGGGTATATCTTCACATCAAACCTAGACAGAAGCATTCTCAGAATGTTTCCTGTGATGACTGCATTCAACTCACAGAGGTGAACAATCCTGCTGATGGAGCAGTTTTGAAACTCTCTTTCTTTGGATTCTGCAAGTGGATATGTGGACCTCTGTGAAGATTTCGTTGGAAACGGGTTCATCTTCACAGAAAAACTAAACAGAAGCATTCTCAGAAACTGCTTTGTGATGTTTGTGTTCCACTTCAAGAATTGAACTTTTCTCTTGATAGAGGAGCTCTGAAACCCTCTTTTTCTAGAATCTGCAATTGGACATTTGGAGGGCTTTGAGGCCTGTGGTGGAAAAGGAAAATCTTCACATAAAAACTGGATGGAAGCATTCTCAGAAACTACTTTGTGATGATTGCATTCGACTGACAGAGTTGAACATTCCTATAGAGAGAGCAGGTTGTAAACAATCTTTTTGTAGAATCTGCGATTAGAGATTTGGACTGCTTTGAGGCCTACTGTAGTAAAGGAAATAACTTCATCTAAAAACCAAACGGAAGCATTCACAGACAATTCTTAGTGATCATTGCATTGAACTAACAGAGCTGAACATTCCTTTAGATGGCGCAGTTTCCAAACACACTTTCTGTAGAATCTGCAAGTGGATATTTGGACTTCTCTGAGGATTTCGTTGGAAACGGGATAAACTTCCCAGAACTACACGGAAGCATTCTGAGAAACTTCTTTGTGATGTTTGCATTCAACTCACAGAGTTGAACCTTGCTTTCATAGTTCAGCTTTCAAACACTCTTTTTGTAGAATCTGCAAGTGGATATTTGGACCACTTTGTGGCCTTCCTTCGAAACGGGTATATCTTCACATCAAACCTAGACAGAAGCATTCTCAGAATGTTTCCTGTGATGACTGCATTCAACTCACAGAGGTGAACAATCCTGCTGATGGAGCAGTTTTGAAACTCTCTTTCTTTGGATTCTGCAAGTGGATATGTGGACCTCTGTGAAGATTTCGTTGGAAACGGGTTCATCTTCACAGAAAAACTAAACAGGAGCATTCTCAGAAACTGCTTTGTGATGTTTGTGTTCCACTTCAGGAATTGAACTTTCCTCTTGACAGAGCAGCTCTAAAACCCTCTTATTCTAGAATCTGCAAGTGGACATTTGGAGGGCTTTGAGGCCTGTGGTGGAAAAGGAAAATCTTCACATAAAAACTAGATGGAAGCATTCTCAGAAACTACTTTGTGATGATTGCATTCGACTCACAGAGTTGAACATTCCTATACATAGAGCAGGTTGTAAACAATCTTTTTGTAGAATCTGCGATTGGAGATTTGGACTGCTTTGAGGCCTACTGTAGTAAAGGAAATAACTTCATCTAAAAACCAAACGGAAGCATTCACAGACAATTCTTAGTGATCATTGCATTGAACTAACAGAGCTGAACATTCCTTTAGATGGCGCAGTTTCCAAACACACATTCTGTAGAATCTGCAAGTGGATATTTGGACCTCTCTGAGGATTTCGTTGGAAACGGGATAAACTTCCCAGAACTACACGGAAGCATTCTGAGAAACTTCTTTGTGATGTTTGCATTCAACTCACAGAGTTGAACCTTGCTTTCATAGTTCAGCTTTCAAACACTCTTTTTGTAGAATCTGCAAGTGGATATTTGGACCACTTTGTGGCCTTCCTTCGAAACGGGTATATCTTCACATCAAACCTAGACAGAAGCATTCTCAGAATGTTTCCTGTGATGACTGCATTCAACTCACAGAGGTGAACAATCCTGCTGATGGAGCAGTTTTGAAACTCTCTTTCTTTGGATTCTGCAAGTGGATATGTGGACCTCTGTGAAGATTTCGTTGGAAACGGGTTCATCTTCACAGAAAAACTAAACAGGAGCATTCTCAGAAACTGCTTTGTGATGTTTGTGTTCCACTTCAAGAATTGAACTTTCCTCTTGACAGAGCAGCTCTGAAACCCTCTTTTTCTAGAATCTGCAAGTGGACATTTGGAGGGCTTTGAGGCCTGTGATGGAAAAGGAAAATCTTCACATAAAAACTAGATGGAAGGATTCTCAGAAACTACTCTGTGATGATTGCATTCGACTCACAGAGTTGAACATTCGTATAGATAGAGCAGGTTGTAAACAATCTTTTTGTAGAATCTGCGATTGGAGATTTGGACTGCTTTGAGGCCTACTGTAGTAAAGGAAATAACTTCATCTAAAAACCAAACGGAAGCATTCACAGACAATTCTTAGTGATCATTGCATTGAACTAACAGAGCTGAACATTCCTTTAGATGGAGCAGTTTCCAAACACACTTTCTGTAGAATCTGCAAGTGGATATTTGGACTTCTCTGAGGATTTCGTTGGAAACGGGATAAACTTCCCAGAACTACACGGAAGCATTCTGAGAAACTTCTTTGTGATGTTTGCATTCAACTCACAGAGTTGAACCTTGCTTTCATAGTTCAGCTTTCAAACACTCTTTTTGTAGAATCTGCAAGTGGATATTTGGACCACTTTGTGGCCTTCCTTCGAAACGGGTATATCTTCACATCAAACCTAGACAGAAGCATTCTCAGAATGTTTCCTGTGATGACTGCATTCAACTCACAGAGGTGAACAATCCTGTTGATGGAGCAGTTTTGAATCTCTCTTTCTTTGGATTCTGCAAGTGGATATGTGGACCTCTGGGAAGATTTCGTTGGAAACGGGTTCATCTTCACAGAAAAACTAAACAGGAGCATTCTCAGAAACTGCTTTGTGATGTTTGTGTTCCACTTCAAGAATTGAACTTTCCTCTTGACAGAGCAGCTCTGAAACCCTCTTTTTCTAGAATCTGCAAGTGGACATTTGGAGGGCTTTGAGGCCTGTGTTGGAAAAGGAAAATCTTCACATAAAAACTAGATGGAAGCATTCTCAGAAACTACTTTGTGATGATTGCATTCGACTCACAGAGTTGAACATTCCTATAGATAGAGCAGGTTGTAAACAATCTTTTTGTAGAATCTGCGATTGGAGATTTGGACTGCTTTGAGGCCTACTGTAGTAAAGGAAATAACTTCATCTAAAAACCAAACGGAAGCATTCACAGACAATTCTTAGTGATCATTGGATTGAACTAACAGAGCTGAACATTCCTTTAGATGGAGCAGTTTCCAAACACAATTTCTGTAGAATCTGCAAGTGGATATTTGGACCTCTACTGAGGATTTCGTTGGAAACGGGATAAACTTCCCAGAACTACACGGAAGCATTCTGAGAAACTTCTTTGTGATGTTTGCATTCAACTCACAGAGTTGAACCTTGCTTTCATAGTTCAGCTTTCAAACACTCTTTTTGTAGAATCTGCAAGTGGATATTTGGACCACTTTCTGGCCTTCCTTCGAAACGGGTATATCTTCACATCAAACCTAGACAGAAGCATTCTCAGAATGTTTCCTGTGATGACTACATTCAACTCACAGAGGTGAACAATCCTGTTGATGGAGTAGTTTTGAAACTCTCTTTCTTTGGATTCTGCAAGTGGATATGTGGACCTCTGTGAAGATTTCGTTGGAAACGGGTTCATCTTCACAGAAAAACTAAACAGAAGCATTCTCAGAAACTGCTTTGTGATGTTTGTGTTCCACTTCAGGAATTGAACTTTCCTCTTGACAGAGCAGCTCTGAAACCCTCTTATTCTAGAATCTGCAAGTGGACATTTGGAGGGCTTTGAGGCCTGTGGTGGAAAAGGAAAATCTTCACATAAAACTAGATGGAAGCATTCTCAGAAACTACTTTGTGATGATTGCATTCGACTCACAGAGTTGAACATTCCTATAGAGAGAGCAGGTTGTAAACAATCTTTTTGTAGAATCTGCGATTAGAGATTTGGACTGCTTTGAGGCCTACTGTAGTAAAGGAAATAACTTCATCTAAAAACCAAACGGAAGCATTCACAGACAATTCTTAGTGATCATTGGATTGAACTAACAGAGCTGAACATTCCTTTAGATGGCTCAGTTTCCAGACACAGTTTCTGTAGAATCTGCAAGTGGATATTTGGACCTCTCTGAGGATTTCGTTGGAAACGGGATAAACTTCCCAGAACTACACGGAAGCATTCTGAGAAACTTCTTTGTGATGTTTGCATTCAACTCACAGAGTTGAACCTTGCTTTGATAGTTCAGCTTTCAAACACTCTTTTTGTAGAATCTGCAAGTGGATATTTGGACCACTTTGTGGCCTTCCTTCGAAACGGGTATATCTTCACATCAAACCTAGACAGAAGCATTCTCAGAATGTTTCCTGTGATGAGTGCATTCAACTCACAGAGGTGAACAATCCTGTTGATGGAGCAGTTTTGAAACTCCCTTTCTTTGGATTCTGCAAGTGGATATGTGGACCTCTGTGAAGATTTCGTTGGAAACGGGTTCATCTTCACAGAAAAACTAAACAGAAGCACTCTCAGTAAACTGCTTTGTGATGTTTGTGTTCCACTTCAAGAATTGAACTTTCCTCTTGACAGAGCAGCTCTGAAACCCTCTTTTTCTAGAATCTGCAAGTGGACATTTGGAGGGCTTTGAGGCCTGTGGTGGAAAAGGAATATCTTCCCATAAAAACTAGATGGAAGCATTCTCAGAAACTACTTTGTGATGATTGCATTCGACTCACAGAGTTGAACATTCCTATAGATAGAGCAGGTTGTAAACAATCTTTTTGTAGAATCTGCAATTGGAGATTTGGACTGCTTTGAGGCCTACTGTAGTAAAGGAAATAACTTCATCTAAAAACCAAACGGAAGCATTCACAGACAATTCTTAGTGATCATTGCATTGAACTAACAGAGCTGAATATTCCTTTAGATGGCGCAGTTTCCAAACACACTTTCTGTAGAATCTGCAACTGGATATTTGGACCTCTCTGAGGATTTCGTTGGAAACGGGATAAACTTCCCAGAACTACACGGAAGCATTCTGAGAAACTTCTTTGTGATGTTTGCATTCAACTCACAGAGTTGAACCTTGCTTTCATAGTTCAGCTTTCAAACACTCTTTTTGTAGAATCTGCAAGTGGATATTTGGACCACTTTCTGGCCTTCCTTCGAAACGGGTATATCTTCACATCAAACCTAGACAGAAGCATTCTCAGAATGTTTCCTGTGATGACTGCATTCAACTCACAGAGGTGAACAATCCTGCTGATGGAGCAGTTTGGAAACTCTCTTTCTTTGGATTCTGCAAGTGGATATGTGGACCTCTGTGAAGATTTCGTTGGAAACGGGTTCATCTTCACAGAAAAACTAAGCAGAAGCATTCTCAGAAACTGCTTTGTGATGTTTGTGTTCCACTTCAGGAATTGAACTTTCCTCTTGACAGAGCAGCTCTGAAACCCTCTTATTCTAGAATCTGCAAGTGGACATTTGGAGGGCTTTGAGGCCTGTGGTGGAAAAGGAAAATCTTCACATAAAAACTAGATGGAAGCATTCTCAGAAACTACTTTGTGATGATTGCATTCGACTCACAGAGTTGAACATTCCTATAGATAGAGCAGGTTGTAAACAATGTTTTTGTAGAATCTGCGATTGGAGATTTGGACTGCTTTGAGGCCTACTGTAGTAAAGGAAATAACTTCATCTAAAAACCAAACGGAAGCATTCACAGACAATTCTTAGTGATCATTGGATTGAACTAACAGAGCTGAACACTCCTTTAGATGGCGCTGTTTCCAAACACACTTTCTGTAGAATCTGCAAGTGGATATTTGGACTTCTCTGAGGATTTCGTTGGAAACGGGATAAACTTCCCAGAACTACACGGAAGCATTCTGAGAAACTTCTTTGTGATGTTTGCATTCAACTCACAGAGTTGAACCTTGCTTTCATAGTTCAGCTTTCAAACACTCTTTTTGTAGAATCTGCAAGTGGATATTTGGACCACTTTGTGGCCTTCCTTCGAAACGGGTATATCTTCACATCAAACCTAGACAGAAGCATTCTCAGAATGTTTCCTGTGATGACTGCATTCAACTCACAGAGGTGAACAATCCTGCTGATGGAGCAGTTTTGAAACTCTCTTTCTTTGGATTCTGCAAGTGGATATGTGGACCTCTGTGAAGATTTCGTTGGAAACGGGTTCATCTTCACAGAAAAACTAAACAGGAGCATTCTCAGAAACTACGTTGTGATGTTTGTGTTCAACTTGCAGAGTTGAAATTTCCTCTTGACAGAGCAGCTATGAAACATTGCTTTTCTTGAATCTGCAAGTGGACATTTGAAGGGCTTTGAGGCCTGTGGCGGAAACGTAAATATCTGCATATAAAAACTAGATAGAAGCATTCTCAGAAACTACTTTGTGATGATTGCATTCGACTCACAGAGTTGAACATTCCTATAGATAGAGCAGGTTGTAAACAATCTTTTAGTAGAATCTGCGATTGGAGATTTGGACTGCTTTGAGGCCTACTGTAGTAAAGGAAATAACTTCATCTAAAAACCAAACGGAAGCATTCACAGACAATTCTTAGTGATCATTGGATTCAACTAACAGAGCTGAACATTCCTTTAGATGGAGCATTTTCCAAACACACTTTCTGTAGAATCTGCAAGTGGATATTTGGACCTCTCTGAGGATTTCGTTGGAAACGGGATAAACTTCCCAGAACTACACGGAAGCATTCTGAGAAACTTCTTTGTGATGTTTGCATTCAACTCACAGAGTTGAACCTTGCTTTCATAGTTCAGCTTTCAAACACTCTTTTTGTAGAATCTGCAAGTGGATATTTGGACCACTTTGTGGCCTTCCTCGAAACGGGTATATCTTCACATCAAACCTAGACAGAAGCATTCTCAGAATGTTTCCTGTGATGACTGCATTCAACTCACAGAGGTTAACAATCCTGCTGATGGAGCAGTTTTGAAACTCTCTTTCTTTCGATTCTGCAAGTGGATATGTGGACCTCTGTGAAGATTTCGTTGGAAACGGGTTCATCTTCACAGAAAAACTAAACAGGAGCATTCTCAGAAACTGCTTTGTGATGTTTGTGTTCCACTTCAGGAATTGAACTTTCCTCTTGACAGAGCAGCTCTAAAACCCTCTTATTCTAGAATCTGCAAGTGGACATTTGGAGGGCTTTGAGGCCTGTGGTGGAAAAGGAAAATCTTCACATAAAAACTAGATGGAAGCATTCTCAGAAACTACTTTGTGATGATTGCATTCGACTCACAGAGTTGAACATTCCTATAGATAGAGCAGGTTGTAAACAATCTTTTTGTAGAATCTGCGATTGGAGATTTGGACTGCTTTGAGGCCTACTGTAGTAAAGGAAATAACTTCATCTAAAAACCAAACGGAAGCATTCACAGACAATCCTTAGTGATCATTGCATTGAACTAACAGAGCTGAACATTCCTTTAGATGGCGCAGTTTCCAAACACACTTTCTGTAGAATCTGCAAGTGGATATTTGGACCTCTCTGAGGATTTCGTTGGAAACGGGATAAACTTCCCAGAACTACACGGAGCATTGTGAGAAACTTCTCTGTGATGTTTGCATTCAACTCACAGAGTTGAACCTTGCTTTCATAGTTCAGCTTTCAAACACTCTTTTTGTGGAATCTGCAAGTGGATATTTGGACCACTTTGTGGCCTTCCTTCGAAACGGGTATATCTTCACATCAAACCTAGACAGAAGCATTCTCAGAATGTTTCCTGTGATGACTGCATTCAACTCACAGAGGTGAACAATCCTGCTGATGGAGCAGTTTTGAAACTCTCTTTCTTTGGATTCTGCAAGTGGATATGTGGACCTCTGTGAAGATTTCGTTGGAAACGGGTTCATCTTCACAGAAAAACTAAACAGGAAGCATTCTCAGCAAACTGCTTTGTGATGTTTGTGTTCCACTTCAGGAATTGAACTTTCCTCTTGACAGAGCAGCTCTGAAACCCTCTTTTTCTAGAATCTGCAAGTTGACATTTGGAGGGCTTTGAGGCCTGCGGTGGAAAAGGAAAATCTTCACATAAAAACTAGATGGAAGCATTCTCAGAAACTACTTTGTGATGATTGCATTCGACTCACAGAGTTGAACATTCCTATAGATAGAGCAGGTTGTAAAGAATCTTTTTGTAGAATCTGCGATTGGAGATTTGGACTGCTTTGAGGCCTACTGTAGTAAAGGAAATAACTTCATCTAAAAACCAAACGGAAGCATTCACAGACAATTCCTAGTGATCATTGCATTGAACTAACAGAGCTGAACATTCCTTTAGATGGCGCAGTTTCCAAACACACTTTCTGTAGAATCTGCAAGTGGATATTTGGACCTCTCTGAGGATTTCGTTGGAAACGGGATAAACTTCCCAGAAATACACGGAAGCATTCTGAGAAACTTCTTTGTGATGTTTGCATTCAACTCACAGAGTTGAACCTTGCTTTCATAGTTCAGCTTTCAAACACTCTTTTTGTAGAATCTGCAAGTGGATATTTGGACCACTTTGTGGCCTTCCTTCGAAACGGGTATATCTTCACATCAAACCTAGACAGAAGCATTCTCAGAATGTTTCCTGTGATGACTGCATTCAACTCACAGAGGTGAAGAATCCTGTTGATGGAGCAGTTTTGAAACTCTCTTTCTTTGGATTCTGCAAGTGGATATGTGGACCTCTATGAAGATTTCGTTGGAAACGGGTTCATCTTCACAGAAAAACTAAACAGAAGCATTCTCAGAAACTGCTTTGTGATGTTTGTGTTCCACTTCAAGAATTGAACTTTCCTCTTGACAGAGCAGCTCTGAAACCCTCTTTTTCTAGAATCTGCAAGTGGACATTTGGAGGGCTTTGAGGCCTGTGGTGGAAAAGGAAAATCTTCACATAAAAACTAGATGGAAGCATTCTCAGAAACTACTTTGTGATGATTGCATTCGACTCACAGAGTTGAACATTCCTATAGATAGAGCAGGTTGTAAACAATCTTTTTGTAGAATCTGCGATTGGAGATTTGGACTGCTTTGAGGCCAACTGTAGTAAAGGAAATAACTTCATCTAAAAACCAAACGGAAGCATTCACAGACAATTCTTAGTGATCATTGCATTGATCTAACAGAGCTGAACATTCCTTTAGATGGCGTAGTTTCCAAACACACTTTCTGTAGAATCTGCAAGTGGATATTTTGACCTCTCTGAGGATTTCGTTGGAAACGGGATAAACTTCCCAGAACTTCACGGAAGCATTCTGAGAAACTTCTTTGTGATATTTGCATTCAACTCACAGAGTTGAACCTTGCTTTCATAGTTCAGCTTTGAAACACTCTTTTTGTAGAATCTGCAAGTGGATATTTGGACCACTTTGTGGCCTTCCTTCGAAACGGGTATATCTTCACATCAAACCTAGACAGAAGCATTCTCAGAATGTTTCCTGTGATGACTGCATTCAACTCACAGAGGTGAACAATCCTGCTGATGGAGCAGTTTTGAAACTCTCTTTCTTTGGATTCTGCAAGTGGATATGTGGACCTCTGTGAAGATTTCGTTGGAAACGGGTTCATCTTCACAGAAAAACTAAACAGGAGCATTCTCAGAAACTGCTTTGTGATGTTTGTGTTCCACTTCAAGAATTGAACTTTCCTCTTGACAGAGCAGCTCTGAAACCCTCTTTTTCTAGAATCTGCAAGGGGACATTTGGAGGGCTTTGAGGCCTGTGGTGGAAAAGGAAAATCTTCACATAAAAACTAGAAGGAAGCATTCTCAGGAACTCCTTTGTGATGATTGCATTCGACTCACAGAGTTGAACATTCCTATAGATAGAGCAGGTTGTAAACAATCTTTTTGTAGAATCTGCGATTGGAGATTTGGACTGCTTTGAGGCCTACTGTAGTAAAGGAAATAACTTCATCTAAAAACCAAACGGAAGCATTCACAGACAATTCTTAGTGATCATTGGATTGAACTAACAGAGCTGAACATTCCTTTAGATGGAGCAGTTTCCAAACCCACTTTCTGTAGAATCTGCAAGTGGATATTTGGACTTCTCTGAGGATTTCGTTGGAAACGGGATAAACTTCCCAGAACTACACTGAAGCATTCTGAGAAACTTCTTTGTGATGTTTGCATTCAACTCACAGAGTTGAACCTTGCTTTCATAGTTCAGCTTTCAAACCCTCTTTTTGTAGAATCTGCAAGTGGATATTTGGACCACTTTGTGGCCTTCCTTCGAAACGGGTATATCTTCACATCAAACCTAGACAGAAGCATTCTCAGAATGTTTCCTGTGATGACTGCATTCAACTCACAGAGGTGAACAATCCTGTTGATGGAGCAGTTTTGAAACTCTCTTTCTTTGGATTCTGTAAGTTGATATGTGGACCTCTGTGAAGATTTCGTTGGAAACGTGTTCATCTTCACAGAAAAACTAAACAGAAGCATTCTCTGAAACTGCTTTGTGATGTTTGTGTTCCACTTCAAGAATTGAACTTTCCTCTTGACAGAGCAGCTCTGAAACCCTGTTTTTCTAGAATCTGCAAGTGGACATTTGGAGGGCTTTGAGGCCTGTGGTGGAAAAGGAAAATCTTCACATAAAAACTAGATGGAAGCATTCTCAGAAACTACTTTGTGATGATTGCATTCGACTCACAGAGTTGAACATTCCTATAGATAGAGCAGGTTGTAAACAATCTTTTTGTAGAATCTGCGATTGGAGATTTGGAACTGCTTTGAGGCCTACTGTAGTAAAGGAAATAACTTCATCTAAAAACCAAACGGAAAGCATTCACAGACAATTCTTAGTGATCATTGGATTCAACTAACAGAGCTGAACATTCCTTTAGATGGAGCATTTTCCAAACACACTTTCTGTAGAATCTGCAAGTGGATATTTGGACCTCTCTGAGGATTTCGTTGGAAACGGGATAAACTTCCCAGAACTACACGGAAGCATTCTGAGAAACTTCTTTGTGATGTTTGCATTCAACTCACAGAGTTGAACCTTGCTTTCATAGTTCAGCTTTCAAACACTCTTTTTGTAGAATCTGCAAGTGGATATTTGGACCACTTTGTGGCCTTCCTTCGAAACGGGTATATCTTCACATCAAACCTAGACAGAAGCATTCTCAGAATGTTTCCTCTGATGACTGCATTCAACTCACAGAGGTGAAGAATCCTGTTGATGGAGCAGTTTTGAAACTCTCTTTCTTTGGATTCTGCAAGTGGATATGTGGACCTCTGTGAAGATTTCGTTGGAAACGGGTTCATCTTCACAGAAAAACTAAACAGGAGCATTCTCAGAAACTGCTTTGTGATGTTTGTGTTCCACTTCAAGAATTGAACTTTCCTCTTGACAGAGCAGCTCTGAAACCCTCTTTTTCTAGAATCTGCAAGTGGACATTTGGAGGGCTTTGAGGCCTGTGGTGGAAAAGGAAAATCTTCACATGAAAACTAGATGGAAGCATTCTCAGAAACTACTTTGTGATGATTGCATTCGACTCACAGAGTTGAACATTCCTATAGATAGAGCAGGTTGTAAACAATCTTTTTGTACAATCTGCGATTGGAGATTTGGACTGCTTTGAGGCCTACTTTAGTAAAGGAAATAACTTCATCTAGAAACCAAACGGAAGCATTCACAGACAATTCTTAGTGATCATTGCATTGAACTAACAGAGCTGAACATTGCTTTAGATGGAGCAGTTTCCAAACACACTTTCTGTAGAATCTGCAAGTGGATATTTGGACCTCTCTGAGGATTTCGTTGGAAACGGGATAAACTTCCCAGAACTACACGGAAGCATTCTGAGAAACTTCTTTGTGATGTTTGCATTCAACTCACAGATTTGAACCTTGCTTTCAAAGTTCAGCTTTCAAACACTCTTTTTGTAGAATCTGCAAGTGGATATTTGGACCACTTTGTGGCCTTCCTTCGAAAAGGGTATATCTTCACATCAAACCTAGACAGAAGCATTCTCAGAATGTTTCCTGTGATGACTGCATTCAACTCACAGAGGTGAACAATCCTGCTGATGGAGCAGTTTTGAAACTCCCTTTCTTTGGATTCTGCAAGTGGATATGTGGACCTCTGTGAAGATTTCGTTGGAAACGGGTTCATCTTCACAGAAAAACTAAACAGGAGCATTCTCAGAAACTGCTTTGTGATGTTTGTGTTCCACTTCAAGAATTGAACTTTCCTCTTGACAGAGCAGCTCTGAAACCCTCTTTTTCTAGAGTCTGCAAGTGGACATTTGGAGGGCTTTGAGGCCTGTGGTGGAAAAGGAAAATCTTCCCATAAAAACTAGATGGAAGCATTCTCAGAAACTACTTTGTGATGATTGCATTCGACTCACAGAGTTGAACATTCCTATAGATAGAGCCGGTTGTAAACAATCTTTTTGTAGAATCTGCGATTGGAGATTTGGACTGCTTTGAGGCCTACTGTAGTAAAGGAAATAACTTCATCTAAAAACCAAACGGAAGCATTCACAGACAATTCTTAGTGATCATTGGATTGAACTAAGAGAGCTGAACATTCCCTTAGATGGCACAGTTTCCAAACACACTTTCTGTAGAATCTGCAAGTGGATATTTGGACTTCTCTGAGGATTCCGTTGGAAACGGGATAAACTTCCCAGAACTACACGGAAGCATTCTGAGAAACTTCTTTGTGATGTTTGCATTCAACTCACAGAGTTGAACCTTGCTTTCATAGTTCAGCTTTCAAACACTCTTTTTGTAGAATCTGCAAGTGGATATTTGGACCACTTTGTGGCCTTCCTTCGAAACGGGTATATCTTCACATCAAACCTAGACAGAAGCATTCTCAGAATGTTTCCTGTGATGACTGCATTCAACTCACAGAGGTGAACAATCCTGTTGATGGAGCAGTTTTGAAACTCTCTTTCTTTGTATTCTGCAAGTGGATATGTGGACCTCTGTGCAGATTTCGTTGGAAAAGGGTTCATCTTCACAGAAAAACTAAACAGAAGCATTCTCAGAAACTGCTTTGTGATGTTTGTGTTACACTTCAAGAATTGAACTTTCCTCTTGACAGAGCAGCTCTGACACCCTCTTTTTCTAGAATCTGCAAGTGGACATTTGGAGGGCTTTGAGGCCTGTGGTGGAAAAGGAAAATCTTCACATAAAAACTAGATGGAAGCATTCTCAGAAACTTCTTTGTGATGATTGCATTCGACTCACAGAGTTGAACATTCCTATAGATAGAGCAGGTTGTAAACAATCTTTTTGTAGAATCTGCGATTGGAGATTTGGACTGCTTTGAGGCCTACTGTAGTAAAGGAAATTACTTCATCTAAAAACCAAACGGAAGCATTCACAGACAATTCTTAGTGATCATTGCATTGAACTATCAGAGCTGAACATTGCTTTAGATGGAGCAGTTTCCAAACACACTTTCTGTAGAATCTGCAAGTGGATATTTGGACTTCTCTGAGGATTTCGTTGGAAACGGGATAAACTTCCCAGAACTACACGGAAGTATTCTGAGAAACTTCTTTGTGATGTTTGCATTCAACTCACAGAGTTGAACCTTGCTTTCATAGTTCAGCTTTCAAACACTCTTTTTGTAGAATCTGCAAGTGGATATTTGGACCACTTTGTGGCCTTCCTTCGAAACGGGTATATCTTCACATCAAACCTAGACAGAAGCATTCTCAGAATGTTTCCTGTGATGACTGCATTCAACTCACAGAGGTGAACAATCCTGCTGATGGAGCAGTTTTGAAACTCTCTTTCTTTGGATTCTGCAAGTGGATATGTGGACCTCTGTGAAGATTTCGTTGGAAACGGGTTCATCTTCACAGAAAAACTAAACAGAAGCATTCTCAGAAACTGCTTTGTGATGTTTGTGTTCCACTTCAAGAATTGAACTTTCCTCTTGACAGAGCAGCTCTGAAACCCTCTTTTTCTAGAATCTGCAAGTGGACATTTGGAGGGCTTTGAGGCCTGTGGTGGAAAAGGAAAATCTTCACATAAAAACTAGATGGAAGCATTCTCAGAAACTACTTTGTGATGATTGCATTCGACTCACAGGGTTGAACATTCCTATTGATAGAGCAGGTTGTAAACAATCTTTTTGTAGAATCTGCGATTAGAGATTTGGACTGCTTTGAGGCCTACTGTAGTAAAGGAAATAACTTCATCTAAAAACCAAACGGAAGCATTCACAGACAATTCTTAGTGATCATTGCATTGAACTAACAGAGCTGAACATTCCTTTAGATGGCGCAGTTTCCAAACACACTTTCTGTAGAATCTGCAAGTGGATATTTGGACTTCTCTGAGGATTTCGTTGGAAACGGGATAAACTTCCCAGAACTACACGGAAGCATTCTGAGAAACTTCTTTGTGATGTTTGCATTCAACTCACAGAGTTGAACCTTGCTTTCATAGTTCAGCTTTCAAACACTCTTTTTGTAGAATCTGCAAGTGGATATTTGGACCACTTTCTGGCCTTCCTTCGAAACGGGTATATCTTCACATCAAACCTAGACAGAAGAATTCTCAGAATGTTTCCTGTGATGACTGCATTCAACTCAGAGAGGTGAACAATCCTTCTGATGGAGCAGTTTTGAAACTCTCTTTCTTTGGATTCTGCAAGTGGATATGTGGACCTCTGTGAAGATTTCGTTGGAAACGGGTTCATCTTCACAGAAAAACTAAACAGGAGCATTCTCAGAAACTGCTTTGTGATGTTTGTGTTCCCCTTCAAGAATTGAACTTTCCTCTTGACAGAGCAGCTCTGAAACCCTCTTATTCTAGAATCTGCAAGTGGACATTTGGAGGGCTTTGAGGCCTGTGGTGGAAAAGGAAAATCTTCACATAAAAACTAGATGGAAGCATTCTCAGAAACTACTTTGTGATGATGGCTTTCGACTCACAGAGTTGAACATTCCTATAGATAGAGCAGGTTGTAAACAATCTTTTTGTAGAATCTGCGATTGGAGATTTGGACTGCTTTGAGGCCTACTGTAGTAAAGGAAATAACTTCATCTAAAAACCAAACGGAAGCATTCACAGTACAATTCTTAGTGATCATTGGATTGAACTAACAGAGCTGAACATTCCTTTAGATGGAGCAGTTTCCAAACACACTTTCTGCAGAATCTGCAAGTGGATATTTGGACTTCTCTGAGGATTTCGTTGGAAATGGGATAAACTTCCCAGAACTACACGGAAGCATTGTGAGAAACTTCTTTGTGATGTTTGCATTCAACTCACAGAGTTGAACCTTGCTTTCATAGTTCAGCTTTCAAACACTCTTTTTGTAGAATCTGAAAGTGGATATTTGGACCACTTTGTGGCCTTCCTTTGAAACGGGTATATCTTCACATCAAACCTAGACAGAAGCATTCTCAGAATGTTTCCTGTGATGACTGCATTCAACTCACAGAGGTGAACAATCCTGCTGATGGAGCAGTTTTGAAACTCTCTTTCTTTGGATTCTGCAAGTGGATATGTGGACCTCTGTGAAGATTTCGTTGGAAACGGGTTCATCTTCACAGAAAAACTAAACAGAAGCATTCTCAGAAACTGCTTTGTGATGTTTGTGTTCCACTTCAAGAATTGAACTTTCCTCTTGACAGAGCAGCTCTGAAACCCTCTTTTTCTAGAATCTCCAAGTGGACATTTGGAGGGCTTTGAGGCCTGTGGTGGAAAAGGAAAATCTTCACATAAAAAATTGATGGAAGCATTCTCAGAAACTACTTTGTGATGATTGCATTCGACTCACAGAGTTGAACATTCCTATAGATAGAGCAGGTTGTAAACAATCTTTTTGTAGAATCTGCGATTGGAGATTTGGACTGCTTTGAGGCCTACTGAAGTAAAGGAAATAACTTCATCTAAAAACCAAACGGAAGCATTCACAGACAATTCTTAGTGATCATTGGATTGAACTAACAGAGCTGAACACTCCTTTAGATGGAGCAGTTTCCAAACACACTTTCTGTAGAATCTGCAAGTGGATATTTGGACTTCTCTGAGGATTTCGATGGAAACGGGATAAAATTCCCAGAACTACACGGAAGCATGCTGAGAAACTTCTTTGTGATGTTTGCATTCAACTCACAGAGTTGAACCTTGCTTTCATAGTTCAGCTTTCAAACACTCTTTTTGTAGAATCTGCAAGTGGATATTTGGAGCACTTTGTGGCCTTCCTTCGAAACGGGTATATCTTCACATCAAACCTAGACAGAAGCATTCTCAGAATGTTTCCTGTGATGACTGCATTCAACTCACAGAGGTGAACAATCCTGCTGATGGAGCACTTTTGAAACTCTCCTTCTTTGGATTCTGCAAGTGAATATGTGGTCCTCTGTGAAGATTTCGTTGGAAACGGGTTCATCTTCACAGAAAAACTAAACAGAAGCATTCTCAGAAACTGCTTTGTGATGTTTGTGTTCCACTTCAGGAATTGAACTTTCCTCTTGACAGAGCAGCTCTGAAACCCTCTTATTCTAGAATCTGCAAGTGGACATTTGGAGGGCTTTGAGGCCTGTGGTGGAAAAGGAAAATCTTCACATAAAAACTAGATGGAAGCATTATCAGAAACTACTTTGTGATGATTGCATTCGACCCACAGAATTGAACATTCCTATAGATAGAGCAGGTTGTAAACAATCTTTTTGTAGAATCTGCGATTGGAGATTTGGACTGCTTTGAGGCCTACTGTAGTAAAGGAAATAATTTCATCTAAAAACCAAACGGAAGCATTCACAGACAATTCTTAGCGATCATTGGAGTGAACTAACAGAGCTGAACATTCCTTTAGATGGAGCAGTTTCCAAACACACTTTCTGTAGAATCTGCAAGTGGATATTTGGACTTCTCTGAGGATTTCGTTGGAAACGGGATAAACTTCCCAGAACTACATGGAAGCATTCTGAGAAAATTCTTTGTGATGTTTGCATTCAACTCACAGAGTTGAACCTTGCTTTCATAGTTCAGCTTTCAAACACTCTTTTCGTAGAATCTGCAAGTAGATATTTGGACCACTTTGTGGCCTTCCTTCGAAACGGGTATATCTTCACATCAAACCTAGACAGAAGCATTCTCAGAATGTTTCCTGTGATGACTGCATTCAACTCACAGAGGTGAACAATCCTGTTGATGGAGCAGTTTTGAAACTCTCTTTCTTTGGATTCTGCATGTGGATATGTGGACCTCTGTGAAGATTTCGTTGGAAACGGGTTCATCTTCACAGAAAAACTAAACAGGAGCATTCTCAGAAACTGCTTTGTGATGTTTGTGTTCCACTTCAGGAATTGAACTTTCCTCTTGACAGAGTAGCTCTGAAACCCTCTTTTTCTAGAATCTGCAAGTGGACATTTGGAGGGCTTTGAGGCCTGTGGTGGAAAAGGAAAATCTTCACATAAAAACTAGATGGAAGCATTCTCAGAAACTACTTTGTGATGATTGCATTCGACTCACAGAGTTGAACATTCCTATAGATAGAGCAGGTTGTAAACAATCTTTTTGTAGAATCTGCGATTGGAGATTTGGACTGCTTTGAGGCCTACTGTAGTAAAGGAAATAACTTCATCTAAAAACCAAACGGAAGCATTCACAGACAATTCTTAGTGATCATTGGATTGAACTAACAGAGCTGAACATTCCTTTAGATGGAGCATTTTCCAAACACACTTTCTGTAGAATCTGCAAGTGGATATTTGGACTTCTCTGAGGATTTCGTTGGAAACGGGATAAACTTCCCAGAACTACACGGAAGCATTCTGAGAAACTTCTTTGTGATGTTTGCATTCAACTCACAGAGTTGAACCTTGCTTTCATAGTTCAGCTTTCAAACACTCTTTTTGTAGAATCTGCAAGTGGATATTTGGACCACTTTGTGGCCTTCCTTCGAAACGGGTATATCTTCACATCAAACCTTGACAGAAGCATTCTCAGAATGTTTCCAGTGATGACTGCATTCAACTCACAGAGGTGAACAATCCTGTTGATGGAGCAGTTTTGAAACTCTCTTTCTTTGGATTCTGCAAGTGGATATGTGGACCTCTGTGAACATTTCGTTGGAAACGGGTTCATCTTCACAGAAAAACTAAACAGAAGCATTCTCAGAAACTACTTTGTGATGTTTGTGTTCCACTTCAAGAATTGAACTTTCCTCTTGACAGAGCAGCTCTGAAACCCTCTTTTTCTAGAATCTGCAAGTGGACATTTGGAGGGCTTTGAGGCCTGTGGTGGAAAAGGAAAATCTTCACATAAAAACTAGATGGAAGCATTCTCAGAAACTACTTTGTGATGATTGCATTCGACTCACAGAGTTGAACATTCCTATAGATAGAGCAGGTTGTAAACAATCTTTTTGTAGAATCTGCGATTGGAGATTTGGACTGCTTTGAGGCCTACTTGTAGTAAAGGCAATAACTTCATCTAAAAACCAAACGGAAGCATTCACAGACAATTCTTAGTGATCATTGGATTGAACTAACAGAGCTGAACATTCCTTTAGATGGCGCAGTTTCCAAACACACTTTCTGTAGAATCTGCAAGTGGATATTTGGACCTCTCTGAGGATTTCGTTGGAAACGGGATAAACTTCCCAGAACTACACGGAAGCATTCTGAGAAACTTCTTTGTGATGTTTGCATTCAACTCACAGAGTTGAACCTTGCTTTCATAGTTCAGCTTTCAAACACTCTTTTTGTAGAATCTGCAAGTGGATATTTGGACCACTTTCTGGCCTTCCTTCGAAACGGGTATATCTTCACATCAAACCTAGACAGAAGCATTCTCAGAATGTTACCTGTGATGACTGCATTCAACTCACAGAGGTGAACAATCCTGCTGATGGAGCAGTTTTGAAACTCTCTTTCTTTGGATTCTGCAAGTGGATATGTGGACCTCTGTGAAGATTTCGTTGGAAACGTGCTCATCTTCACAGAAAAACTAAACAGGAGCATTCTCAGAAACTGCTTTGTGATGTTTGTGTTCCACTTCAAGAATTGAACTTTCCTCTTGACAGAGCAGCTCTGAAACCCTCTTTTTCTAGAATCTGCAAGTGGACATTTGGAGGGCTTTGAGGCCTGTGGTGGAAAAGGAAAATCTTCCCATAAAAACTAGATGGAAGCATTCTCAGAAACTACTTTGTGATGATTGCATTCGACTCACAGAGTTGAACATTCCTATAGATAGAGCAGGTTGTAAACAATGTTTTTGTAGAATCTGCGATTGGAGATTTGGACTGCTTTGAGGCCTACTGTAGTAAAGGAAATAACTTCATCTAAAAACCAAACGGAAGCATTCACAGACAATTCTTAGTGATCATTGCATTGAACTAACAGAGCTGAACATTCCTTTAGATGGAGCAGTTTCCAAACACACTTTCTGTAGAATCTGCAAGTGGATATTTGGACTTCTACTGAGGATTTCGTTGGAAACGGGATAAACTTCCCAGAACTACACGGAAGCATTCTGAGAAACTTCTTTGTGATGTTTGCATTCAACGCACAGAGTTGAACCTTGCTTTCATAGTTCAGCTTTCAAACACTCTTTTTGTAAAATCTGCAAGTGGATATTTGGACCACTTTGTGGCCTTCCTTCGAAACGGGTATATCTTCACATCAAACCTAGACAGAAGCATTCTCAGAATGTTTCCTGTGATGACTGCATTCAACTCACAGAGGTGAACAATCCTGCTGATGGAGCAGTTTTGAAACTCTCTTTCTTTGGATTCTGCAAGTGGATATGTGGACCTCTGTGAAGATTTCGTTGGAAACGGGTTCATCTTCACAGAAAAACTAAACAGGAGCATTCTCAGAAACTGCTTTGTGATGTTTGTGTTCCACTTCAAGAATTGAACTTTCCTCTTGACAGAGCAGCTCTGAAACCCTCTTTTTCTAGAATCTGCAAGTGGACATTTGGAGGGCTTTGAGGCCTGTGGTGGAAAAGGAAAATCTTCACATAAAAACTAGATGGAAGCATTCTCAGAAACTACTTTGTGATGATTGCATTCGACTCACAGAGTTGAACATTCCTATAGATAGAGCAGGTTGTAAACAATCTTTTTGTAGAATCTGCGATTGGAGATTTGGAGTGCTTTGGGGCCTACTGTAGTAAAGGAAAAAACTTCATCTAAAAACCAAACGGAAGCATTCACAGACAATTCTTAGTGATCATTGGATTGAACTAACAGAGCTGAACATTCCTTTAGATGGAGCAGTTTCCAAACACACCTTCTGTAGAATCTGCAAGTGGATATTTGGACCTCTCTGAGGATTTCGTTGGAAACGGGATAAACTTCCCAGAACTACACGGAAGCATTGTGAGTAACTTCTTTGTGATGTTTGCATTCAACTCACAGAGTTGAACCTTGCTTTCATAGTTCAGCTTTCAAACACTCTTTTTGTAGAATCTGCAACTGGATATTTGGACCACTTTGTGGCCTTCCTTCGAAACGGGTATATCTTCACATCAAACCTAGACAGAAGCATTCTCAGAATGTTTCCTGCGATGACTGCATTCAACTCACAGAGGTGAACAATCCTGTTGATGGAGCACTTTTGAAACTCTCTTTCTTTGGATTCTGCAAGTAGATATGTGGACCTCTGTGAAGATTTCGTTGGAAACGGGTTCATCTTCACAGAAAAACTAAACAGAAGCATTCTCAGAAACTGCTTTGTGATGTTTGTGTTCCACTTCAAGAATTGAACTTTCCTCTTGACAGAGCAGCTCTGAAACCCTCTTTTTCTAGAATCTGCAAGTGGACATTTGGAGGGTTTGAGGCCTGTGGTGGAAAAGGAAAATCTTCACATAAAAACTAGATGGAAGCATTCTCAGAAACTACTTTGTGATGATTGCATTCGACTCACAGAGTTGAACATTCCTATAGATAGAGCAGGTTGTAAACAATCTTTTTGTAGAATCTGCGATTGGAGATTTGGACTGCTTTGAGGCCTACTGTAGTAAAGGAAATAACTTCATCTAAAAACGAAACGGAAGCATTCACAGACAATTCTTAGTCATCATTGGATTGAACTAACAGAGCTGAACATTCCTTTAGATGGAGCAGTTTCCAAACACACTTTCTGTAGAATCTGCAAGTGGATATTTGGAGTTCTCTGAGGATTTCGTTGAAAACGGGATAAACTTCCCAGAACTACACGGAAGCATTCTGAGAAACTTCTTTGTGATGTTTGCATTCAACTCACAGAGTTGAACCTTGCTTTCATAGTTCAGCTTTCAAACACTCTTTTTGTAGAATCTGCAAGTGGATATTTGGACCACTTTGTGGCCTTCCTTCGAAACGGGTATATCTTCACATCAAACCTAGACAGAAGCATTCTCAGAATGTTTTCTGTGATGACTGCATTCAACTCACAGAAGTGAACAATCCTGCTGATGGAGCAGTTTTGAAACTCTCTTTCTTTGGATTCTGCAAGTGGATATGTGGACCTCTGTGAACATTTCGTTGGAAACGGGTTCATCTTCACAGAAAAACTAAACAGGAGCATTCTCAGAAACTGCTTTGTGATGTTTGTGTTCCACTTCAAGAATTGAACTTTCCTCTTGACAGAGCAGCTCTGAAACCCTCTTTTTCTAGAATCTGCAAGTGGACATTTGGAGGGCTTTGAGGCCTGTGGTGGAAAAGGAAAATCTTCCCATAAAAACTAGATGGAAGCATTCTCAGAAACTACTTTGTGATGATGGCATTCGACTCACAGAGTTGAACATTCCTATAGATAGAGCAGGTTGTAAACAATCTTTTTGTAGAATCTGCGATTGGAGATTTGGACTGCTTTGAGGCCTACTGTAGTAAAGGAAATAACTTCATCTAAAAACCAAACGGAAGCATTCACAGACAATTCTTAGTGATCATTGCATTGAACTAACAGAGCTGAACATTCCTTTAGATGGCGCAGTTTCCAAACACACTTTCTGTAGAATCTGCAAGTGGATATTTGGACCTCTCTGAGGATTTCGTTGGAAACGGGATAAACTTCCCAGAACTACACGGAAGCATTCTGAGAAACTTCTTTGTGATGTTTGCATTCAACTCACAGAGTTGAACCTTGCTTTCATAATTCAGCTTTCAAACACTCTTTTTGTAGAATCTGCAAGTGGATATTTGGACCACTTTGTGGCCTTCCTTCGAAAGGGGTATATCTTCACATCAAACCTAGACAGAAGCATTCTCAGAATGTTTCCTGTGATGACTGCATTCAACTCACAGAGGTGAACAATCCTGCTGATGGAGCAGTTTTGAAACTCTCTTTCTTTGGATTCTGCAAGTGGATATGTGGACCTCTGTGAAGATTTCGTTGGAAACGGGTTCATCTTCACAGAAAAACTAAAACAGGAAGCATTCTCAGTAAACTGCTTTGTGATGTTTGTGTTCCACTTCAGGAATTGAACTTTCCTCTTGACAGAGCAGCTCTGAAACCCTCTTATTCTAGAATCTGCAAGTGGACATTTGGAGGGCGTTGAGGCCTGTGGTGGAAAAGGAAAATCTTCACATAAAAACTAGATGGAAGCATTCTCAGAAACTCCTTTGTGATGATTGCGTTCGACTCACAGAGTTGAATTTTCCTACAGATAGAGCAGGTCGTAAACAATCTTTTTGTAGAATCTGCGATTGGAAATTTGGACTGCTTTGAGGCCTACTGTAGTAAAGGAAATAACTTCATCTAAAAACCAAACGGAAGCATTCACAGACAATTCTTAGTGATCATTGCATTGAACTAACAGAGCTGAACATTCCTTTAGATGGAGCAGTTTCCAAACACACTTTCTGTAGAATCTGCAAGTGGATATTTGGACCTCTCTGAGGATTTCGTTGGAAACGGGATAAACTTCCCAGAACTACACGGAAGCATTGTGAGAAACTTCTTTGTGATGTTTGCATTCAACTCACAGAGTTGAACCTTGCTTTCATAGTTCAGCTTTCAAACACTCTTTTCGTAGAATCTGCAAGTGGATATTTGGACCACTTTGTGGCCTTCCTTCGAAACAGGTATATCTTCACATCAAACCTAGACAGAAGCATTCTCAGAATGTTTCCTGTGATGACTGCATTCAACTCACAGAGGTGAACAATCCTGCTGATGGAGCAGTTTTGAAACTCTCTTTCTTTGGATTCTGCAAGTGGATATGTGGACCTCTGTGAAGATTTCGTTGGAAACGGGTTCATCTTCACAGAAAAACTAAACAGGAGCATTCTCAGAAACTGCTTTGTGATGTTTGTGTTCCACTTCAGGAATTGAACTTTCCTCTTGACAGAGCAGCTCTGAAATCCTCTTATTCTAGAATCTGCAAGTGGACATTTGGAGGGCTTTGAGGCCTGTGGTGGAAAAGGAAAATCTTCACATAAAAACTAGATGGAAGCATTCTCAGAAACTACTTTGTGATGATTGCATTCGACTCACAGAGTTGAACATTCCTATAGATAGAGCAGGTTGTAAACAATCTTTTTGTAGAATCTGCGATTGGAGATTTGGACTGCTTTGAGGCCTACTGTAGTAAAGGAAATAACTTCATCTAAAAACCAAACGGAAGCATTCACAGAAAATTCTTAGTGATCATTGGATTGAACTAACAGAGCTGAAAATTCCTTTAGATGGAGCAGTTTCCAAACCCACTTTCTGTAGAATCTGCAAGTGGATATTTGGACTTCTCTGAGGATTTCGTTGGAAAAGGGATATGCCTCCCAGAAATACAGGGAAGCATTCTGAGAAACTTCTTTGTGATGTTTGCATTCAACTCACAGAGTTGAACCTTGCTTTCATAGTTCAGCTTTCAAACATTCTTTTTGTAGAATCTGCAAGTGGATATTTGGACCACTTTGTGGTCTTCCTTCGAAACGGGTATATCTTCACATCAAACCTAGACAGAAGCATTCTCAGAATGTTTCCTGTGATGACTGCATTCAACTCACAGAGGTGAACAATCCTGTTGATGGAGCACTTTTGAAACTCTCTTTCTTTGGATTCTGCAAGTTGATATGTGGACCTCTGTGAAGATTTCGTTGGAAACGGGTTCATCTTCACAGAAAAACTAAACAGAAGCATTCTCAGAAACTGCTTTGTGATGGTTGTGTTCCACTTCAAGAATTGAACTTTCCTCTTGACAGAGCAGCTCTGAATCCCTCTTTTTCTAGAATCTGCAAGTGGACATTTGGAGGGCTTTGAGGCCTGTGGTGGAAAAGGAAAATCTTCACATAAAAACTAGATGGAAGCATTCTCAGAAACTACTTTGTGATGATTGCATCCGACTCACAGAGTTGAACATTCCTATAGATAGAGCAGGTTGTAAACAATCTTTTTGTAGAATCTGCGATTGGAGATTTGGACTGCTTTGAGGCCTACTGTAGTAAAGGAAATAACTTCATCTAAAAATCAAACGGAAGCATTCACAGACAATTCTTAGTGATCATTGCATTGAACTAACAGAGCTGAACATTCCTTTAGATGGAGCAGTTTCCAAACACACTTTCTGTAGAATCTGAAAGTGGATATTTGGACTTCTCTGAGGATTTCGTTGGAAACGGGATAAACTTCTCAGAACTACACGGAAGCATGCTGAGAAACTTCTTTGTGATGTTTGCATTCAACTCACAGAGTGGAACCTTGCTTTCATAGTTCAGCTTTCAAACACTCTTTTTGTGGAATCTGCAAGTGGATATTTGGACCACTTTGTGGCCTTCCTTCGAAACGGGTATATCTTCACATCAAACATAGACAGAAGCATTCTCAGAATGTTTCCTGTGATGACTGCATTCAACTCACAGAGGTGAACAATCCTGTTGATGGAGCACTTTTGAAACTCTCTTTCTTTGGATTCTGCAAGTTGATATGTGGACCTCTGTGAAGATTTCGTTGGAAACGGGTTCATCTTCACAGAAAAACTAAACAGAAGCATTCTCAGAAACTGCTTTGTGATGTTTGTGTTCCACTTCAGGAATTGAACTTTCCTCTTGACAGAGCAGCTCTGAAACCCTCTTTTTCTAGAATCTGCAAGTGGACATTTGGAGGGCTTTGAGGCCTGTGGTGGAAAAGGAAAATCTTCACATAAAAACTAGATGGAAGCATTCTCAGAAACTACTTTGTGATGATTGCATTCGACTCACAGAGTTCAACATTCCTATAGATAGAGCAGGTTGTAAACAATCTTTTTGTAGAATCTGCGATTGGAGATTTGGACTGCTTTGAGGCCTACTGTAGTAAATTAAATAACTTCATCTAAAAACCAAACGGAAGCATTCACAGACAATTCTTAGTGATCATTGCATTGAACTAACAGAGCTGAACATTCCTTTAGATGGCGCAGTTTCCAAACACACTTTCTGTAGAATCTGCAAGTGGATATTTGGACCTCTCTGAGGATTTCGTTGGAAACGGGATAAACTTCCCAGAACTACACGGAAGCATTCTGAGAAAGTTCTTTGTGATGTTTGCATTCAACTCACAGAGTTGAACCTTGCTTTCATAGTTCAGCTTTCAAACACTCTTTTTGTAGAATCTGAAAGTGGATATTTGGACCACTTTGTGGCCTTCCTTCGAAACGGGTATATCTTCACATCAAACCTAGACAGAAGCATTCTCAGAATGTTTCCTGTGATGACTGCATTCAACTCACAGAGGTGAACAATCCTGCTGATGGAGCAGTTTTGAAACTCTCTTTCTTTGGATTCTGCAAGTGGATATGTGGACCTCTGTGAAGATTTCGTTGGAAACGGGTTCATCTTCACAGAAAAACTAAACAGAAGCATTCTCAGAAACTGCTTTGTGATGTTTGTGTTCCACTTCAGGAATTGAACTTTCCTCTTGACAGAGCAGCTCTGAAACCCTCTTATTCTAGAATCTGCAAGTGGACATTTGGAGGGCTTTGAGGCCTGTGGTGGAAAAGGAAAATCTTCACATAAAAACTAGATGGAAGCATTCTCAGAAACTCCTTTGTGATGATTGCATTCGACTCACAGAGTTGAACATTCCTATAGATAGAGCAGGTTGTAAACAATCTTTTTGTAGAATCTGCGATTGGAGATTTGGACTGCTTTGAGGCCTACTGTAGTAAAGGAAATAACTTCATCTAAAAACCAAACGGAAGCATTCACAGACAATTCTTAGTGATCATTGCATTGAACTAACAGAGCTGAACATTGCTTTAGATGGCGCAGTTTCCAAACACACTTTCTGTAGAATCTGCAAGTGGATATTTGGACCTCTCTGAGGATTTCGTTGGAAACGGGATAAACTTCCCAGAATTACACGGAAGCATTGTGAGAAACTTCTTTGTGATGTTTGCATTCAACTCACAGAGTTGAACCTTGCTTTCATAGTTCAGCTTTCAAACACTCTTTTTGTAGAATCTGCAAGTGGATATTTGGACCACTTTGTGGCCTTCCTTCGAAACGGGTATATCTTCACATCAAACCTAGACAGAAGCACTCTCAGAATGTTTCCTGTGATGACTGCATTCAACTCACAGAGGTGAACAATCCTGCTGATGGAGCAGTTTTGAAACTCTCTTTCTTTGGATTCTGCAAGTGGATATGTGGACCTCTGTGAAGATTTCGTTGGAAACGGGTTCATCTTCACAGAAAAACTAAACAGAAGCATTCTCAGAAACTGCTTTGTTATGTTTGTGTTCCACTTCAAGAATTGAACTTTCCTCTTGACAGAGCAGCTCTGAAACCCTCTTATTCTACAATCTGCAAGTGGACATTTGGAGGGCTTTGAGGCCTGTGGTGGAAAAGGAAAATCTTCACATAAAAACTAGATGGAAGCATTCTCAGAAACTACTTTGTGATGATTGCATTCGACTCACAGAGTTGAACATTCCTATACATAGAGCAGGTTGTAAACAATCTTTTTGTAGAATCTGCGATTGGAGATTTGGACTGCTTTGAGGCCTACTGTAGTAAAGGAAATAACTTCATCTAAAAACCAAACGGAAGCATTCACAGACAATTCTTAGTGATCATTGCATTGAACTAACAGAGCTGAACATTCCTTTAGATGGCGCAGTTTCCAAACACACTTTCTGTAGAATCTGCAAGTGGATATTTGGACCTCTCTGAGGATTTCGTTGGAAACGGGATAAACTTCCCAGAACTACACGGAAGCATTCTGAGAAACTTCTTTGTGATGTTTGCATTCAACTCACAGAGTTGAACCTTGCTTTCATAGTTCAGCTTTCAAACACTCTTTTTGTAGAATCTGCAAGTGGATATTTGGACCACTTTGTGGCCTTCCTTCGAAACGGGTATATCTTCACATCAAACCTAGACAGAAGAATTCTCAGAATGTTTCCTGTGATGATTGCATTCAACTCACAGAGGTGAACAATCCTGTTGATGGAGCAGTTTTGAAACTCTCTTTCTTTGGATTCTGCAAGTGGATATGTGGACCTCTGTGAAGATTTGGTTGGAAACGGGTTCATCTTCCCAGAAAAACTAAAAAGAAGCATTCTCAGAAACTGCTTTGTGATGTTTGTGTTCCACTTCAGGAATTGTATTTTCCTCTTGACAGAGCAGCTCTGAAACCCTCTTATTCTAGAATCTGCAAGTGGACATTTGGAGGGCTTTGAGGCCTGTGGTGGAAAAGGAAAATCTTCACATAAAAACTAGATGGAAGCATTCTCAGAAACTACTTTGTGATGATTGCATTCGACTCACAGAGTTGAACATTCCTATAGATAGAGCAGGTTGTAAACAATCTTTTTGTAGAATCTGCGATTGGAGATTTGGACTGCTTTGAGGCCTACTGTAGTAAAGGAAATAACTTCATCTAAAAACCAAACGGAAGCATTCACAGACAATTCTTAGTGATCATTGCATTGAACTAACAGAGCTGAACATTGCTTTAGATGGCGCAGTTTCCAAACACACTTTCTGTAGAATCTGCAAGTGGATATTTGGACCTCTCTGAAGATTTCGTTGGAAACGGGATAAACTTCCCAGAACTACACGGAAAGCATTCTGAGAAACTTCTTTGTGATGTTTGCATTCAACTCACAGGATTTGCACCTTGCTTTCATAGTTCAGCTTTCAAACACTCTTTTTGTAGAATCTGCAAGTGGATATTTGGACCACTTTGTGGCCTTCCTTCGAAAAGGGTATATCTTCACATCAAACCTAGACAGAAGCATTCTCAGAATGTTTCCTGTGATGACTGCATTCAACTCACAGAGGTGAACAATCCTGCTGATGGAGCAGTTTTGAAACTCTCTTTCTTTGGATTCTGCAAGTGGATATGTGGACCTCTGTGAAGATTTCGTTGGAAACGGGTTCATCTTCACAGAAAAACTAAACAGGAGCATTCTCAGAAACTGCTTTGTGATGTTTGTGTTCCACTTCAGGAATTGAACTTTCCTCTTGACAGAGCAGCTCTGAAACCCTCTTTTTCTAGAATCTGCAAGTGGACATTTGGAGGGCTTTGAGGCCTGTGGTGGAAAAGGAAAATCTTCACATAAAAACTAGATGGAAGCATTCTCAGAAACTACTTTGTGATGTTTGCATTCGACTCACAGAGTTGAACATTCCTATAGATAGAGCAGGTTGAAAACAATCTTTTTGTAGAATCTGCGATTGGAGATTTGGACTGCTTTGAGGCCTACTGTAGTAAAGGAAATAACTTCATCTAAAAACCAAACGGAAGCATTCACAGACAATTCTTAGTGATCATTGCATTGAACTAACAGAGCTGAACATTCCTTTAGATGGAGCAGTTTCCAAACACACTTTCTGTAGAATCTGCAAGTGGATATTTGGACCTCTCTGAGGATTTCGTTGGAAACGGGATAAACTTCCCAGAACTACACGGAAGCATTGTGAGAAAATTCTTTGTGATGTTTGCATTCAACTCACAGAGTTGAACGTTGCTTTCATAGTTCAGCTTTCAAACACTCTTTTTGTAGAATCTGCAAGTGGATATTTGGACCACTTTGTGGCCTTCCTTCGAAACGGGTATATCTTCACATCAAACCTAGACAGAAGCATTCTCAGAATGTTTCCTGTGATGACTGCATTCAACTCACAGAGGTGAACAATCCTGCTGATGGAGCAGTGTTGAAACTCTCTTTCTTTGGATTCTGCAAGTGGATATGTGGACCTCTGTGAAGATTTCGTTGGAAACGGGTTCATCTTCACAGAAAAACTAAACAGGAGCACTCTCAGAAACTGCTTTGTGATGTTTGTGTTCCACTTCAAGAATTGAACTTTCCTCTTGACAGAGCAGCTCTGAAACCCTCTTTTTCTAGAATCTGCAAGTGGACATTTGGAGGGCTTTGAGGCCTGTTGTGGAAAAGGAATATCTTCCCATAAAAACTAGATGGAAGCATTCTCAGAAACTACTTTGTGATGATTGCATTCGACTCACAGAGTTGAACATTCCTATACATAGAGCAGGTTGTAAACAATCTTTTTGTAGAATCTGCGATTGGAGATTTGGACTGCTTTGAGGCCTACTGTAGTAAAGGAAATAACTTCATCTAAAAACCAAACGGAAGCATTCACAGACAATTCTTAGTGATCATTGGATTGAACTAACAGAGCTGAACATTCCTTTAGATGGAGCAGTTTCCAAACCCACTTTCTGTAGAATCTGCAAGTGGATATTTGGACTTCTCTGAGGATTTCGTTGGAAACGGGATAAACTTCCCAGAACTACACGGAAGCATTCTGAGAAACTTCTTTGTGATGTTTGCATTCAACTCACAGAGTTGAACCTTGCTTTGATAGTTCAGCTTTCAAACACTCTTTTTGTAGAATCTGCAAGTGGATATTTGGACCACTTTGTGGCCTTCCTTCGAAACGGGTATATCTTCACATCAAACCTAGACAGAGGCATTCTCAGAATGTTTCCTGTGATGACTGCATTCAACTCACAGAGGTGAACAATCCTGTTGATGGAGCACTTTTGAAGCTCTCTTTCTTTGGATTCTGCAAGTTGATATGTGGACCTCTGTGAAGATTTCGTTGGAAACGGGTTCATCTTCACAGAAAAACTAAACAGAAGCATTCTCAGAAACTGCTTTGTGATGTTTGTGTTCCACTTCAAGAATTGAACTTTCCTCTTGACAGAGCAGCTCTGAAACCCTCTTTTTCTAGAATCTGCAAGTGGACATTTGGAGGGGTTGAGGCCTGTGGTGGAAAAGGAAAATCTTCACATAAAAACTAGATGGAAGCATTCTCAGAAACTACTTTGTGATGATTGCATTCGACTCACAGAGTTGAACATTCCTATAGATAGAGCAGGTTGTAAACAATCTTTTTGTAGAATCTGCGATTGGAGATTTGGACTGCTTTGAGGCCTACTGTAGTAAAGGAAATAACTTCATCTAAAAACCAAACGGAAGCATTCACAGACAATTCTTAGTGATCATTGGATTGAACTAACAGAGCTGAACATTCCTTTAGATGGAGCAGTTTCCAAACACACTTTCTGTAGAATCTGCAAGTGGATATTTGGACCTCTCTGAGGATTTCGTTGGAAACGGGATAAACTTCCCAGAACTACACGGAAGCATTCTGAGAAACTTCTTTGTGATGTTTGCATTCAACTCACAGAGTTGAACCTTGCTTTCATAGTTCAGCTTTCAAACACTCTTTTTGTAGAATCTGCAAGTGGATATTTGGACCACTTTGTGGCCTTCCTTCGAAACGGGTATATCTTCACATCAAACCTAGACAGAAGCATTCTCAGAATGTTTCCTGTGATGACTGCATTCAACTCACAGAGGTGAACAATCCTGCTGATGGAGCAGTTTTGAAACTCTCCTTCTTTGGATTCTGCAAGTGGATATGTGGACCTCTGTGAAGATTTCGTTGGAAACGGGTTCATCTTCACAGAAAAACTTAACAGAAGCATTCTCAGAAACTGCTTTGTGATCTTTGTGTTCCACTTCAAGAATTGAACTTTCCTCTTGACAGAGCAGCTCTGAAACCCACTTTTTCTAGAATCTGCAAGTGGACATTTGGAGGGCTTTGAGGCCTGTGGTGGAAAAGGAAAATCTTCACATAAAAACTAGATGGAAGCATTCTCAGAAACTACTTTGTGATGATTGCATTCGACTCACAGAGTTGAACATTCCTATAGATAGAGCAGGTTGTAAACAATCTTTTTGTAGAATCTGCGATTGGAGATTTGGACTGCTTTGAGGCCTACTGTAGTAAAGGAAATAACTTCATCTAAAAACCAAACGGAGGTATTCAAAGACAATTCTTAGTGATCATTGGATTGAACTAACAGAGCTGAACATTAGTTTAGATGGCGCAGTTTCCAAACACAATTTCTGTAGAATCTGCAAGTGGATATTTGGACTTCTCTGAGGATTTCGTTGGAAACGGGATAAACTTCCCAGAACTACACGGCAGCATTCTGAGAAACTTCTTTGTGATGTTTGCATTCAACTCACAGAGTTGAACCTTGCTTTCATAGTTCAGCTTTCAAACACTCTTTTTGTAGAATCTGCAAGTGGATATTTGGACCACTTTCTGGCCTTCCTTCGAAACGGGTATATCTTCACATCAAACCTAGACAGAAGCATTCTCAGAATGTTTCCTGTGATGACTGCATTCAACTCACAGAGGTGAACAATCCTGCTGATGGAGCAGTTTTGAAACTCTCTTTCTTTGGATTCTGCAAGTGGATATGTGGACCTCTGTGAAGATTTCGTTGGAAACGGGTTCATCTTCACAGAAAAACTAAACAGGAGCATTCTCAGAAACTGCTTTGTGATGTTTGTGTTCCACATCAAGAATTGAACTTTCCTCTTGACAGAGCAGCTCTGAAACCCTCTTTTTCTAGAATCTGCAAGTGGACATTTGGAGGGCTTTGAGGCCTGTGGTGCAAAAGGAAAATCTTCACATAAAAACTAGATGGAAGCATTCTCAGAAACTACTTTGTGATGATTGCATTCGACTCACAGAGTTGAACATTCCTATAGATAGAGCAGGTTGTAAACAATCTTTTTGTAGAATCTGCGATTGGAGATTTGGACTGCTTTGAGGCCTACTGTAGTAAAGGAAATAACTTCATCTAAAAACCAAACGGAAGCATTCACAGACAATTCTTAGTGATCATTGGATTGAACTAACAGAGCTGAACATTCCTTTAGATGGAGCAGTTTCCAAACACACTTTCTGTAGAATCTGCAAGTGGATATTTGGACCTCTCTGAGGATTTCGTTGGAAACGGGATAAACTTCCCAGAACTACACGGAAGGATTCTGAGAAACTTCTTTGTGATGTTTGCATTCAACTCACAGAGTTGAACCTTGCTTTCATAGTTCAGCTTTCAAACACTCTTTTTGTAGAATCTGCAAGTGGATATTTGGACCACTTTGTGGCCTTCCTTCGAAACGGGTATATCTTCACATCAAACCTTGACAGAAGCATTCTCAGAATGTTTCCTGTGATGACTGCATTCAACTCACAGAGGTGAACAATCCTGTTGATGGAGCAGCTTTGAAACTCTCTTTCTTTGGATTCTGCAAGTGGATATGTGGACCTCTGTGAAGATTTCGTTGGAAACGGGTTCATCTTCACAGAAAAACTAAACAGGAGCATTCTCAGAAACTGCTTTGTGATGCTTTTGTTCCACTTCAAGAATTGAACTTTCCTCTTGACAGAGCAGCTCTGAAACCCTCTTTTTCTAGAATCTGCAAGTGTACATTTGGAGGGCTTTGAGGCCTGTGGTGGAAAAGGAAAATCTTCACATAAAAACTAGATGGAAGCATTCTCAGAAACTACTTTGTGATGATTGCATTCGACTCACAGAGTTGAACATTCCTATAGATAGAGCAGGTTGTAAACAATCTTTTTGTAGAATCTGCGATTGGAGATTTGGACTGCTTTGAGGCCTACTGTAGTAAAGGAAATAACTTCATCTAAAAACCAAACGGAAGCATTCACAGACAATTCTTAGTGATCATTGGATTGAACTAACAGAGCTGAACATTCCTTTAGATGGAGCAGTTTCCAAACCCACTTTCTGTAGAATCTGCAAGTGGATATTTGGACTTCTCTGAGGATTTCGTTGGAAATGGGATAAACTTCCCAGAACTACATGGAAGCATTCTGAGAAACTTCTTTGTGATGTTTGCATTCAACTCACAGAGTTGAACCTTGCTTTCATAGTTCAGCTTTCAAACACTCTTTTTGTAGAATCTGCAAGTGGATATTTGGACCACTTTGTGGCCTTCCTTCGAAACGGGTATATCTTCACATCAACCCTAGACAGAAGCATTCTCGGAATGTTTCCTGTGATGACTGCATTCAACTCACAGAGGTGAACAATCCTGCTGATGGAGCAGTTTTGAAACTCTCTTTCTTTGGATTCTGCAAGTGGATATGTGGACCTCTGTGAAGATTTCGTTGGAAACGGGTTCATCTTCACAGAAAAACTAAACAGGAGCATTCTCAGAAACTGCTTTGTGATGTTTGTGTTCCACTTCAAGAATTGAACTTTCCTCTTGACAGAGCAGCTCTGAAACCCTCTTTTTCTAGAATCTGCAAGTGGACATTTGGAGGGCTTTGAGGCCTGTGGTGGAAAAGGAAACTCTTCACATAAAAACTAGATGGAAGCATTCTCAGAAACTACTTTGTGATGATTGCATTCGACTCACAGAGTTGAACATTCCTATAGATAGAGCAGGTTGTAAACAATCTTTTTGTAGAATCTGCGATTGGAGATTTGGACTGCTTTGAGGCCTACTGTAGTAAAGGAAATAACTTCATCTAAAAACCAAACGGAAGCATTCACAGACAATTCTTAGTGATCATTGGATTGAACTAACAGAGCTGAACATTCCCTTAGATGGCGCAGTTTCCAAACACACTTTCTGTAGAATCTGCAAGTGGATATTTGGACCTCTCTGAGGATTTCGTTGGAAACGGGATAAACTTCCCAGAACTACACGGAAGTATTCTGAGAAACTTCTTTGTGATGTTTGCATTCAACTCACAGAATTGAACCTTGCTTTCATAGTTCAGCTTTCAAACACTCTTTTTGTAGAATCTGCAAGTGGATATTTGGACCACTTTGTTGCCTTCCTTCGAAACGGGTATATCTTCACATCAAACCTAGACAGAAGCATTCTCAGAATGTTTCCTGTGATGACTGCATTCAACTCACAGAGGTGAACAATCCTGCTAATGGAGCAGTTTTGAAACTCTCTTTCTTTGGATTCTGCAAGTTGATATGTGGACCTCTGTGAAGATTTCGTTGGAAACGGGTTCATCTTCACAGAAAAACTAAACAGGAGCATTCTCAGAAACTGCTTTGTGATGTTTGTGTTCCACTTCAGGAATTGAACTTTCCTCTTGACAGAGCAGCTCTGAAACCCTCTTATTCTAGAATCTGCAAGTGGACATTTGGAGGGCTTTGAGGCCTGTGGTGGAAAAGGAAAATCTTCACATAAAAACTAGATGGAAGCATTCTCAGAAACTACTTTGTGATGATTGCATTCGACTCACAGAGTTGAACATTCCTATAGATAGAGCAGGTTGTAAACAATCTTTTTGTAGAATCTGCGATTGGAGATTTGGACTGCTTTGAGGCCTACTGTAGTAAAGGAAATAACTTCATCTAAAAACCAAACGGAAGCATTCACAGACAATTCTTAGTGATCATTGGATTGAACTAACAGAGCTGAACATTCCTTTAGATGGCGTAGTTTCCAAACACACTTTCTGTAGAATCTGCAAGTGGATATTTGGACCTCTCTGAGGATTTCTTTGGAAACGGGATAAACTTCCCAGAACTACACGGACATTCTGAGAAACTTCTTTGTGATGTTTGCATTCAACTCACAGAGTTGAACCTTGCTTTCATAGTTCAGCTTTCAAACCCTCTTTTTGTAGAATCTGCAAGTGGATATTTGGACCACTTTGTGGCCTTCCTTCGAAACGGGTATATCTTCACATCAAACCTAGACAGAAGCATTCTCAGAATGTTACCTGTGATGACTGCATTCAACTCACAGAGGTGAACAATCCTGCTGATGGAGCAGTTTTGAAACTCTCTTTCTTTGGATTCTGCAAGTGGATATGTGGACCTCTGTGAAGATTTCGTTGGAAACGGGTTCATCTTCACAGAAAAACTAAACAGAAGCATTCTCAGAAACTGCTTTGTGATGTTTGTGTTCCACTTCAAGAATTGAACTTTCCTCTTGACAGAGCAGCTCTGAAACCCTCTTATTCTAGAATCTGCAAGTGGACATTTGGAGGGCTTTGAGGCCTGTGGTGGAAAAGGAAAATCTTCACATAAAAACTAGATGGAAGCATTCTCAGAAACTACTTTGTGATGATTGCATTCGACTCACAGAGTTGAACATTCCTATAGATAGAGCAGGTTGTAAACAATCTTTTTGTAGAATCTGCGATTGGAGATTTGGACTGCTTTGAGGCCTACTGTAGTAAAGGAAATAACTTCATCTAAAAACCAAACGGAAGCATTCACAGACAATTCTTAGTGATCATTGGATTGAACTAACAGAGCTGAACATTCCTTTAGATGGAGCAGTTTCCAAACCCACTTTCTGTAGAATCTGCAAGTGGATATTTGGACTTCTCTGAGGATTTCGTTGGAAACGGGATAAACTTCCCAGAACTACACGGAAGCATTCTGAGAAACTTCTTTGTGATGTTTGCATTCAACTCACAGAGTTGAACCTTGCTTTCATAGTTCAGCTTTCAAACACTCTTTTTGTAGAATCTGCAAGAGGATATTTGGACCACTTTGTGGCCTTCCTTCGAAACGGGTATATCTTCACATCAAACCTAGACAGAAGCATTCTCAGAATGTTTCCTGTGATGACTGCATTCAACTCACAGAGGTGAACAATCCTGCTGATGGAGCAGTTTTGAAACTCTCTTTCTTTGGATTCTGCAAGTGGATATGTGGACCTCTGTGAAGATTTCGTTGGAAACGGGTTCATCTTCACAGAAAAACTAAACAGGAGCATTCTCAGAAACTGCTTTGTGATGTTTGTGTTCCACTCCAAGAATTGAACTTTCCTCTTGACAGAGCAGCTCTGAAACCCTCTTTTTCTAGAATCTGCAAGTGGACATTTGGAGGGCTTTGAGGCCTGTGGTGGAAAAGGAAAATCTTCACATAAAAACTAGATGGAAGCATTCTCAGAAACTACTTTGTGATGATTGCATTCGACTCACAGCAGTTGAACATTCCTATAGATAGAGCAGGTTGTAAACAATCTTTTTGTAGAATCTGCGATTGGAGATTTGGACTGCTTTGAGGCCTACTGTAGTAAAGGAAATAACTTCATCTAAAAACCAAACGGAAGCATTCACAGACAATTCTTAGTGATCATTGCATTGAACTAACAGAGCTGAACATTGCTTTAGATGGCGCAGTTTCCAAACCCACTTTCTGTAGAATCTGCAAGTGGATATTTGGACCTCTCTGAGGATTTCGTTGGAAACGGGATAAACTTCCCAGAACTACACGGAAGCATTCTGAGAAACTTCTTTGTGATGTTTGCATTCAACTCACAGAGTTGAACCTTGCTTTCATAGTTCAGCTTTCAAACACTCTTTTTGTAGAATCTGCAAGTGGATATTTGGACCACTTTGTGGCCTTCCTTCGAAACGGGTTTATCTTCACATCAAACCTAGACAGAAGCATTCTCAGAATGTTTCCTGTGATGACTGCATTCAACTCACAGAGGTGAACAATCCTGATGATGGAGCAGTTTTGAAACTCTCTTTCTTTGGATTCTGCAGGTGGATATGTGGACCTCTGTGAAGATTTCGTTGGAAACGGGTTCATCTTCACAGAAGAACTAAACAGGAGCATTCTCAGAAACTGCTTTGTGATGTTTGTGTTCCACTTCAAGAATTGAACTTTCCTCTTGACAGAGCAGCTCTGAAACCCTCTTTTTCTAGAATCTGCAAGTGGACATTTGGAGGGCTTTGAGGCCTGTGGTGCAAAAGGAAAATCTTCACATAAAAACTAGATGGAAGCATTCTCAGAAACTACTTTGTGATGATTGCATTCGACTCACAGAGTTGAACATTCCTATAGATAGAGCAGGTTGAAAACAATCTTTTTGTAGAATCTGCGATTGGAGATTTGGACTGCTTTGAGGCCTACTGTAGTAAAGGAAATAACTTCATCTAAAAACCAAACGGAAGCATTCACAGACAATTCTTAGTGATCATTGGATTCAACTAACAGAGCTGAACATTCCTTTAGATGGAGCAGTTTCCAAACCCACTTTCTGTAGAATCTGCAAGTGGATATTTGGACTTCTCTGAGGATTTCGTTGGAAACGGGATAAACTTCCCAGAACTACACGGAAAGCATTCTGAGAAACTTCTTTGTGATGTTTGCATTCAACTCACAGAGTTGAACCTTGCTTTCATAGTTCAGCTTTCAAACACTCTTTTTGTAGAATCTGCAAGTGGATATTTGGACCACTTTGTGGCCTTCCTTCGAAACGGGTATATCTTCACATCAAACCTAGACAGAGCATTCTCAGAATGTTTCCTGTGATGACTGCATTCAACTCACAGAGGTGAACAATCCTGCTGATGGAGCAGTTTTGAAACTCTCTTTCTTTGGATTCTGCAAGTGGATATGTGGACCTCTGTGAAGATTTCGTTGGAAACGGGTTCATCTTCACAGAAAAACTAAACAGGAGCATTCTCAGAAACTGCTTTGTGATGTTTGTGTTCCACTTCAGGAACTGAACATTCCTCTTGACAGAGCAGCTCTGTAACCCTCTTTTTCTAGAATCTGCAAGTGGACATTTGGAGGGCTTTGAGGCCTGTGGTGGAAAAGGAAAATCTTCACATAAAAACTAGATGGAAGCATTCTCAGAAACTACTTTCTGATGATTGCATTCGACTCACAGAGTTGAACTTTCCTACAGATAGAGCAGGTTGTAAACAATCTGTTTGTAGAATCTGCGATTGGAGATTTGGACTGCTTTGAGGCCTACTGTAGTAAAGGAAATAACTTCATCTAAAAACCCAACGGAAGCATTCACAGACAATTCTTAGTGATCATTGGATTGAACTAACAGAGCTGAACATTCCTTTAGATGGCGCAGTTTCCAAACACACTTTCTGTAGAATCTGCAAGTGGATATTTGGACCTCTCTGAGGATTTCGTTGGAAACGGGATAAACTTCCCAGAACTACACGGAAGCATTCTGAGAAACTTCTTTGTGATGTTTGCATTCAACTCACAGAGGTGAACCTTGCTTTCATAGTTCAGCTTTCAAACACTCTTTTTGTAGAATCTGCAAGTGGATATTTGGACCACTTTGTGGCCTTCCTTCGAAACGGGTATATCTTCACATCAAACCTAGACAGATAAGCATTCTCAGAATGTTTCCTGTGATGACTGCATTCAACTCACAGAGGTGAACAATCCTGCTGATGGAGCAGTTTTGAAACTCTCTTTCTTTGGATTCTGCAAGTGGATATGTGGACCTCTGTGAAGATTTCGTTGGAAACGGGTTCATCTTCACAGAAAAACTAAACAGGAGCATTCTCAGAAACTGCTTTGTGATGTTTGTGTTCCACATCAGGAATTGAACTTTCCTCTTGAAAGAGCAGCTCTGAAACCCTCTTTTTCTAGAATCTGCAAGTGGACATTTGGAGGGCTTTGAGGCCTGTGGTGGAAAAGGAAAATCTTCACATAAAAACTAGATGGAAGCATTCTCAGAAACTACTTTGTGATGATGGCTTTCGACTCACAGAGTTGAACATTCCTATAGATAGAGCAGGTTGTAAACAATCTTTTTGTAGAATCTGCGATTGGAGATTTGGACTGCTTTGAGGCCTACTGTAGTAAAGGAAATAACTTCATCTAAAAACCAAACGGAAGCATTCACAGACAATTCTTAGTGATCATTGGATTGAACTAACAGAGCTGAACATTCCTTTAGATGGCGCAGTTTCCAAACACACTTTCTGTAGAATCTGCAAGTGGATATTTGGACCTCTCTGAGGATTTCGTTGGAAACGGTCTAAACTTCCCAGAACTACACGGAAGCATTGTGAGAAACTTCTTTGTGATGTTTGCATTCAACTCACAGAGTTGAACCTTGCTTTCATAGTTCAGCTTTCAAACACTCTTTTTGTAGAATCTGCAAGTGGATATATGGACCACTTTGTGGCCTTCCTTTGAAACGGGTATATCTTCACATCAAACCTAGACAGAAGCATTCTCAGAATGCTTCCTGTGATGACTGCATTCAACTCACAGAGGTGAACAATCCTGCTGATGGAGCAGTTTTGAAACTCTCTTTCTTTGGATTCTGCAAGTGGATATGTGGACCTCTGTGAAGATTTCGTTGGAAACGGGTTCATCTTCACAGAAAAACTAAACAGGAGCATTCTCAGAAACTGCTTTGTGATGTTTGTGTTCCACTTCAAGAATTGAACTTTCCTCTTGACAGAGCAGCTCTGAAACCCTCTTTTTCTAGAATCTGCAAGTGGACATTTGGAGGGCTTTGAGGCCTGTGGTGGAAAAGGAAAATCTTCACATAAAAACTAGATGGAAGCATTCTCAGAAACTACTTTGTGATGATTGCATTCGACTCACAGAGTTGAACATTCGTATAGATAGAGTACGTTGTAAACAATCTTTTTGTAGAATCTGCGATTGGAGATTTGGACTGCTTTGAGGCCTACTGTAGTAAAGGAAATAACTTCATCTAAAAACCAAACGGAAGCATTCACAGACAATTCTTAGTGATCATTGGATTGAACTAACAGAGCTGAACATTCCTTTAGATGGCGCAGTTTCCAAACACACTTTCTGTAGAATCTGCAACTGGATATTTGGACCTCTCTGAGGATTTCGTTGGAAAAGGGATAAACTTCCCAGAACTACACGGAAGCATTCTGAGAAACTTCTTTGTGATGTTTGCATTCAACTCACAGAGTTGAACCTTGCTTTCATAGTTCAGCTTTCAAACACTCTTTTTGTAGAATCTACAGAAAGTGGATATTTGGACAACTTTGTGGCCTTCCTTCGAAACGGGTATATCTTCACATCAAACCTAGACAGAAAGCATTCTCAGAATGTTTCCTGTGATGACTGCATTCAACTCACAGAGGTGAACAATCCTGCTGATGGAGCAGTTTTGAAACTCTCTTTCTTTGGATTCTGCAAGTGGATATGTGGACCTCTGTGAAGATTTCGTTGGAAACGGGTTCATCTTCACAGAAAAACTAAACAGGAGCATTCTCAGAAACTGCTTTGTGATGTTTGTGTTCCACTTCAGGAATTGAACTTTCCTCTTGACAGAGCAGCTCTGAAACCCTCTTATTCTAGAATCTGCAAGTGGACATTTGGAGGGCTTTGAGGCCTGTGGGGAAAAGGAAAATCTTCACATAAAAACTAGATGGAAGCATTCTCAGAAACTACTTTGTGATGATTGCATTCGACTCACAGAGTTGAACATTCCTATACATAGAGCAGGTTGTAAACAATCTTTTTGTAGAATCTGCGATTGGAGATTTGGACTGCTTTGAGGCCTACTGTAGTAAAGGAAATAACTTCATCTAAAAACCAAACGGAAGCATTCACAGTACAATTCTTAGTGATCATTGGATTGAACTAACAGAGCTGAACATTCCTTTAGATGGAGCAGTTTCCAAACACACTTTCTGTAGAATCTGCAAGTGGATATTTGGACCTCTCTGAGGATTTCGTTGGAAACGGGATAAACTTCCCAGAACTACACGGAAGCATTCTGAGAAACTTCTTTGTGATGTTTGCATTCAACTCACACAGTTGAACCTTGCTTTCATAGTTCAGCTTTCAAACACTCTTTTTGTAGAATCTGCAAGTGGATATTTGGACCACTTTGTGGCCTTCTTTCGAAACGGGTATATCTTCACATCAAACCTAGACAGAAGCATTCTCAGAATGTTTCCTGTGATGACTGCATTCAACTCACAGAGGTGAACAATCCTGCTGATGGAGCAGTTTTGAAACTCTCTTTCTTTGGATTCTGCAAGTGGATATGTGGACCTCTGTGAAGATTTCGTTGGAAACGGGTTCATCTTCACAGAAAAACTAAACAGAAGCATTCTCAGAAACTGCTTTGTGATGTTTGTGTTCCACTTCAGGAATTGAACTTTCCTCTTGACAGAGCAGCTCTGAAACCCTCTTATTCTAGAATCTGCAAGTGGACATTTGGAGGGCTTTGAGGCCTGTGGTGGAAAAGGAAAATCTTCACATAAAAACTAGATGGAAGCATTCTCAGAAACTACTTTGTGATGATTGCATTCGACTCACAGAGTTGAACATTCCTATAGATAGAGCAGGTTGTAAACAATCTTTTTGTAGAATCTGCGATTGGAGATTTGGACTGCTTTGAGGCCTACTGTAGTAAAGGAAATAACTTCATCTAAAAACCAAACGGAAGCATTCACAGACAATTCTTAGTGATCATTGGATTGAACTAACAGAGCTGAACATTCCTTTAGATGGAGCAGTTTCCAAACACACTTTCTGTAGAATCTGCAAGTGGATATTAGGACTTCTCTGAGGATTTCGTTGGAAACGGGATAAACTTCCCAGAACTACAGGGAAGCATTGTGAGAAACTTCTTTGTGATGTTTGCATTCAACTCACAGAGTTGAACCTTGCTTTCATAGTTCAGCTTTCAAACACTCTTTTTGTAGAATCTGCAAGTGGATATTTGGACCACTTTGTGGCCTTCCTTCGAAACGGGTATATCTTCACATCAAACCTAGAGAGAAGCATTCTCAGAACGTTTCCTGTGATGACTGCATTCAACTCACAGAGGTGAACAATCCTGCTGAGGGAGCAGTTTTGAAACTCTCTTTCTTCGGATTCTGCAAGTGGATATGTGGACCTCTGTGAAGATTTCGTTGGAAACGGGTTCATCTTCACAGAAAAACTAAACAGGAGCATTTTCAGAAACTGCTTTGTGATGTTTGTGTTCCACTTCAAGAATTGAACTTTCCTCTTGACAGAGCAGCTCTGAAACCCTCTTTTTCTAGAATCTGCAAGTGGACATTTGGAGGGCTTTGAGGCCTGTGGTGAAAAGGGAAATCTTCACATAAAAACTTTATGGAAGCATTCTCAGAAACTACTTTGTGATGATTGCATTCGACTCACAGAGTTGAACATTCCTATAGATAGAGCAGGTTGTAAACAATCTTTTTGTAGAATCTGCGATTGGAGATTTGGACTGCTTTGAGGCCTACTGTAGTAAAGGAAATAACTTCATCTAAAAACCAAACGGAAGCATTCACAGACAATTCTTAGTGATCATTGCATTGAACTAACAGAGCTGAACATTCCTTTAGATGGCGCAGTTTCCAAACACACTTTCTGTAGAATCTGCAAGTGGATATTTGGACCTCCCTGAGGATTTCGTTGGAAACGGGATATGCTTCCCAGAACTACAGGGAAGCATTCTGAGAAACTTCTTTGTGATGTTTGCATTCAACTCACAGAGTTGAACCTTGCTTTCATAGTTCAGCTTTCAAACCCTCTTTTTGTAGAATCTGCAAGTGGATATTTGGACCACTTTGTGGCCTTCCTTCGAAACGGGTATATCTTCACATCAAACCTAGACAGAAGCATTCTCAGAATGTTTCCTGTGATGACTGCATTCAACTCACAGAGGTGAACAATCCTGCTGATGGAGCAGTTTTGAAACTCTCTTTCTTTGGATTCTGCAAGTGGATATGTGGACCTCTGTGAAGATTTCGTTGGAAACGGGTTCATCTTCACAGAAAAACTAAACAGAAGCATTCTCAGAAACTGCTTTGTGATGTTTGTGTTCCACTTCAGGAATTGAACTTTCCTCTTGTCAGAGCGGCTCTGAAACCCTCTTTTTCTAGAATGTGCAAGTGGACATTTGGAGGGCTTTGAGGCCTGTGGTGGAAAAGGAAAATCTTCACATAAAAACTAGATGGAAGCATTCTCAGAAACTACTTTGTGATGATTGCATTCGACTCACAGAGTTGAACATTCCTATAGATAGAGCAGGTTGTAAACAGTCTTTTTGTAGAATCTGCGATTGGAGATTTGGACTGCTTTGAGGCCTACTGTAGTAAAGGAAATAACTTCATCTAAAAACCAAACGGAAGCATTCACAGACAATTCTTAGTGATCATTGGATTGAACTAACAGAGCTGAACATTCCTTTAGATGGAGCAGTTTCCAAACACACTTTCTGCAGAATCTGCAAGTGGATATTTGGACCTCTCTGAGGATTTCGTTGGAAACGGGATAAACTTCCCAGAACTACACGGGAAAGCATTCTGAGAAACTTCTTTGTGATGTTTGCATTCAACTCACAGAGTTGAACCTTGCTTTCAAAGTTCAGCTTTCAAACACTCTTTTTGTAGAATCTGCAAGTGGATATTTGGACCACTTTGGGGCCCTCCTTCGAAACGGGTTCATCTTCACAGAAAAACTAAACAGGAGCATTCTCAGAATGTTTCCTGTGATGACTGCATTCAACTCACAGAGGTGAACAATCCTGTTGATGGAGCAGTTTTGAAACTCTCTTTCTTTGGATTCTGCAAGTGGATATGTGGACCTCTGCGAAGATTTCGTTGGAAACGGGTTCATCTTCACAGAAAAACTAAACAGGAGCATTCTCAGAAACTGCTTTGTGATGTTTGTGTTCCACTTCAAGAATTGAACTTTCCTCTTGACAGAGCAGCTCTGAAACCCTCTTTTTGTAGAATCTGCAAGTGGACATTTGGAGGGCTTTGAGGCCTGTGGTGGAAAAGGAAAATCTTCACATAAAAACTAGATGGAAGCATTCTCAGAAACTACTTTGTGATGATGGCTTTCGACTCACAGAGTTGAACATTCCTATAGATAGAGCAGGTTGTAAACAATCTTTTTGTAGAATCTGCGATTGGAGATTTGGACTGCTTTGAGGCCTACTGTAGTAAAGGAAATAACTTCATCTAAAAACCAAACGGAAGCATTCACAGACAATTCTTAGTGATCATTGCATTGAACTAACAGAGCTGAACATTCCTTTAGATGGCGCAGTTTCCAAACACACTTTCTGTAGAATCTGCAAGTGGATATTTGGACCTCTCTGAGGATTTCGTTGGAAACGGGATAAACTTCCCAGAACTACAGGGAAGCATTCTGAGAAACTTCTTTGTGATGTTTGCATTCAACTCACAGAGTTGAACCTTGCTTTCATAGTTCAGCTTTCAAACACTCCTTTTGTAGAATCTGCAAGTGGATATTTGGGCCACTTTGTGGCCTTCCTTCGAAACGGGTATATCTTCACATCAAACCTAGACAGAAGCATTCTCAGAATGTTTCCTGTGATGACTGCATTCAACTCACAGAGGTGAACAATCCTGCTGATGGAGCAGTTTTGAAACTCTCTTTCTTTGGATTCTGCAAGTGGATATGTGGACCTCTGTGAAGATTTCGTTGGAAACGGGTTCATCTTCACAGAAAAACTAAACAGAAGCATTCTCAGAAACTGCTTTGTGATGTTTGTGTTCCACTTCAGGAATTGAACTTTCCTCTTGACAGAGCAGCTCTGAAATCCTCTTATTCTAGAATCTGCAAGTGGACATTTGGAGGGCTTTGAGGCCTGTGGTGGAAAAGGAAAATCTTCACATAAAAACTAGATGGAAGCATTCTCAGAAACTACTTTGTGATGATTGCATTCGACTCACAGAGTTGAACATTCCTATAGATAGAGCAGGTTGTAAACAATCTTTTTGTAGAATCTGCGATTGGAGATTTGGACTGCTTTGAGGCCTACTGTAGTAAAGGAAATAACTTCATCTAAAAACCAAACGGAAGCATTCACAGACAATTCTTAGTGATCATTGCATTGAACTAAGAGAGCTGAACATTCCTTTAGATGGCGCAGTTTCCAAACACACTTTCTGTAGAATCTGCAAGTGGATATTTGGACCTCTCTGAGGATTTCGTTGGAAACGGGATAAACTTCCCAGAACTACACGGAAGCATTCTGAGAAACTTCTTTGTGATGTTTGCATTCAACTCACAGAGTTGAACCTTGCTTTCATAGTTCAGCTTTCAAACACTCTTTTTGTAGAATCTGCAAGTGGATATTTGGACCACTTTGTGGCCTTCCTTCGAAACGGGTATATCTTCACATCAAACCTAGACAGAAGCATTCTCAGAATGTTTCCTGTGATGACTGCATTCAACTCACAGAGGTGAACAATCCTGCTGATGGAGCAGTTTTGAAACTCTCTTTCTTTGGATTCTGCAAGTGGATATGTGGACCTCTGTGAAGATTTCGTTGGAAACGGGTTCATCTTCACAGAAAAACTAAACAGGAGCATTCTCAGAAACTGCTTTGTGATGTTTGTGTTCCACTTCAAGAATTGAACTTTCCTCTTGACAGAGCAGCTCTGAAACCCTCTTATTCTAGAATCTGCAAGTGGACATTTGGAGGGCTTTGAGACCTGTGGTGGAAAAGGGAAATCTTCACATAAAAACTAGATGAAAGCATTCTCAGAAACTACTTTGTGATGATTGCATTCGACTCACAGAGTTGAACATTCCTATAGAATAGAGCAGGTTGTAAACAATCTTTTTGTAGATTCTTGCGATTGGAGATTTGGACTGCTTTGAGGCCTACTGTAGTAAAGGAAATAACTTCATCTAAAAACCAAACGGAAGCATTCACAGACAATTCTTAGTGATCATTGGATTGAACTAACAGAGCTGAACATTCCTTTAGATGGAGCAGTTTCCAAACCCACTTTCTGTAGAATCTGCAAGTGGATATTTGGACTTCTCTGAGGATTTCGTTGGAAACGGGATAAACTTCCCAGAACTACACGGAAGCATTGTGAGAATCTTCTTTGTGATGTTTGCATTCAACTCACAGAGTTGAACCTTGCTTTCATAGTTCAGCTTTCAAACACTCTTTTTGTAGAATCTGCAAGTGGATATTGGGACCACTTTGTGGCCTTCCTTCGAAACGGGTATATCTTCACATCAAACCTAGACAGAAGCATTCTCAGAATGTTTCCTGTGATGACTGCGTTCAACTCACAGAGGTGAACAATCCTGCTGATGGAGCAGTTTTGAAACTCTCTTTCTTTGGATTCTGCAAGTTGATATGTGGACCTCTGTGAAGATTTCGTTGGAAACGGGTTCATCTTCACAGAAAAACTAAACAGGAGCATTCTCAGAAACTGCTTTGTGATGTTTGTGTTCCACTTCAGGAATTGAACTTTCCTCTTGACAGAGCAGCTCTGAAACCCTCTTATTCTAGAATCTGCAAGTGGACATTTGGAGGGCTTTGAGGCCTGTGGTGGAAAAGGAAAATCTTCACATAAAAACTAGATGGAAGCATTCTCAGAAACTACTTTGTGATGATTGCATTCGACTCACAGAGTTGAACATTCCTATAGGTAGAGCAGGTTGTAAACAATCTTTTTGTAGAATCTGCGATTGGAGATTTGGACTGCTTTGAGGCCTACTGTAGTAAAGGAAATAACTTCATCTAAAAACCAAACGGAAGCATTCACAGACAATTCTTAGTGATCATTGGATTGAACTAACAGAGCTGAACATTCCTTTAGATGGCGCAGTTTCCAGACACACTTTCTGTAGAATCTGCAAGTGGATATTTGGACCTCTCTGAGCATTTCGTTGGAAACGGGATAAACTTCCCAGAACTACACGGAAGCATGCTGAGAAACTTCTTTGTGATGTTTGCATTCAACTCACAGAGTTGAACCTTGCTTTCATAGTTCAGCTTTCAAACACTCTTTTTGTAGAATCTGCAAGTGGATATTTGGACCACTTTGTGGCCTTCCTTCGAAACGGGTATATCTTCACATCAAACCTAGACAGAAGCATTCTCAGAATGTTTCCTGTGATGACTGCATTCAACTCACAGAGGTGAACAATCCTGCTGATGGAGCAGTTTTGAAACTCCCTTTCTTTGGATTCTGCAAGTGGATATGTGGACCTCTGTGAAGATTTCGTTGGAAACGGGTTCATCTTCACAGAAAAACTAAACAGAAGCATTCTCAGAAACTGCTTTGTGATGTTTGTGTTCCACTTCAGGAATTCAACTTTCCTCTTGACAGAACAGCTCTGAAACCCTCTTATTCTAGAATCTGCAAGTGGACATTTGGAGGGCTTTGAGGCCTGTGGTGGAAAAGGAAAATCTTCACATAAAAACTAGATGGAAGCATTCTCAGAAACTACTTTGTGATGATTGCATTCAACTCACAGAGTTGAACATTCCTATAGATAGAGCAGGTTGTAAACAATCTTTTTGTAGAATCTGCGATTGGAGATTTGGACTGCTTTGAGGCCTACTGTAGTAAAGGAAATAACTTCATCTAAAAACCAAACGGAAGCATTCACAGACAATTCTTAGTGATCATTGCATTGAACTAACAGAGCTGAACATTCCTTTAGATGGAGCAGTTTCCAAACACACTTTCTGTAGAATCTGCAAGTGGATATTTGGACTTCTCTGAGGATTTCGTTGGAAACGGGATAAACTTCCCAGAACTACACGGAAGCATTCTGAGAAACTTCTTTGTGATGTTTGCATTCAACTCACAGAGTTGAACCTTGCTTTCATAGTTCAGCTTTCAAACACTCTTTTTGTAGAATCTGCAAGTGGATATTTGGACCACTTTGTGGCCTTCCTTCGAAACGGGTATATCTTCACATCAAACATAGACAGAAGCATTCTCAGAATGTTTCCTGTGATGACTGCATTCGACTCACAGAGGTGAACAATCCTGCTGATGGACCAGTTTTGAAACTCTCTTTCTCTGGATTCTGCAAGTGGATATGTGGACCTCTGTGAAGATTTCGTTGGAAACGGGCTCATCTTCACAGAAAAACTAAACAGGAGCATTCTCAGAAACTGCTTTGTGATGTTTGTGTTCCACTTCAAGAATTGAACTTTCCTCTTGACAGAGCAGCTCTGAAACCCTCTTATTCTAGAATCTGAAAGTGGACATTTGGAGGGCTTTGAGGCCTGTGGTGGAAAAGGAAAATCTTCACATAAAAACTAGATGGAAGCATTCTCAGAAACTACTTTGTGATGATTGCATTCGACTCACAGAGTTGAACATTCCTATAGATAGAGCAGGTTGTAAACAATCTTTTTGTAGAATCTGCGATTGGAGATTTGGACTGCTTTGAGGCCTACTGTAGTAAAGGAAATAACTTCATCTAAAAACCAAACGGAAGCATTCACAGACAATTCTTAGTGATCATTGGATTGAACTAACAGAGCTGAACATTCCTTTAGATGGCGCACTTTCCAAACACACTTTCTGTAGAATCTGCAACTGGATATTTGGACCTCTCTGAGGATTTCGTTGGAAACGGGATAAACTTCCCAGAACTACACGGAAGCATTGTGAGAAACTTCTTTGTGATGTTTGCATTCAACTCACAGAGTTGAACCTTGCTTTCATAGTTCAGCTTTCAAACACTCTTTTTGTAGAATCTGCAAGTGGATATTTGGACCACTTTGTGGCCTTCCTTCGAAACGGGTATATCTTCACATCAAACCTAGACAGAAGCATTCTCAGAATGTTTCCTGTGATGACTGCATTCAACTCACAGAGGTGAACAATCCTGCTGATGGAGCAGTTTTGAAACTCTCTTTCTTTGGATTCTGCAAGTGGATATGTGGACCTCTGTGAAGATTTCGTTGGAAACGGGTTCATCTTCACAGAAAAACTAAACAGAAACATTCTCAGAAACTGCTTTGTGATGTTTGTGTTCCACTTCAAGAATTGAACTTTCCTCTTGACAGAGCAGCTCTGAAACCCTCTTTTTCTAGAATCTGCAAGTGGACATTTGGAGGGCTTTGAGGCCTGTGGTGGAAAAGGAAAATCTTCACATAAAAACTAGATGGAAGCATTCTCAGAAACTACTTTGTGATGATTGCATTCGACTCACAGAGTTGAACATTCCTATAGATAGAGAAGGTTGTAAACAATCTTTTTGTAGAATCTGCGATTGGAGATTTGGACTGCTTTGAGGCCTACTGTAGTAAAGGAAATAACTTCACCTAAAAACCAAACGGAAGCATTCACAGACAATTCTTAGTGATCATTGCATTGAACTAACAGAGCTGAACATTCCTTTAGATGGTGCAGTTTCCAAACACACTTTCTGTAGAATCTGCAAGTGGATATGTGGACTTATCTGAGGATTTCGTTGGAAACGGGATAAACTTCCCAGAACTACACGGAAGCATTCTCAGAAACTACTTTGTGATGTTGCATTCAACTCACAGAGTTGAACCTTGCTTTCATAGTTCAGCTTTCAAACACTCTTTTTGTAGAAACTGCAAGTGGATATTTGGACCACTTTGTGGCCTTCCTTCGAAACTGGTATATCTTCACATCAAACCTAGACAGAAGCATTCTCACAATGTTTCCTGTGATTACTGCATTCAACGCACAGAGGTGAACAATCCTGCTGATGGAGCAGTTTTGAATCTCTCTTTCTCTGGAATCTGAAAGTGGATATGTGGACCTATTTGAAGATTTCGTTGGAAACGGTTTCATCTTCAAAGAAAAACTAAACAGTAGCATTCTCAGAAACTGCTTTGTGATGTTTGTGTTCCACTTCAAGAATTGAACTTTCCTCTTGACAGAGCAGCTCTGAAACCCTCTTTTTCTAGAATCTGCAAGTGGACATTTGGAGGGCTTTGAGGCCTGTGGTGGAAAAGGAAAATCTTCACATAAAAACTAGATGGAAGCATTCTCAGAAACTACTTTGTGATGATTGCATTCAACTCACGGAGTTGAACATTCCTATAGATAGAGCAGGTTGTAAACAATCTTTTTGTAGAATCTGCGATTGGAGATTTGGACTGCTTTGAGGCCTACTGTAGTAAAGGAAATAACTTCATCTAAAAACCAAACGGAAGCATTCACAGACAATTCTTAGTGATCATTGCATTGAACTAACAGAGCTGAACATTGCTTTAGATGGCGCAGTTTCCAAACCCACTTTCTGTAGAATCTGCAAGTGGATATTTGGACCTCTCTGAGGATTTCGTTGGAAACGGGATAAACTTCCCAGAACTACACGGAAGCATTCTGAGAAACTTCTTTGTGATGTTTGCATTCAACTCACAGAGTTGAACCTTGCTTTCATAGTTCAGCTTTCAAACACTCTTTTTGTAGAATCTGCAAGTGGATATTTGGACCACTTTGTGGCCTTCCTTCGGAACGGGTATATCTTCACATCAAACCTAGACAGAAGCATTCTCAGAATGTTTCCTGTGATGACTGCATTCAACTCACAGAGGTGAACAATCCTGCTGATGGAGCAGTTTTGAAACTCTCTTTCTTTGGATTCTGCAAGTGGATATGTGGACCTCTGTGAAGATTTCGTTGGAAACGGGTTCATCTTCACAGAAAAACTAAACAGAAGCATTCTCAGAAACTGTTTTGTGATGTTTGTGTTCCACTTCAGGAATTGAACTTTCCTCTTGACAGAGCAGCTCTGAAACCCTCTTATTCTAGAATCTGCAAGTGGACATTTGAAGGGCTTTGAGGCCTGTGGTGGAAAAGGAAAATCTTCACATAAAAACTAGATGAAAGCATTCTCACAAACTACTTTGTGATGATGGCATTCGACTCACAGAGTTGAACATTCCTATAGATAGAGCAGGTTGTAAACAATCTTTTTGTAGAATCTGCGATTGGAGATTTGGACTGCTTTGAGGCCTACTGTAGTAAAGGAAATAACTTCATCTAAAAACCAAACGGAAGCATTCACAGACAATTCTTAGTGATCATTGCATTGAACTAACAGAAGCTGAACATTCCTTTAGATGGCGCAGTTTCCAAACACACTTTCTGTAGAATCTGCAAGTGGATATTTGGACCTCTCTGAGGATTTCCTTGGAAACGGGATAAACTTCCCAGAACTACACGGAAGCATTGTGAGAAACTTCTTTGTGATGTTTGCATTCAACTCACAGAGTTGAACCTTGCTTTCATAGTTCAGCTTTCAAACACTCTTTTTGTAGAATCTGCAAGTGGATATTTGGACCACTTTGTGGCCTTCCTTCGAAACGGGTATATCTTCACATCAAACCTAGACAGAAGCATTCTCAGAATGTTTCCTGTGATGACTGCATTCAACTCACAGAGGTGAACAATCCTGCTGATGGAGCAGTTTTGAAACTCTCTTTCTTTGGATTCTGCAAGTGGATATGTGGACCTCTGTGAAGATTTCGTTGGAAACGGGTTCATCTTCCCAGAAAAACTAAAAAGAAGCATTCTCAGAAACTGCTTTGTGATGTTTGTGTTCCACTTCAAGAATTGAACTTTCCTCTTGACAGAGCAGCTCTGAAACCCTCTTTTTCTAGAATCTGCAAGTGGACATTTGGAGGGCTTTGAGGCCTGTGGTGGAAAAGGAAAATCTTCACATAAAAACTAGATGGAAGCATTCTCAGAAACTACTTTGTGATGATTGCATTCGACTCACAGAGTTGAACATTCCTATAGATAGAGCAGGTTGTAAACAATCTTTTTGTAGAATCTGCGATAGGAGATTTGGACTGCTTTGAGGCCTACTGTAGTAAAGGAAATAACTTCATCTAAAAACCAAACGGAAGCATTCACAGACAATACTTAGTGATCATTGGATTGAACTAACAGAGCTGAACATTCCTTTAGATGGCGCAGTTTCCAAACACACTTTCTGTAGAATCTGCAAGTGGATATTTGGACTTCTACTGAGGATTTCGTTGGAAACGGGATAAACTTCCCAGAACTACACGGAAGCATTCTGAGAAACTTCTTTGTGATGTTTGCATTCAACTCACAGAGTTGAACCTTGCTTTCATAGTTCAGCTTTCAAACACTCCTTTTGTAGAATCTGGAAGTGGATATTTGGGCCACTTTGTGGCCTTCCTTCGAAACGGGTATATCTTCACATCAAACCTAGACAGAAGCATTCTCAGAATGTTTCCTGTGATGACTGCATTCAACTCACAGAGGTGAACAATCCTGCTGATGGAGCAGTTTTGAAACTCTCTTTCTTTGGATTCTGCAAGTGGATATGTGGACCTCTGTGAAGATTTCGTTGGAAACGGGTTCATCTTCACAGAAAAACTAAACAGAAGCATTCTCAGAAACAGCTTTGTGATGTTTGTGTTCCACTTCAAGAATTGAACTTTCCTCTTGACAGAGCAGCTCTGAAACCCTCTTTTTCTAGAATCTGCAAGTGGACATTTGGAGGGCTTTGAGGCCTGTGGTGGAAAAGGAAAATCTTCACATAAAAACTAGATGGAAGCATTCTCAGAAACTACTTTGTGATGATTGCATTCGACTCACAGAGTTGAACATTCCTATAGATAGAGCAGGTTGTAAACAATCTTTTTGTAGAATCTGCGATTGGAGATTTGGACTGCTTTGAGGCCTACTGTAGTAAAGGAAATAACTTCATCTAAAAACCAAACGGAAGCATTCACAGATAATTCTTAGTGATATTGGATTGAACTAACAGAGCTGAACATTCCTTTAGATGGAGCACTTTCCAAACACACTTTCTGTAGAATCTGCAAGTGGATATTTGGACCTCTCTGAGGATTTCGTTGGAAACGGGATAAACTTCCCAGAACTACACGGAAGCATTCTGAGAAACTTCTTTGTCATGTTTGCATTCAACTAACAGAGTTGAACCTTGCTTTCATAGTTCAGCTTTCAAACACTCTTTTTGTAGAATCTGCAAGTGGATATTTGGACCACTTTGTGGCCTTCCTTCGAAACGGGTATATCTTCACATCAAACCTAGACAGAAGCATTCTCAGAATGTTTCCTGTGATGACTGCATTCAACGCACAGAGGTGAACAATCCTGCTGATGGAGCAGTGTTGAAACTCTCTTTCTTTGGATTCTGCAAGTGGATATGTGGACCTCTGTGAAGATTTCTTTGGAAACGGGTTCATCTTCACAGAAAAACTAAACAGGAGCATTCTCAGAAACTGCATTGTGATGTTTGTGTTCCACTTCAAGAATTGAACTTTCCTCTTGACAGAGCAGCTCTGAAACCCTCTTTTTCTAGAATCTGCAAGTGGACATTTGGAGGGCTTTGAGGCCTGTGGTGGAAAAGGAAAATCTTCACATAAAAACTTTATGGAAGCATTCTCAGAAACTACTTTGTGATGATTGCATTCGACTCACAGAGTTGAACATTCCTATAGATAGAGCAGGTTGTAAACAATCTTTTTGTAGAATCTGCGATTGGAGATTTGGACTGCTTTGAGGCCTACTGTAGTAAAGGAAATAACTTCATGTGAAAACCAAACGGAAGCATTCACAGACAATTCTTAGTGATCATTGCATTGAACTAACAGAGCTGAACATTCCTTTAGATGGCGCAGTTTCCAAACACACTTTCTGTAGAATCTGCAAGTGGATATTTGGACCTCACTGAGGATTTCGTTGGAAACGGGATAAACTTCCCAGAACTACACGGAAGCATTCTGAGAAACTTCTTTGTGATGTTTGCATTCAACTCACAGAGTTGAACCTTGCTTTCATAGTTCAGCTTTCAAACCCTCTTTTTGTAGAATCTGCAAGTGGATATTTGGACCACTTTGTGGCCTTCCTTCGAAACGGGTATATCTTCACATCAAACCTAGACAGAAGCATTCTCAGAATGTTTCCTGTGATGACTGCATTCAACTCACAGAGGTGAACAATCCTGCTGATGGAGCAGTTTTGAAACTCTCTTTCTTTGGATTCTGCAAGTGGATATGTGGACCTCTGTGAAGATTTCGTTGGAAACGGGTTCATCTTCACAGAAAAACTAAACAGAAGCATTCTCAGAAACTGCTTTGTGATGTTTGTGTTCCACTTCAAGAATTGAACTTTCCTCTTGACAGAGCAGCTCTGAAACCCTCTTTTTCTAGAATCTGCAAGTGGACATTTGGAGGGCTTTGAGGCCTGTGGTGGAAAAGGAAAATCTTCACATGAAAACTAGATGGAAGCATTCTCAGAAACTACTTTGCGATGATTGCATTCGACTCACAGAGTTGAACATTCCTATAGATAGAGCAGGTTGTAAACAATCTTTTTGTAGAATCTGCGATTAGAGATTTGGACTGCTTTGAGGCCTACTGTAGTAAAGGAAATAACTTCATCTAAAAACCAAACGGAAGCATTCACAGACAATTCTTAGTGATCATTGGATTGAACTAACAGAGCTGAACATTCCTTTAGATGGCGCAGTTTCCAAACACACTTTCTGTAGAATCTGCCACTGGATATTTGGAACTCTCTGAGGATTTCGTTGGAAACGGGCTAAACTTCCCAGAACTACACGGAAGCATTGTGAGAAACTTCTTTGTGATGTTTGCATTCAACTCACAGAGTTGAACCTTGCTTTCATAGTTCAGCTTTCAAACACTCTTTTTGTAGAATCTGCAAGTGGATATTTGGACCACTTTGTGGCCTTCCTTCGAAACGGGTATATCTTCACATCAAACCTAGACAGAAGCATTCTCAGAATGTTTCCTGTGATGACTGCATTCAACTCACAGGAGGTGAACAATCCTGCTGATGGAGCAGTTTTGAAACTCTCTTTCTTTGGATTCTGCAAGTGGATATGTGGACCTCTGTGAAGATTTCGTTGGAAACGGGTTCATCTTCACAGAAAAACTAAACAGAAGCATTCTCAGAAACTGCTTTGTGATGTTTGTGTTCCACTTCAGGAATTGAACTTTCCTCTTGACAGAGCAGCTCTGAAACCCTCTTTTTCTAGAATCTGCAAGTGGACATTTGGAGGGCTTTGAGGCCTGTGGTGGAAAAGGAAAATCTTCACATAAAAACTAGATGGAAGCATTCTCAGAAACTACTTTGTGATGTTTGCATTCGACTCACAGAGTTGAACATTCCTATAGATAGAGCAGGTTGAAAACAATCTTTTTGTAGAATCTGCGATTGGAGATTTGGACTGCTTTGAGGCCTACTGTAGAAAAGGAAATAACTTCATCTAAAAACCAAACGGAAGCATTCACAGACAATTCTTAGTGGTCATTGGATTGAACTAACAGAGCTGAACATTCCTTTAGATGGAGCAGTTTCCAAACCCACTTTCTGTAGAATCTGCAAGTGGATATTTGGACCTCTCTGAGGATTTCTTTGGAAACGGGATAAACTTCCCAGAACTACACGGAAGTATTCTGAGAAACTTCTTTGTGATGTTTGCATTCAACTCACAGAGTTGAACCTTGCTTTCATAGTTCAGCTTTCAAACACTCTTTTTGTAGAATCTGCAAGTGGATATTTGGACCACTTTGTGGCCTTCCTTCGAAACGGGTATATCTTCACATCAAACCTAGACAGAAGCATTCGCAGAATGTTTCCTGTGATGACTGCATTCAACTCACAGAGGTGAACAATCCTGCTGATGGAGCAGTTTTGAAACTCCCTTTCTTTGGATTCTGCAAGTGGATATGTGGACCTCTGTGAAGATTTCGTTGGAAACGGGTTCATCTTCACAGAAAAACTAAACAGGAGCATTCTCAGAAACTGCTTTGTGATGTTTGTGTTCCACTTCAGGAATTGTACTTTCCTCTTGACAGAGCAGCTCTGAAACCCTCTTATTCTAGAATCTGCAAGTGGACATTTGGAGGGCTTTGAGGCCTGTGGTGGAAAAGGAAAATCTTCACATAAAAACTAGATGGAAGCATTCTCAGAAACTACTTTGTGATGATTGCATTCGACTCACAGAGTTGAACATTCCTATAGATAGAGCAGGTTGTAAACAATCTTTTTGTAGAATCTGCGATTGGAGATTTGGACTGCTTTGAGGCCTACTGTAGTAAAGGAAATAACTTCATCTAAAAACCAAATGGAAGCATTCACAGACAATTCTTAGTGATCATTGCATTGAACTAACAGAGCTGAACATTCCTTTAGATGGAGCAGTTTCCAAACACACTTTCTGTAGAATCTGCAAGTGGATATTTGGACTTCTCTGAGGATTTCGTTGGAAACGGGATAAACTTCCCAGAACTACAGGGAAGTATTCTGAGAAACTTCTTTGTGATGTTTGCATTCAACTCACAGAGTTGAAACTTGCTTGCATAGTTCAGCTTTCAAACACTCTTTTTGTAGAATCTGCAAGTGGATATTTGGACCACTTTGTGGCCTTCCTTCGAAACGGGTATATCTTCACATCAAACCTAGACAGAAGCATTCTCAGAATGTTTCCTGTCATGACTGCATTCAACTCGCAGAGGTGAACAATCCTGCTGATGGAGCAGTTTTGAAACTCTCTTTCTTTGGATTCTGCAAGTGGATATGTGGACCTCTGTGAAGATTTCGTTGGAAACGGGTTCATCTTCACAGAAAAACTAAACAGAAGCATTCTCAGAAACTGCTTTGTGATGTTTGTGTTCCACCTCAGGAATTGAACTTTCCTCTTGACAGAGCAGCTCTGAAACCCTCTTATTCTAGAATCTGCAAGTGGACATTTGGAGGGCTTTGAGGCCTGTGGTGGAAAAGGAAAATCTTCACATAAAAACTAGATGGAAGCATTCTCAGAAACTACTTTGTGATGATTGCATTCGACTCACATAGTTGAACATTCCTATAGATAGAGCAGGTTGTAAACAATCTTTTTGTAGAATCTGTGATTGGAGATTTGGACTGCTTTGAGGCCTACTGTAGTAAAGGAAATAACTTCATCTAAAAACCAAACGGAAGCATTCACAGACAATTCTTAGTGATCATTGGATTGAACTAACAGAGCTGAACATTCCTTTAGATGGAGCAGTTTCCAAACACACTTTCTGTAGAATCTGCAAGTGGATATTTGGACCTCTCTGAGGATTTCGTTGGAAACGGGCTAAACTTCCCAGAACTACACGGAAGCATTCTGAGAAACTTCTTTGTGATGTTTGCATTCAACTCACAGAGTTGAACCTTGCTTTCATAGTTCAGCTTTCAAACACTCTTTTTGTAGAATCTGCAAGTGGATATTTGGACCACTTTGTGGCCTTCCTTCGAAACGGGTATATCTTCACATCAAACCTAGACAGAAGCATTCTCAGAATGTTTCCTGTGATGACTGCATTCAACTCACAGAGGTGAACAATCCTGTTGATGGAGCAGTTTTGAAACTCTCTTTCTTTGGATTCTGCAAGTTGATATGTGGACCTCTGTGAAGATTTCGTTGGAAACGGGTTCATCTTCACAGAAAAACTAAACAGAAGCATTCTCAGAAACTGCTTTGTGATGTTTGTGTTCCACTTCAAGAATTGAACTTTCCTCTTGACAGAGCAGCTCTGAAACCCTCTTTTTCTAGAATCTGCAAGTGGACATTTGGAGGGCTTTGAGGCCTGTGGTGGAAAAGGAAAATCTTCACATAAAAACTAGATGGAAGCATTCTCAGAAACTACTTTGTGATGGTTGCATTCGACTCACAGAGTTGAACATTCCTATAGATAGAGCAGGTTGTAAACAATCTTTTTGTAGAATCTGCGATTGGAGATTTGGACTGCTTTGAGGTCTACTGTAGTAAAGGAAATAACTTCATCTAAAAACCAAACGGAAGCATTCACAGACAATTCTTAGTGATCATTGGATTGAACTAACAGAGCTGAACATTCCTTTAGATGGAGCAGTTTCCAAACCCACTTTCTGTAGAATCTGCAAGTGGATATTTGGACCTCTCTGAGGATTTCTTTGGAAACGGGATAAACTTCCCAGAACTACACGGAAGCATTGTGAGAAACTTCTTTGTGATGTTTGCATTCAACTCACAGAGTTGAACCTTGCTTTCATAGTTCAGCTTTCAAACACTCTTTTTGTAGAATCTGCAAGTGGATATTTGGACCACTTTGTGGCCTTCCTTCGAAACGGGTATATCTTCACATCAAACCGAGACAGAAGCATTCTCGGAATGTTTCCTGTGATGACTGCATTCAACTCACAGAGGTGAACAATCCTGCTGATGGAGCAGTTTTGAAACTCTCTTTCTTTGGATTCTGCAAGTGGATATGTGGACCTCTGTGAAGATTTCGTTGGAAACGGGTTCATCTTCACAGAAAAACTAAACAGGAGCATTATCAGAAACTGCTTTGTGATGTTTGTGTTCCACTTCAGGAATTGTACTTTCCTCTTGACAGAGCAGCTCTGAAACCCTCTTATTCTAGAATCTGCAAGTGGACATTTGGAGGGCTTTGAGGCCTGTGGTGGAAAAGGAAAATCTTCACATAAAAACTAGATGGAAGCATTCTCAGAAACTACTTTGTGATGATTGCATTCGACTCACAGAGTTGAACATTCCTATAGATAGAGCAGGTTGTAAACAATCTTTTTGTAGAATCTGCGATTGGAGATTTGGACTGCTTTGAGGCCTACTGTAGTAAAGGAAATAACTTCATCTAAAAACCAAACGGAAGCATTCACAGACAATTCTTAGTGATCATTGGATTGAACTAACAGAGCTGAACATTCCTTTAGATGGAGCAGTTTCCAAACACACTTTCTGTAGAATCTGCAAGTGGATATTTGGACCTCTCTGAGGATTTCATTGGAAAAGGGATAAACTTCCCAGAACTACACGGAAGCATTCTGAGAAACTTCTTTGTGATGTTTGCATTCAACTCACAGAGTTGAACCTTGCTTTCATAGTTCAGCTTTCAAACACTCTTTTCGTAGAATCTGCAAGTGGATATTTGGACCACTTTGTGGCCTTCCTTCGAAACAGGTATATCTTCACATCAAACCTAGACAGAAGCATTCTCAGAATGTTTCCTGTGATGACTGCATTCAACTCACAGAGGTGAACAATCCTGCTGATGGAGCAGTTTTGAAACTCTCTTTCTTTGGATTCTGCAAGTGGATATGTGGACCTCTGTGAAGATTTCGTTGGAAACGGGTTCATCTTCACAGAAAAACTAAACAGAAGCATTCTCAGAAACTGCTTTGTGATGTTTGTGTTCCACTTCAGGAATTGAACTTTCCTCTTGACAGAGCAGCTCTGAAACCCTCTTATTCTAGAATCTGCAAGTGGACATTTGGAGGGCTTTGAGGCCTGTGGTGGAAAAGGAAAATCTTCACATAAAAACTAGATGGAAGCATTCTCAGAAACTTCTTTGTGATGATTGCATTCGACTCACAGAGTTGAACATTCCTATAGATAGAGCAGGTTGTAAACAATCTTTTTGTAGAATCTGCGATTGGAGATTTGGACTGCTTTGAGGCCTACTGTAGTAAAGGAAATAACTTCATCTAAAAACCAAACGGAAGCATTCACAGACAATTCTTAGTGATCATTGGATTGAACTAACAGAGCTGAACATTCCTTTAGATGGAGCAGTTTCCAAACACACTTTCTGTAGAATCTGCAAGTGGATATTTGGACTTCTCTGAGGATTTCGTTGGAAACGGGATAAACTTCCCAGAACTACACGGAAGCATTGGGAGAAACTTCTTTGTGATGTTTGCATTCAACTCACAGAGTTGAACCTTGCTTTCATAGTTCAGCTTTCAAACACTCTTTTTGTAGAATCTGCAAGTGGATATTTGGACCACTTTGTGGCCTTCCTTCGAAACGGGTATATCTTCACATCAAACCTAGACAGAAGCATTCTCAGAATGTTTCCTGTGATGACTGCATTCAACTCACAGAGGTGAACAATCCTGCTGATGGAGCAGTTTTGAAACTCTCTTTCTTTGGATTCTGCAGGTGGATATGTGGACCTCTGTGAAGATTTCGTTGGAAACGGGTTCATCTTCACAGAAAAACTAAACAGGAGCATTCTCAGAAACTGCTTTGTGATGTTTGTGTTCCACTTCAAGAATTGAACTTTCCTCCTGACAGAGCAGCTCTGAAACCCTCTTTTTCTAGAATCTGCAAGTGGACATTTGGAGGGCTTTGAGGCCTGTGGTGGAAAAGGAAAATCTTCACATAAAAACTAGATGGAAGCATTCTCAGAAACTACTTTGTGATGATTGCATTCGACTCACAGAGTTGAACATTCCTATAGATAGAGCAGGTTGTAAACAATCTTTTTGTAGAATCTGCGATTGGGGATTTGGACTGCTTTGAGGCCTACTGTAGTAAAGGAAATAACTTCATCTAAAAACCAAACGGAAGCATTCACAGCACAATTCTTAGTGATTATTGGATTGAACTAACAGAGCTGAACATTCCTTTAGATGGCGCAGTTTCCAAACACACTTTCTGTAGAATCTGCAAGTGGATATTTGGACCTCTCTGAGGATTTCGTTGGAAACGGGATAAACTTCCCAGAACTACACGGAAGCATTGTGAGAAACTTCTTTGTGACGTTTGCATTCAACTCACAGAGTTGAACCTTGCTTTCATAGTTCAGCTTTCAAACACTCTTTTTGTAGAATCTGCAAGTGGATATTTGGACCACTTTGTGGCCTTCCTTCGAAACGGGTATATCTTCACATCAAACCTAGACAGAAGCACTCTCAGAATGTTTCCTGTGATGACTGCATTCAACTCACAGAGGTGAACAATCCTGCTGATGGAGCACTTTTGAAACTCTCTTTCTTTGGATTCTGCAAGTTGATATGTGGACCTCTGTGAAGATTTCGTTGGAAACGGGTTCATCTTCACAGAAAAACTAAACAGAAGCATTCTCAGAAACTGCTTCGTGATGTTTGTGTTCCTCTTCAAGAATTGAACTTTCCTCTTGACAGAGGAGCTCTGAAACCCTCTTTTTCTAGAATCTGCAAGTGGACATTTGGAGGGCTTTGAGGCCTGTGGTGGAAAAGGAAAATCTTCACATAAAAACTAGATGGAAGCATTCTCAGAAACTACTTTGTGATGATTGCATTTGACTCACAGAGTTGAACATTCCTATAGATAGAGCAGGTTGTAAACAATCTTTTTCTAGAATCTGCGATTGGAGATTTGGACTGCTTTGAGGCCTACTGTAGTAAAGGGAATAACTGCATCTAAAAACCAAACGGAAGCATTCACAGACAATTCTTAGTGATCATTGGATTGAACTAACAGAGCTGAACATTCCCTTAGATGGCACAGTTTCCAAACACACTTTCTGTAGAATCTGCAAGTGGATATTTGGACCTCTCTGAGGATTTCGTTGGAAACGGGATAAACTTCCCAGAACTACACGGAAGCATTCTGAGAAACTTCTTTGTGATGTTTGCATTCAAATCACAGAGTTGAACCTTGCTTTCATAGTTCAGCTTTCAAACACTCTTTTTGTAGAATCTGCAAGTGGATATTTGGACCACTTTGTGGCCTTCCTTCGAAACGGGTATATCTTCACATCAAACCTAGACAGAAGCATTCTCAGAATGTTTCCTGTGATGACTGCATTCAACTCACAGAGGTGAACAATCCTGTTGATGGAGCAGTTTTGAAACTCTCTTTCTTTGGAATCTGCAACTGGATATGTGGACCTCTTTGAAGATTTCGTTGGAAACGGGTTCATCTTCACATAAAAACTAAACAGAAGCATTCTCAGAAACTGCTTTGTGATGTTTGTGTTCCACTTCAGGAATTGAACTTTCCTCTTGACAGAGCAGCTCTGAAACCCTCTTATTCTAGAATCTGCAAGTGGACATTTGGAGGGCTTTGAGGCCTGTGGTGGAAAAGGAAAATCTTCACATAAAAACTAGATGGAAGCATTCTCAGAAACTACTTTGTGATGATTGCATTCGACTCACACAGTTGAACATTCCTATAGATAGAGCAGGTTGTAAACAATCTTTTTGTAGAATCTGCGATTGGAGATTTGGACTGCTTTGAGGCCTACTGTAGTAAAGGAAATAACTTCATCTAAAAATCAAACGGAAGCATTCACAGACAATTCTTAGTGATCATTGCATTGATCTAACAGAGCTGAACATTCCTTTAGATGGCGTAGTTTCCAAACACACTTTCTGTAGAATCTGCAAGTGGATATTTGGACCTCTCTGAGGATTTCGTTTCAAACGGGATAAACTTCCCAGAACTACACGGAAGCATTCTGAGAAACTTCTTTGTGATGTTTGCATTCAACTCACAGAATTGAACCTTGCTTTCATAGTTCAGCTTTCAAACACTCTTTTTGTAGAATCTGCAAGTGGATATTTGGACCACTTTGTGGCCTTCCTTCGAAACGGGTATATCTTCACATCAAACCTAGACAGAAGCATTCTCAGAATGTTTCCTGTGATGACTGCATTCAACTCACAGAGGTGAACAATCCTGCTGATGGAGCAGTTTTGAAACTCTCTTTCTTTGGATTCTGCAAGTGGATATGTGGACCTCTGTGAAGATTTCGTTGGAAACGGGTTCATCTTCACAGAAAAACTAAACAGAAGCATTCTCAGAAACTGCTTTGTGATGTTTGTGTTCCACTTCAGGAACTGAACTTTCCTCTTGACAGAGCAGCTCTGAAACCCTCTTATTCTAGAATCTGCAAGTGGACATTTGGAGGGCTATGAGGCCTGTGGTGGAAAAGGAAAATCTTCACATAAAAAGTAGATGGAAGCATTCTCAGAAACTACTTTGTGATGATTGCATTCGACTCACAGAGTTGAACATTCCTATAGATAGAGCAGGTTGTAAACAATCTTTTTGTAGAATCTGCGATTGGAGATTTGGACTGCTTTGAGGCCTACTGTAGTAAAGGAAATAACTTCATCTAAAAACCAAACGGAAGCATTCACAGACAATTCTTAGTGATCATTGCATTGAACTAACAGAGCTGAACATTCCTTTAGATGGCGCAGTTTCCAAACACACTTTCTGTAGAATCTGCAAGTGGATATTTGGACCTCTCTGAGGATTTCGTTGGAAACGGGATAAACTTCCCAGAACTACACGGAAGCATTCTGAGAAACTTCTTTGTGATGTTTGCATTCAACTCACAGAGTTGAACCTTGCTTTCATAGTTCAGCTTTCAAACACTCTTTTTGTAGAATCTGCAAGTGGATATTTGGACCACTTTGTGGCCTTCCTTCGAAACGGGTATATCTTCACATCAAACCTAGACAGAAGCATTCTCAGAATGTTTCCTGTGATGACTGCATTCAACTCACAGAGGTGAACAATCCTGTTGATGGAGCACTTTTGAAACTCTCTTTCTTTGGATTCTGCAAGTTGATATGTGGACCTCTGTGAAGATTTCGTTGGAAACGTGTTCATCTTCACAGAAAAACTAAACAGGAGCATTCTCAGAAACTGCTTTGTGATGTTTGTGTTCCACTTCAAGAATTGAACTTTCTTCTTGACAGAGCAGCTCTGAAACCCTCTTTTTCTAGAATCTGCAAGTGGACATTTGGAGGGCTTTGAGGCCTCTGGTGGAAAAGGAAAATCTTCACATAAAAACTAGATGGAAGCATTCTCAGAAACTACTTTGTGATGATTGCATTCGACTCACAGAGTTGAACATTCCTATACATAGAGCAGGTTGTAAACAATCTTTTTGTAGAATCTGCGATTGGAGATTTGGACTGCTTTGAGGCCTACTGTAGTAAAGGAAATAACTTCATCTAAAAACCAAACGGAAGCATTCACAGACAATTCTTAGTGATCATTGCATTGAACTAACAGAGCTGAACATTCCTTTAGATGGAGCAGTTTCCAAACCCACTTTCTGTAGAATCTGCAAGTGGATATTTGGACTTCTCTGAGGATTTCGTTGGAAACGGGATATGCTTCCCAGAACTACAGGGAAGCATTGTGAGAAACTTCTTTGTGATGTTTGCATTCAACTCACAGAGTTGAACCTTGCTTTCATAGTTCAGCTTTCAAACACTCTTTTTGTAGAATCTGCAAGTGGATATTTGGACCACTTTGTGGCCTTCCTTCGAAACGGGTATATCTTCACATCAAACCTAGACAGAAGCACTCTCAGAATGTTTCCTGTGATGACTGCATTCAACTCACAGAGGTGAACAATCCTGCTGATGCAGCACTTTTGAAACTCTCTTTCTTTGGATTCTGCAAGTTGATATGTGGACCTCTGGGAAGATTTCGTTGGAAACGGGTTCATCTTCACAGAAAAACTAAACAGAAGCATTCTCAGAAACTGCTTTGTGATGTTTGTGTTCCACTTCAGGAATTGAACTTTCCTCTTGACAGAGCAGCTCTGAAACCCTCTTATTCTAGAATCTGCAAGTGGACATTTGGAGGGCTTTGAGGCCTGTGGTGGAAAAGGAAAATCTTCACATAAAAACTAGATGGAAGCATTCTCAGAAACTACTTTGTGATGATTGCATTCGACTCACAGTAGTTGAACATTCCTATAGATAGAGCAGGTTGTAAACAATCTTTTTGTAGAATCTGCGATTGGAGATTTGGACTGCTTTGAGGCCTGCTGTAGTAAAGGAAATAACTTCATCTAAAAACCAAACGGAAGCATTCACAGACAATTCTTAGTGATCATTGGATTGAACTAACAGAGCTGAACATTCCTTTAGATGGAGCAGTTTCCAAACACACTTTCTGTAGAATCTGCAAGTGGATATTTGGACTTCTCTGAGGATTTCGTTGGAAACGGGATAAACTTCCCAGAACTACACGGAAGCATTGTGAGAAACTTCTTTGTGATGTTTGCATTCAACTCACAGACTTGAACCTTGCTTTCATAGTTCAGCTTTCAAACACTCTTTTTGTAGAATCTGCAAGTGGATATTTGGACCACTTTGTGGCCTTCCTTTGAAAAGGGTGTATCTTCACATCAAACCTAGACAGAAGCATTCTCAGAATGTTTCCTGTGATGACTGCATTCAACTCACAGAGGTGAACAATCCTGCTGATGGAGCAGTGTTGAAACTCTCTTTCTTTGGATTCTGCAAGTGGATATGTGGACCTCTGTGAAGATTTCGTTGGAAACGGGTTCATCTTCACAGAAAAACTAAACAGAGAGCATTCTCAGAAACTGCTTTGTGATGTTTGTGTTCCACTTCAAGAATTGAACTTTCCTCTTGACAGAGCAGCTCTGAAACCCTCTTTTTCTAGAATCTGCAAGTGGACATTTGGAGGGCTTTGAGGCCTGTGGTGCAAAAGGAAAATCTTCACATAAAAACTAGATGGAGCATTCTCAGAAACTACTTTGTGATGATTGCATTCGACTCACAGAGTTGAACATTCCTATAGATAGAGCAGGTTGTAAACAATCTTTTTGTAGAATCTGCGATTCGAGATTTGGAATGCTTTGAGGCCTACTGCAGTAAAGGAAATAACTTCATCTAAAAACCAAACGGAAGCATTCACAGACTATTCTTAGTGATCATTGCATTGAACTAACAGAGCTGAACATTCCTTTAGATGGAGCAGTTTCCAAACCCACTTTCTGTAGAATCTGCAAGTGGATATTTGGACTTCTCTGAGGATTTCGTTGGAAACAGGATAAACTTCCCAGAACTACACGGAAGCATTGTGAGAAACTTCTTTGTGATGTTTGCATTCAACTCACAGAGTTGAACATTGCTTTCATAGTTCAGCTTTCAAACACTCTTTTTGTAGAATCTGCAAGTGTATATTTGGACCATATGTGGCCTTCCTTCGAAACGGGTATATCTTCACATCAAACCTAGACAGAAGCATTCTCAGAATGTTTCCTGTGATGACTGCATTCAACTCACAGAGGTGAACAATCCTGCTGATGGAGCAGTTTTGAAACTCTCTTTCTTTGGATTCTGCAAGTGGATATGTGGACCTCTGTGAAGATTTCGTTGGAAACGGGTTCATCTTCACAGAAAAACTAAACAGAAGCATTCTCAGAAACTGCTGTGTGATGTTTGTGTTCGACTTCAGGAATTGAAATTTCCTCTTGACAGAGCAGCTCTGAAACCCTCTTTTTCTAGAATCTGCAAGTGGACATTTGGAGGGCTTTGAGGCCTGTGGTGGAAAAGGAAAATCTTCACATAAAAACTAGATGGAAGCATTCTCAGAAACTACTTTGTGATGATTGCATTCGACTCACAGAGTTGAACATTCCTATAGATAGAGCAGGTTGTAAACAATCTTTTTGTAGAATCTGCGATTGGAGATTTGGACTGCTTTGAGGCCTACTGTAGTAAAGGAAATAACTTCATCTAAAAACCAAACGGAAGCATTCACAGACAATTCTTAGTGATCATTGCATTGAACTAACAGAGCTGAACATTCCTTTAGATGGAGCAGTTTCCAAACACACTTTCTGTAGAATCTGCAAGTGGATATTTGGACTTCTCTGAGGATTTCGTTGGAAACGGGATAAACTTCCCAGAACTACACGGAAGCATTCTGAGAAACTTCTTTGTGATGTTTGCATTCAACTCACAGAGTTGAACCTTGCTTTCATAGTTCAGCTTTCAAACACTCTTTTTGTAGAATCTGCAAGTGGATATTTGGACAACTTTGTGGCCTTCCTTCGAAACGGGTATATCTTCACATCAAACCTAGACAGAAGCATTCTCAGAATGTTTCCTGTGATGACTGCATTCAACTCACAGAGGTGAACAATCCTGTTGATGGAGCAGTTTTGAAACTCTCTTTCTTTGGATTCTGCAAGTGGATAGGTGGACCTCTGTGAAGATTTCGTTGGAAACGGGTTCATCTTCACAGAAAAACTAAACAGAAGCATTCTCAGAAACTGCTTTGTGATGTTTGTGTTCCACTTCAAGAATTGAACTTTCCTCCTGACAGAGCAGCTCTGAAACCCTCTTTTTCTAGAATCTGCAAGTGGACATTTGGAGGGCTTTGAGGCCTGTGGTGGAAAAGGAAAATCTTCACATAAAAACTAGATGGAAGCATTCTCAGAAACTACTTTGTGATGATTGCATTCGACTCACAGAGTTGAACATTCCTATAGATAGAGCAGGTTGTAAACAATCTTTTTGTAGAATCTGCGATTGGAGATTTGGACTGCTTTGAGGCCTACTGTAGTAAAGGAAATAACTTCATCTAAAAACCAAACGGAAGCATTCACAGACAATTCTTAGTGATCATTGCATTGAACTAACAGAGCTGAACATTCCTTTAGATGGAGCAGTTTCCAAACCCACTTTCTGTAGAATCTGCAAGTGGATATTTGGACTTCTCTGAGGATTTCGTTGGAAACGGGATAAACTTCCCAGAACTACACGGAAGCATTCTGAGAAACTTCTTTGTGATGTTTGCATTCAACTTACAGAGTTGAACCTTGCTTTCATAGTTCAGCTTTCAAACACTCTTTTTGTAGAATCTGCAAGTGGATATTTGGACCACTTTGGGGCCTTCCTTCGAAACGGGTATATCTTCACATCAAACCTAGACAGAAGCATTCTCAGAATGTTTCCTGTGATGACTGCATTCAACTCACAGAGGTGAACAATCCTGCTGATGGAGCAGTTTGGAAACTCTCTTTCTTTGGATTCTGCAAGTGGATATGTGGACCTCTGTGAAGATTTCGTTGGAAACGGGTTCATCTTCACAGAAAAACTAAACAGGAGCATTCTCAGAAACTGCTTTGTGATGTTTGTGTTCCACTTCAGGAATTGAACTTTCCTCTTGACAGAGCAGCTCTGCAACCCTCTTATTCTAGAATCTGCAAGTGGACATTTGGAGGGCTTTGAGGCCTGTGGTGGAAAAGGAAAATCTTCACATAAAAACTAGATGGAAGCATTCTCAGAAACTACTTTGTGATGATTGCATTCGACTCACAGAGTTGAACATTCCTATAGATAGAGCAGGTTGTAAACAATCTTTTTGTAGAATCTGCGATTGGAGATTTGGACTGCTTTGAGGCCTACTGTAGTAAAGGAAATAACTTCTTCTAAAAACCAAACGGAAGCATTCACAGACAATTCTTAGTGATCATTGGATTGAACTAACAGAGCTGAACATTCCTTTAGATGGAGCAGTTTCCAAACACACTTTCTGCAGAATCTGCAAGTGGATATTTGGACTTCTCTGAGGATTTCGTTGGAAACGGGATAAACTTCCCAGAACTACACGGAAGCATTCTGAGAAACTTCTTTGTGATGTTTGCATTCAACTCACAGAGTTGAACCTTGCTTTCATAGTTCAGCTTTCAAACACTCTTTTTGTAGAATCTGCAAGTGGATATTTGGACCACTTTGTGGCCTTCCTTCGAAACGGGTATATCTTCACATCAAACCTAGACAGAAGCATTCTCAGAATGTTTCCTGTGATGACTGCATTCAACTCACAGAGGTGAACAATCCTGTTGATGGAGCACTTTTGAAACTCTCTTTCTTTGGATTCTGCAAGTTGATATGTGGACCTCTGTGAAGATTTCGTTGGAAACGGGTTCATCTTCACAGAAAAACTAAACAGAAGCATTCTCAGAAACTGCTTTGTGATGTTTTTGTTCCACTTCAGGAATTGAACTTTCCTCTTGACAGAGCAGCTCTGAAACCCTCTTATTCTAGAATCTGCAAGTGGACATTTGGTGGGCTTTGAGGCCTGTGTTGGAAAAGGAAAATCTTCACATAAAAACTAGATGGAAGCATTCTCAGAAACTACTTTGTGATGATTGCATTCGACTCACAGAGTTGAACATTCCTATAGATAGAGCAGGTTGTAAACAATCTTTTTGTAGAATCTGCGATTGGAAATTTGGACTGCTTTGAGGCCTACTGTAGTAAAGGAAATAACTTCATCTAAAAACCAAACGGAAGCATTCACAGACAATTCTTAGTGATCATTGCATTGAACTAACAGAGCTGAACATTCCTTTAGATGGCGCAGTTTCCAAACACACTTTCTGTAGAATCTGCAAGTGGATATTTGGACTTCTCTGAGGATTTCGTTGGAAACGGGATAAACTTCCCAGAACTACACGGAAGTATTCTGAGAAACTTCTTTGTGATGTTTGCATTCAACTCACAGAGTTGAACCTTGCTTTCATAGTTCAGCTTTCAAACACTCTTTTTGTAGAATCTGCAAGTGGATATTTGGACCACTTTGTGGCCTTCCTTCGAAACGGGTATATCTTCACATCAAACCTAGACAGAAGCATTCTCAGAATGTTTCCTGTGATGACTGCATTCAACTCACAGAGGTGAACAATCCTGCTGATGGAGCAGTTTTGATACTCCCTTTCTTTGGATTCTGCAAGTGGATATGTGGACCTCTGTGAAGATTTCGTTGGAAACGGGTTCATCTTCACAGAAAAACTAAACAGAAGCATTCTCAGAAACTGCTTTGTGATGTTTGTGTTCCACTTCAAGAATTGAACTTTCCTCTTGACAGAGCAGCTCTGAAACCCTCTTTTTCTAGAGTATGCAAGTGGACATTTGGAGGGCTTTGAGGCCTGTGGTGGAAAAGGAAAATCTTCACATAAAAACTAGATGGAAGCATTCTCACAAACTACTTTGTGATGATTGCATTCGACTCACAGAGTTGAACATTCCTATAGATAGAGCAGGTTGTAAACAATCTTTTTGTAGAATCTGCGATTGGAGATTTCGACTGCTTTGAGGCCTACTGTAGTAAAGGAAATAACTTCATCTAAAAACCAAACGGGAAGCATTCACAGACAATTCTTAGTGATCATTGGATTGAACTAACAGAGCTGAACATTCCTTTAGATGGAGCAGTTTCCAAACCCACTTTCTGTAGAATCTGCAAGTGGATATTTGGACTTCTCTGAGGATTTCGTTGGAAACGGGATAAACTTCCCAGAACTACACGGAAGCATTGTGAGAAACTTCTTTGTGATGTTTGCATTCAACTCACAGAGTTGAACCTTGTTTTCATAGTTCAGCTTTCAAACACTCTTTTTGTAGAATCTGCAAGTGGATATTTGGACCACTTTGTGGCCTTCCTTCGAAACGGGTATATCTTCACATCAAACCTAGACAGAAGCATTCTCAGAATGTTTCCTGTGATGACTGCATTCAACTCACAGAGGTGAACAATCCTGCTGATGGAGCAGTTTTGAAACTCTCTTTCTTTGGATTCTGCAAGTGGATATGTGGACCTCTGTGAAGATTTCGTTGGAAACGGGTTCATCTTCACAGAAAAACTAAACAGAAGCATTCTCAGAAACTGCTTTGTGATGTTTGTGTTCCACTTCAGGAATTGAACTTTCCTCTTGTCAGAGCAGCTCTGAAACCCTCTTTTTCTAGAATCTGCAAGTGGACATTTGGAGGGCTTTGAAGCCTGTGGTGGAAAAGGAAAATCTTCACATAAAAACTAGATGGAAGCATTCTCAGAAACTACTTTGTGATGATTGCATTCGACTCACAGAGTTGAACATTCCTATAGATAGAGCAGGTTGTAAACAATCTTTTTGTAGAATCTGCGATTGGAGATTTGGACTGCTTTGAGGCCTACTGTAGTAAAGGAAATAACTTCATCTAAAAACCAAACGGAGGCATTCACAGACAATTCTCAGTGATCATTGGATTGAACTAACAGAGCTGAACATTCCTTTAGATGGAGCAGTTTCCAAACACACTTTCTGTAGAATCTGCAAGTGGATATTTGGACCTCTCTGAGGATTTCGTTGGAAACGGGATAAAATTCCCAGAACTACACGGAAGCATTCTGAGAAACTTCTTTGTGATGTTTGCATTCAACTCACAGAGTTGAACCTTGCTTTCATAGTTCAGCTTTCAATCACTCTTTTTGTAGAATCTGCAAGTGGATATTTGGACCACTTTGTGGCCTTCCTTCGAAACGGGTATATCTTCACATCAAACCTAGACAGAAGCATTCTCAGAATGTTTCCTTTGATGACTGCATTCAACTCACAGAGGTGAACAATCCTGCTGATGGAGCAGTTTTGAAACTCTCTTTCTTTGGATTCTGCAAGTGGATATGTGGACCTCTGTGAAGATTTCGTTGGAAACGGGTTCATCTTCACAGAAAAACTAAACAGAAGCATTCTCAGAAACTGCTTTGTGATGTTTGTGTTCCACTTCAAGAATTGAACTTTCCTCTTGACAGAGCAGCTCTGAAACCCTCTTTTTCTAGAATCTGCAAGTGGACATTTGGAGGGCTTTGAGGCCTGTGGTGGAAAAGGAAAATCTTCACATAAAAACTAGATGGAAGCATTCTCACAAACTCCTTTGTGATGATTGCATTCGACTCACAGAGTTGAACATTCGTATAGATAGAGTAGGTTGTAAACAATCTTTTTGTAGAATCTGTGATTGGAGATTTCGACTGCTTTGAGGCCTACTGTAGTAAAGGAAATAACTTCATCTAAAAACCAAACGGAAGCATTCACAGACAATTCTTAGTGATCATTGCATTGAACTAACAGAGCTGAACATTCCTTTAGATGGCGCAGTTTCCAAACACACTTTCTGTAGAATCTGAAAGTGGATATTTGGACCTCTCTGAGGATTTCGTTGGAAACGGGATAAACTTCCCAGAACTCCACGGAAGCATTCTGAGAAACTTCTTTGTGATGTTTGCATTCAACTCACAGAGTTGAACCTTGCTTTCATAGTTCAGCTTTCAAACACTCTTTTTGTAGAATCTGCAAGTGGATATTTGGACCACTTTGTGGCCTTCCTTCGAAACGGGTATATCTTCACATCAAACCTAGACAGAAGCATTCTCAGAATGTTTCCTGTGATGACTGCATTCAACTCACAGAGGTGAACAATCCTTTTGATGGAGCAGTTTTGAAACTCTCTTTCTTTGGATTCTGCAAGTGGATATGTGGACCTCTGTGAAGATTTCGTTGGAAACGGGTTCATTTTCACAGAAAAACTAAACAGAAGCATTCTCAGAAACTGCTTTGTGATGTTTGTGTTCCACTTCAGGAATTGAACTTTCCTCTTGACAGAGCAGCTCTGCAACCCTCTTATTCTAGAATCTGCAAGTGGACATTTGGAGGGCTTTGAGGCCTGTGGTGGAAAAGGAAAATCTTCACATAAAAAATAGATGGAAGCATTCTCAGAAACTACTTTGTGATGATTGCATTCGACTCACAGAGTTGAACATTCCTATAGATAGAGCAGGTTGAAAACAATCTTTTTGTAGAATCTGCGATTGGAGATTTGGACTGCTTTGAGGCCTACTTTAGTAAAGGAAATAACTTCATCTAAAAACCAAACGGAAGCATTCACAGACAATTCTTAGTGATCATTGGATTGAACTAACAGAGCTGAACATTCCTTTAGATGGAGCAGTTTCCAAACACACTTTCTGTAGAATCTGCAAGTGGATATTTGGACCTCTCTGAGGATTTCGTTGGAAACGGGATAAACTTCCCAGAACTACAAGGAAGCATTCTGAGAAACTTCTTTGTGATGTTTGCATTCAACTCACAGAGTTGAACCTTGCTTTCATAGTTCAGCTTTCAAACACTCTTTTTGTAGAATCTGCAAGTGGATATTTGGACCACTTTGTGGCCTTCCTTCGAAACGGGTATATCTTCACATCAAACCTAGACAGAAGCATTCTCAGAATGTTTCCTGTGATGACTGCATTCAACTCACAGAGGTGAACAATCCTGCTGTTGGAGCAGTTTTGAAACTCTCTTTCTTTGGATTCTGCCATTGGATATGTGGACCTCTGTGAAGATTTCATTGGAAACGGGTTCATCTTCACAGAAAAACTAAACAGGAGCATTCTCAGAAACTGCTTTGTGATGTTTGTGTTCCACTTCAAGAATTGAACTTTCCTCTTGACAGAGCAGCTCTGAAACCCTCTTTTTCTAGAATCTGCAAGTGGACATTTGGAGGGCTTTGAGGCCTGTGGTGGAAAAGGAAAATCTTCACATAAAAACTAGACGGAAGCATTCTCAGAAACTACTTTGTGATGATTGTATTCGACTCACAGAGTTGAACATTCCTATAGATAGAGCAGGTTGAAAACAATCTTTTTGTGGAATCTGCGATTGGAGATTTGGACTGCTTTGAGGCCTACTGTAGTAAAGGAAATAACTTCATCTAAAAACCAAACGGAAGCATTCACAGACAATTCTTAGTGATCATTGGATTGAACTAACAGAGCTGAACATTCCTTTAGATGGAGCAGTTTCCAAACACACTTTCTGTAGAATCTGCAAGTGGATATTTGGACTTCTCTGAGGATTTCGTTGGAAACGGGATAAACTTCCCAGAACTACACGGAAGCATTCTGAGAAACTTCTTTGTGATGTTTGCATTCAACTCACAGAGTTGAACCTTGCTTTCATAGTTCAGCTTTCAAACACTCTTTTTGTAGAATCTGCAAGTGGATATTTGGACCACTTTCTGGCCTTCCTTCGAAACGGGTATATCTTCACATCAAACCTAGACAGAAGCATTCTCAGAATGTTTCCTGTGATGACTGCATTCAACTCACAGAGGTGAACAATCTGCTGATGGAGCAGTTTTGAAACTCTCTTTCTTTGGATTCTGCAAGTGGATATGTGGACCTCTGTGAAGATTTCGTTGGAAACGGGTTCATCTTCACAGAAAAACTAAACAGAAGCATTCTCAGAAACTGCTTTGTGATGTTTGTGTTCCACTTCAAGAATTGAACTTTCCTCTTGACAGAGCAGGTCTGAAACCCTCTTTTTCTAGAATCTGCAAGTGGACATTTGGAGGGCTTTGAGGCCTGTGGTGGAAAAGGAAAATCTTCACATAAAAACTAGATGGAAGCATTCTCAGAAACTACTTTGTGATGATTGCATTCGACTCACAGAGTTGAACATTCCTATAGATAGAGCAGGTTGTAAACAATCTTTTTGTAGAATCTGCGATTGGAGATTTGGACTGCTTTGAGGCCTACTGTAGTAAAGGAAATAACTTCATCTGAAAACCAAACGGAAGCATTCACAGACAATTCTTATTGATCATTGGATTGAACTAACAGAGCTGAACATTCCTTTAGATGGCGCAGTTTCGAAACACACTTTCTGTAGAATCTTCAAGTGGATATTTGGACCTCTCTGAGGATTTCGTTGGAAACGGGATAAACTTCCCAGAACTACACGGAAGCATTCTGAGAAACTTCTTTGTGATGTTTGCATTCAACTCACAGAGTTGAACCTTGCTTTCATAGTTCAGCTTTCAAACACTCTTTTTGTAGAATCTGCAAGTGGATATTTGGACCACTTTGTGGCCTTCCTTCGAAACGGGTATATCTTCACATCAAACCTAGACAGAAGCATTCTCAGAATGTTTCCTGTGATGACTGCATTCAACTCACAGAGGTGAACAATCCTGCTGATGGAGCAGTTTTGAAACTCTCTTTCTTTGGATTCTGCAAGTGGATATGTGGACCTCTGTGAAGATTTCGTTGGAAACGGGTTCATCTTCACAGAAAAACTAAACAGGAGCATTCTCAGAAACTGCTTTGTGATGTTTGTGTTCCACTTCAGGAATTGAACTTTCCTCTTGACAGAGCAGCTCTAAAACCCTCTTATTCTAGAATCTGCAAGTGGACATTTGGAGGGCTTTGAGGCCTGTGGTGGAAAAGGAAAATCTTCACATAAAAACTAGATGGAAGCATTCTCAGAAACTACTTTGTGATGATTGCATTCGACTCACAGAGTTGAACATTCCTATAGATAGAGCAGGTTGTAAACAATCTTTTTGTAGAATCTGCGATTGGAGATTTGGACTGCTTTGAGGCCTACTGTAGTAAAGGAAATAACTTCATCTAAAAACCAAACGGAAGCATTCACAGACAATTCTTAGTGATCACTGGATTGAACTAACAGAGCTGAACATTCCTTTAGATGGAGCAGTTTCCAAACACACTTTCTGTGGAATCTGCAAGTGGATATTTGGACCTCTCTGAGGATTTCGTTGGAAACGGGATAAACTTCCCAGAACTACACGGAAAGTATTCTGAGAAACTTCTTAGTGATGTTTGCATTCAACTCACAGAGTTGAACCTTGCTTTCATAGTTCAGCTTTCAAACACTCTTTTTGTAGAATCTGCAAGTTGATATTTGGACCACTTTGTGGCCTTCCTTCGAAACGGGTATATCTTCACATCAAACCTAGACAGAAGCATTCTCAGAATGTTTCCTGTGATGACTGCATTCAACTCACAGAGGTGAACAATCCTGCTGATGGAGCAGTTTTGAAACTCTCTTTCTTTGGATTCTGCAGGTGGATATGTGGACCTCTGTGAAGATTTCTTTGGAAACGGGTTCATCTTCACAGAAAAACTAAACAGGAGCATTCTCAGAAACTGCTTTGTGATGTTTGTGTTCCACTTCAGGAATTGAACTTTCCTCTCGACAGAGCAGCTCTGAAACCCTCTTTTTCTAGAATCTGCAAGTGGACATTTGGAGGGCTTTGAGGCCTGTGGTGGAAAAGGAAAATCTTCACATAAAAACTAGATGGAAGCATTCTCAGAAACTACTTTGTGATGATTGCATTCGACACACAGTTGAACATTCCTATAGATAGAGCAGGTTGTAAACAATCTTTTTGTAGAATCTGCGATTGGAGATTTGGACTGCTTTGAGGCCTACTGTAGTAAAGGAAATAACTTCATCTAAAAACCAAACTGAACCATTCACAGACAATTCTTAGTGATCATTGCATTGAACTAACAGAGCTGAACATTCCTTTAGATGGCGCAGTTTCCAAACACACTTTCTGTAGAATCTGCAAGTGGATATTTGGACCTCTCTGAGGATTTCGTTGGAAACAGGATAAACTTCCCAGAACTACACGGAAGCATTCTGAGAAACTTCTTTGTGATGTTTGCATTCAACTCACAGAGTTGAACCTTGCTTTCATAGTTCAGCTTTCAAACACTCTTTTTGTAGAATCTGCAAGTGGATATTTGGACCACTTTGTGGCCTTCCTTCGAAACGGGTATATCTTCACATCAAACCTAGACAGAAGCATTCTCAGAATGTTTCCTGTGATGACTGCATTCAACTCACAGAGGTGAACAATCCTGCTGTTGGAGCAGTTTTGAAACTCTCTTTCTTTGGATTCTGCAAGTGGATATGTGGACCTCTGTGAAGATTTCGTTGGAAACGGGTTCATCTTCACAGAAAAACTAAACAGGAGCATTCTCAGAAACTGCTTTGTGATGTTTGTGTTCCACTTCAAGAATTGAACTTTCCTCTTGACAGAGCAGCTCTGAAACCCTCTTTTTCTAGAATCTGCAAGTGGACATTTGGAGGGCTTTGAGGCCTGTGGTGGAAAAGGAGATATCTTCTCATAAAACCTAGATGGAAGCAGTCTCAGAAACTACTTTGTGATGTTTGTGTTCAACTTGCAGAGTTGAACTTTCCTCTTGACAGAGCATCTATGAAACATTGCTTTTCTTGAATCTGCAAGTGGACATTTGGAGGGCTTTGAGGCCTGTGGCGGAAACGTAAATATCTGCAGATAAAAACTAGATAGAAGCATTCTCAGAAAGTACTTTGTGATGATTGCATTCGACTCACAGAGTTGAACATTCCTATAGATAGAGCAGGTTGTAAACAATCTTTTTGTAGAATCTGCGATTGGAGATTTGGACTGCTTTGAGGCCTACTGTAGTAAAGGAAATAACTTCATCTAAAAACCAAACGGAAGCATTCACAGACAATTCTTAGTGATCATTGGATTGAACTAACAGAGCTGCACATTCCTTTAGATGGAGCAGTTTCCAAACACACTTTCTGTAGAATCTGCAAGTGGATATTTGGACCTCTCTGAGGATATCGTTGGAAACGGGATAAACTTCCCAGAACTACACGGAAGCATTCTGAGAAACTTCTTTGTGACGTCTGCATTCAACTCACAGAGTTGAACCTTGCTTTCATAGTTCAGCTTTCAAACACTCTTTTTGTAGAATCTGCAAGTGGATATTTGGACCACTTTGTGGCCTTCCTTCGAAACGGGTATATCTTCACATCAAACCTAGACAGAAGCATTCTCAGAATGTTTCCTGTGATGACTGCATTCAACTCACAGAGGTGAACAATCCTGCTGATGGAGCAGTTTTGAAACTCTCTTTCTTTGGATTCTGCAAGTGGATATGTGGACCTCTCTGAAGATTTCGTTGGAAACGGGTTCATATTCACAGTAAAACTAAACAGGAGCATTCTCAGTAAACTGCTTTGTGATGTTTGTGTTCCACTTCAAGAATTGAACTTTCCTCTTGACAGAGCAGCTCTGAAACCCTCTTTTTCTAGAATCTGCAAGTGGACATTTGGAGGGCTTTGAGGCCTGTGGTGGAAAAGCAAAATCTTCCCATAAAAACTAGATGGAAGCATTCTCAGAAACTACTTTGTGATGATTGCATTCGACTCACAGAGTTGAACATTCCTATACATAGAGCAGGTTGTAAACAATCTTTTTGTAGAATCTGCGATTGGAGATTTGGACTGCTTTGAGGCCTACTGTAGTAAAGGAAATAACTTCATCTAAAAACCAAACGGAAGCATTCACAGACAATTCTTAGTGATCATTGGATTGAACTAACAGAGCTGAACATTCCTTTAGATGGAGCACTTTCCAAACACACTTTCTGTAGAATCTGCAAGTGGATATTTGGACCTCTCTGAGGATTTCGTTGGAAACGGGATAAACTTCCCAGAACTACACGGAAGCATTCTGAGAAACTTCTTTGTGATGTTTGCATTCAACTCACAGAGTTGAACCTTGCTTTCATAGTTCAGCTTTCAAACACTCTTTTTGTAGAATCTGCAAGTGGATATTTGGACCAATTTGTGGCCTTCCTTCGAAACGGGTATATCTTCACATCAAACCTAGACAGAAGCATTCTCAGAATGTTTCCTGTGATGACTGCATTCAACTCACAGAGGTGAACAATCCTGCTGATGGAGCAGTTTTGAAACTCTCTTTCTTTGGATTCTGCAAGTGGATATGTGGACCTCTGTGAAGATTTCGTTGGAAACGGGTTCATCTTCACAGAAAAACTAAACAGAAGCATTCTCAGAAACTACTTTGTGATGTTTGTGTTCCACTTCAAGAATTGAACTTTCCTCTTGACAGAGCAGCTCTGAAACCCTCTTTTTCTAGAATCTGCAAGTGGACATTTGGAGGGCTTTGAGGCCTGTGGTGGAAAAGGGAAATCTTCACATAAAAACTTTATGGAAGCATTCTCAGAAACTACTTTGTGATGATTGCATTCGACTCACAGAGTTGAACATTCCTATACATAGAGCAGGTTGTAAACAATCTTTTTGTAGAATCTGCGATTGGAGATTTGGACTGCTTTGAGGCCTACTGTAGTAAAGGAAATAACTTCATCTAAAAACCAAACGGAAGCATTCACAGACAATTCTTAGTGATCATTGCATTGAACTAACAGAGCTGAACATTCCTTTAGATGGAGCAGTTTCCAAACCCACTTTCTGTAGAATCTGCAAGTGGATATTTGGACTTCTCTGAGGATTTCGTTGGAAACGGGATATGCTTCCCAGAACTACAGGGAAGCATTGTGAGAAACTTCTTTGTGATGTTTGCATTCAACTCACAGAGTTGAACCTTGCTTTCATAGTTCAGCTTTCAAACACTCCTTTTGTAGAATCTGCAAGTGGATATTTGGACCACTTTGTGGCCTTCCTTCGAAACGGGTATATCTTCACATCAAACCTAGACAGAAGCATTTTCAGAATGTTTCCTATGATGACTGCATTCAACTCACAGAGGTGAACAATCCTGCTGATGGAGCAGTTTTGAAACTCTCTTTCTTTGGATTCTGCAAGTGGATATGTGGACCTCTGTGAAGATTTTGTTGGAAACGGGTTCATCTTCACAGAAAAACTAAACAGGAGCATTCTCAGAAACTGCATTATCATGTTTGTGTTCCACTTCAAGAGTTGAACTTTCCTCTTGACAGAGCAGCTCTGAAACCCTCTTTTTCTAGAATCTGCAAGCGGACATTTGGAGGGCTTTGAGGCCTGTGGTGGAAAAGGAAAATCTTCACATAAAAACTTTATGGAAGCATTCTCAGAAACTACTTTGTGATGATTGCATTCGACTCACAGAGTTGAACATTCCTATAGATAGAGCAGGTTGAAAACAATCTTTTTGTAGAATCTGCGATTGGAGATTTGGACTGCTTTGAGGCCTACTGTAGTAAAGGAAATAACTTCATCTAAAAACCAAACGGAAGCATTCACAGACAATTCTTAGTGATCATTGGATTGAACTAACAGAGCTGAACATTCCTTTAGATGGAGCAGTTTCCAAACACACTTTCTGTAGAATCTGCAAGTGGATATTTGGACCTCTCTGAGGATTTCGTTGGAAACGGGATAAACTTCCCAGAACTACACGGAAGCATTCTGAGAAACTTCTTTGTGATGTTTGCATTCAACTCACAGAGTTGAACCTTGTTTTCATAGTTCAGCTTTCAAACACTCTTTTTGTAGAATCTGCAAGTGGATATTTGGACCAGTTTGTGGCCTTCCTTCGAAACGGGTATATCTTCACATCAAACCTAGACAGAAGCATTCTCAGAATGTTTCCTGTGATGACTGCATTCAACTCACAGAGGTGAACAATCCTGTTGATGGAGCACTTTTGAAACTCTCTTTCTTTGGATTCTGCAAGTTGATATGTGGACCTCTGTGAAGATTTCGTTGGAAACGGGTTCATCTTCACAGAAAAACTAAACAGAAGCATTCTCAGAAACTGCTTTGTGATGTTTGTGTTCCACTTCAGGAATTGAACTTTCCTCTTGACAGAGCAGCTCTGAAATCCTCTTATTCTAGAATCTGCAAGTGGACATTTGGAGGGCTTTGAGGCCTGTGGTGGAAAAGGAAAATCTTCACATAAAAACTAGATGGAAGCATTCTCAGAAAATACTTTGTAATGATTGCATTCGACTCACAGAGTTGAACATTCCTATAGATAGAGCAGGTTGTAAACAATGTTTTTGTAGAATCTGCGATTGGAGATTTGGATTGCTTTGAGGCCTACTGTAGTAAAGGAAATAACTTCATCTAAAAACCAAACGGAAGCATTCACAGACAATTCTTAGTGATCATTGGATTGAACTAACAGAGCTGAACATTCCTTTAGATGGAGCAGTTGCCAAACCCACTTTCTGTAGAATCTGCAAGTGGATATTTGGACTTCTCTGAGGATTTCGTTGGAAACGGGATAAACTTCCCAGAACTACACGGAAGCATTGTGAGAAACTTCTTTGTGATGTTTGCATTCAACTCACAGAGTTGAACCTTGCTTTCATAGTTCAGCTTTCAAACACTCTTTTTGTAGAATCTGCAAGTGGATATTTGGACCACTTTGTGGCCTTCCTTCGAAACGGGTATATCTTCACATCAAACCTAGACAGAAGCATTCTCAGAATGTTTCCTGTGATGACTGCATTCAACTCACAGAGGTGAACAATCCTGCTGATGGAGCAGTTTTGAAACTCTCTTTCTTTGGATTCTGCAAGTGGATATGTGGACCTCTGTGAAGATTTCGTTGGAAACGGGTTCATCTTCACAGAAAAACTAAACAGAAGCATTCTCAGAAACTACTTTGTGATGTTTGTGTTCCACTTCAAGAATTGAACTTTCCTCTTGACAGAGCAGCTCTGAAACCCTCTTTTTCTAGAATCTGCAAGTGGACATTTGGAGGGCTTTGAGGCCTGTGGTGGAAAAGGAAAATCTTCACATAAAAACTAGATGGAAGCATTCTCAGAAACTACTTTGTGATGATTGCATTCGACTCACAGAGTTGAACATTCCTATAGATAGAGCAGGTTGTAAACAATCTTTTTGTAGAATCTGCGATTGGAGATTTGGACTGCTTTGAGTCCTACTGTAGTAAAGGAAATAACTTCATCTAAAAACCAAACGGAAGCACTCAGAAAATTCTTTGTGATGATTGGATTGAACTAAGAGAGCTGAACATTCCTTTAGATGGCACAGTTTCCAAACACACTTTCTGTAGAATCTGCAAGTGGATATTTGGACCTCTCTGAGGATTTCGTTGGAAATGGGATAAACTTCCCAGAAATACACGGAAGCATTCTCAGAACTTCTTTGTGATGTTTGCATTCAACTCACAGAGTTGAACCTTGCTTTCATAGTTCAGCTTTCAAACACTCTTTTTGCAGAATCTGCAAGTGGATATTTGGACCACTTTTTGGCCTTCCTTCGAAACGGGTATATCTTCACATCAAACCTAGACAGAAGCATTCCTCAGAATGTTTCCTGTGATGACTGCATTCAACTCACAGAGGTGAACAATCCTTCTGATGGAGCAGTTTTGAAACTCTCTTTCTTTGGATTCTGCAAGTGGATATGTGGACCTCTGTGAAGATTTCGTTGGAAACGGGTTCATCTTCACAGAAAAACTAAACAGAAGCATTCTCAGAAACTGCATTATCATGTTTGTGTTCCACTTCAAGAGTTGAACTTTCCTCTTGACAGAGCAGCTCTGAAACCCTCTTTTTCTAGAATCTGCAAGCGGACATTTGGAGGGCTTTGAGGCCTGTGGTGGAAAAGGAAAATCTTCACATAAAAACTTTATGGAAGCATTCTCAGAAACTACTTTGTGATGATTGCATTCGACTCACAGAGTTGAACATTCCTATAGATAGAGCAGGTTGTAAACAATCTTTTTGTAGAATCTGCGATTGGAAATTTGGACTGCTTTGAGGCCTACTGTAGTAAAGGAAATAACTTCATCTATAAACCAAACGGAAGCATTCACAGACAATTCTTAGTGATCATTGGATTGAACAAACAGAGCTGAACATTCCTTTAGATGGCGCAGTTTCCAAACACACTTTCTGTAGAATCTGCAAGTGGATATTTGGACCTCTCTGAGGATTTCGTTGGAAACGGGATAAACTTCCCAGAACTACACGGAAGCATTCTGAGAAACTTCTTTGTGATGTTTGCATTCAACTCACAGAGTTGAACCTTGCTTTCATAGTTCAGCTTTCAAACACTCTTTTTCTAGAATCTGCAAGTGGATATTTGGACCACTTTGTGGCCTTCCTTTGAAAAGGGTGTATCTTCACATCAAACCTAGACAGAAGCATTCTCAGAATGTTTCCTGTGATGACTGCATTCAACTCACAGAGGTGAACAATCCTGCTGATGGAGCAGTTTTGAAACTCTCTTTCTTTGGATTCTGCAAGTGGATATGTGGACCTCTGTGAAGATTTCGTTGGAAACGGGTTCATCTTCACAGAAAAACTAAACAGAAGCATTCTCAGAAACTGCTTTGTGATGTTTGTGTTCCACTTCAGGAATTGAACTTTCCTCTTGACAGAGCAGCTCTGAAATCCTCTTATTCTAGAATCTGCAAGTGGACATTTGGAGGGCTTTGAGGCCTGTGGTGGAAAGGTAAAATCTTCACATAAAAACTAGATGGATAAGCATTGTCAGTAAACTACTTTGTGATGATTGCATTCGACTCACAGAGTTGAACATTCCTATAGATAGAGCAGGTTGTAAACAATCTTTTTGTAGAATCTGCGATTGGAGATTTGGAATGCTTTGAGGCCTACTGTAGTAAAGGAAATAACTTCATCTAAAAACCAAACGGAAGCATTCACAGACAATTCTTAGTGATCATTGGATTGAACTAACAGAGCTGAACATTCCTTTAGATGGAGTAGTTTCCAAACACACTTTCTGTCGAATCTGCAAGTGGATATTTGGACTTCTATGAAGATTTCGTTGAAAACGGGATAAACTTCCCAGAACTACACGGAAGTATTCTGAGAAACTTCTTTGTGATGTTTGCATTCAACTCACAGAGTTGAACCTTGCTTTCATAGTTCAGCTTTCAAACACTCTTTTTGTAGAATCTGCAAGTGGATATTTGGACCACTTTGTGGCCTTCCTTCGAAACTGGTATATCTTCACATCAAACCTAGACAGAAGCATTCTCAGAATGTTTCCTGTGATGACTGCATTCAACTCACAGAGGTGAACAATCCTGCTGATGGAGCAGTTTTGAAACTCTCTTTCTTTGGATTCTGCAAGTGGATATGTGGACCTCTGTGAAGATTTCGTTGGAAACGGGTTCATCTTCACAGAAAAACTAAACAGGAAGCATTCTCAGCAAACTGCTTTGTGATGTTTGTGTTCCACTTCAGGAATTGAACTTTCCTCTTGACAGAGCAGCTCTGAAACCCTCTTTTTCTAGAATCTGCAAGTTGACATTTGGAGGGCTTTGAGGCCTGCGGTGGAAAAGGAAAATCTTCACATAAAAACTAGATGGAAGCATTCTCAGAAACTACTTTGTGATGATTGCATTCGACTCACAGAGTTGAACATTCCTATACATAGAGCAGGTTGTAAACAATCTTTTTGTAGAATCTGCGATTGGAGATTTGGACTGCTTTGAGGCCTACTGTAGTAAAGGAAATAACTTCATCTAAAAACCAAACGGAAGCATTCACAGACAATTCTTAGTGATCATTGGATTGAACTAACAGAGCTGAACAGTCCTTTAGATGGAGCAGTTTCCAAACACACTTTCTGTAGAATCTGCAAGTGGATATTTGAACCTCTCTGAGGATTTCGCTGGAAACGGGCTAAATTTCCCAGAACTACACAGAAGCATTGTGAGAAACTTCTTTGTGATGTTTGCATTCAACTCACAGAGTTGAACCTTGCTTTCATAGTTCAGCTTTCAAACACTCCTTTTGTAGAATCTGCAAGTGGATATTTGGACCACTTTGTGGCCTTCCTTCGAAACGGGTATATCTTCACATCAAACCTAGACAGAAGCATTCTCAGAATGTTTCCTGTGATGACTGCATTCAACTCACAGAGGTGAACAATCCTGCAGATGGAGCAGTTTTGAAACTCTCTTTCTTTGGATTCTGCAAGTGGATATGTGGACCCCTGTGAAGATTTCGTTGGAAACGGGTTCATCTTCACAGAAAAACTAAACAGGAGCATTCTCAGAAACTGCTTTGTGATGTTTGTGTTCCACTTCAGGAATTGAACTTTCCTCTTGACAGAGCAGCTCTGAAACCCTCTTATTCTAGAATCTGCAAGTGGACATTTGGAGGGCTTTGAGGCCTGTGGTGGAAAAGGAAAATCTTCACATAAAAACTAGATGGAAGCATTCTCAGAAACTACTTTGTGATGATTGCATTCGGCTCACAGAGTTGAACATTCCTATAGATAGAGCAGGTTGTAAACAATCTTTTTGTAGAATCTGCAATTGGAGATTTGGACTGCTTTGAGGCCTACTGTAGTAAAGGAAATAACTTCATCTAAAAACCAAACGGAAGCATTCACAGACAATTCTTAGTGATCATTGGATTGAACTCACAGAGCTGAACATTCCTTTAGATGGAGCAGTTTCCAAACACACTTTCTGTAGAATCTGCAAGTGGATATTTGGACTTCTCTGAGGATTTCGTTGGAAACGGGATAAACTTCCCAGAACTACACGGAAGCATGCTGAGAAACTTCTTTGTGATGTTTGCATTCAACTCACAGAGTTGAACCTTGCTTTCATAGTTCAGCTTTCAAACACTCTTTTTGTAGAATCTCCAATGGATATTTGGACCACTTTGTGGCCTTCCTTCGAAACGGTTATATCTTCACATCAAACCTGGACAGAAGCATTCTCAGAATGTTTCCTGTGATGACTGCATTCAACTCACAGAGGTGAACAATCCTGCTGATGGAGCAGTTTTGAAACTCTCTTTCTTTGGATTCTGCAAGTGGATATGTGGACCTCTGTGAAGATTTCGTTGGAAACGGGTTCATCTTCACAGAAAAACTAAACAGAAGTATTCTCAGAAACTGCTTTGTGATGTTTGTGTTCCACTTCAGGAATTGAACTTTCCTCTTGACAGAGCAGCTCTGAAACGCTCTTATTCTAGAATCTGCAAGTGGACATTTGGAGGGCTTTGAGGCCTGTGGTGGAAAAGGAAAATCTTCACATAAAAACTAGATGGAAGCATTCTCAGAAACTACTTTGTGATGATGGCTTTCGACTCACAGAGTTGAACATTCCTATAGATAGAGCAGGTTGTAAACAATCTTTTTGTAGAATCTGCGATTGGAGATTTGGACTGCTTTGAGGCCTACTGTAGTAAAGGAAATAACTTCATCTAAAAACCAAACGGAAGCATTCACAGACAATTCTTAGTGATCATTGCATTGAACTAACAGAGCTGAACATTCCTTTAGATGGAGCAGTTTCCAAACACACTTTCTGTAGAATCTGCAAGTGGATATTTGGACTTCTCTGAGGATTTCGTTGGAAACGGGAAAAAATTCCCAGAACTACACGGAAGCATTCTGAGAAAGTTCTTTGTGATGTTTTCATTCAACTCACAGAGTTGAACCTCGCTTTCATAGTTCAGCTTTCAAACACTCTTTTTGTAGAATCTGCAAGTGGATATTTGGACCACTTTGTGGCCTTCCTTCGAAACGGGTATATCTTCACATCAAACCTAGACAGAAGCATTCTCAGAATGTTTCCTGTGATGACTGCATTCAACTCACAGAGGTGAACAATCCTGCTGATGGAGCAGTTTTGAAACTCTCTTTCTTTGGATTCTGCAAGTGGATATGTGGACCTCTGTGAAGATTTCGTTGGAAACGGGTTCATCTTCACAGAAAAACTAAACAGGAGCATTCTCAGAAACTGCTTTGTGATGTTTGTGTTCCACTTCAGGAATTGAACTTTCCTCTTGACAGAGCAGCTCTGAAACCCTCTTATTCTAGAATCTGCAAGTGGACATTTGGAGGGCTTTGAGGCCTGTGGTGGAAAAGGAAAATCTTCACATAAAAACTAGATGGAAGCATTCTCAGAAACTACTTTGTGATGATTGCATTCGACTCACAGAGTTGAACATTCCTATAGATAGAGCAGGTTGTAAACAATGTTTTTGTAGAATCTGCGATTGGAGATTTGGATTGCTTTGAGGCCTACTGTAGTAAAGGAAATAACTTCATCTAAAAACCAAACGGAAGCATTCACAGACAATTCTTAGTGATCATTGCATTGAACTAACAGAGCTGAACATTCCTTTAGATGGCGCAGTTTCCAAACACACTTTCTGTAGAATCTGCAAGTGGATATTTGGACCTCTCTGAGGATTTCGTTGGAAACGGGATAAACTTCCCAGAACTACACGGAAGCATTGTGAGAAACTTCTTTGTGATGTTTGCATTCAACTCACAGAGTTGAACCTTGCTTTCATAGTTCAGCTTTCAAACACTCTTTTTGTAGAATCTGCAAGTGGATATTTGGACCACTTTGTGGCCTTCCTTCGAAACGGGTATATCTTCACATCAAACCTAGACAGAAGCATTCTCAGAATGTTTCCTGTGATGACTGCATTCAACTCACAGAGGTGAACAATCCTGCTGATGGAGCAGTTTTGAAACTCTCTTTCTTTGGATTCTGCAAGTGGATATGTGGACCTCTGTGAAGATTTCGTTGGAAACGGGTTCATCTTCACAGAAAAACTAAACAGAAGCATTCTCAGAAACTGCTTTGTGATGTTTGTGTTCCACTTCAAGAATTGAACTTTGCTCTTGACAGAGCAGCTCTGAAACCCTCTTTTTCTAGAATCTGCAAGTGGACATTTGGAGGGCTTTGAGGCCTGTGGTGGAAAAGGAAAATCTTCACATAAAAACTAGATGGAAGCATTCTCAGAAACTACTCTGTGATGATTGCATTCGACTCACAGAGTTGAACATTCCTATAGATAGAGCAGGTTGTAAACAATCTTTTTGTAGAATCTGGGATTGGAGATTTGGACTGCTTTGAGGCCTACTGTAGTAAAGGAAATAACTTCATCTAAAAACCAAACGGAAGCATTCACAGACAATTCTTAGTGATCATTGGATTGAACTAACAGAGCTGAACATTCCTTTAGATGGAGCAGTTTCCAAACCCACTTTCTGTAGAATCTGCAAGTGGATATTTGGACTTCTCTGAGGATTTCGTTGGAAACGGGATATACTTCCCAGAACTACACGGAAGCATGCTGAGAAACTTCTTTGTGATGTTTGCATTCAACTCACAGAGTTGAAACTTGCTTTCATAGTTCAGCTTTCAAACACTCTTTTTGTAGAATCTGCAAGTGGATATTTGGAGCACTTTGTGGCCTTCCTTCGAAACGGGTATATCTTCACATCAAACCTAGACAGAAGCATTCTCAGAATGTTTCCTGTGATGACTGCATTCAACTCACAGAGGTGAACAATCCTGCTGATGGAGCAGTTTTGAAACTCTCTTTCTTTGGATTCTGCAAGTGGATATGTGGACCTCGGTGAAGATTTCGTTGGAAACGGGTTCATCTTCACAGAAAAACTAAACAGAAGCATTCTCAGAAACTGCTTTGTGATGTTTGTGTTCCACTTCAGGAATTGAACTTTCCTCTTGACAGAGCAGCTCTGAAACCCTCTTATTCTAGAATCTGCAAGTGGACATTTGGAGGGCTTTGAGGCCTGTGGTGGAAAACGAAAATCTTCACATAAAAACTAGATGGAAGCATTCTCAGAAACTACTTTGTGATGATTGCATTCGACTCACAGAGTTGAACATTCCTATAGATAGAGCAGGTTGTAAACAATCTTTTTGTAGAATCTGCGATTGGAGATTTGGACTGCTTTGAGGCCTACTGTAGTAAAGGAAATAACTTCATCTAAAAACCAAACGGAAGCATTCACAGACAATTCTTAGTGATCATTGGATTGAACTAACAGAGCTGAACATTCCTTTAGATGGAGCAGTTTCCAAACACACTTTCTGTAGAATCTGCAAGTGGATATTTGGACTTCTCTGAGGATTTCGTTGGAAACGGGATAAACTTCCCAGAACTACACGGAAGCATTCTGAGAAACTTCTTTGTGATGTTTGCATTCAACTCACAGAGTTGAACCTTGCTTTCATAGTTCAGCTTTCAAACACTCTTTTTGTAGAATCTGCAAGTGGATATTTGGACCACTTTGTGGCCTTCCTTCGAAACGGGTATATCTTCACATCAAACCTAGACAGAAGCATTCTCAGAATGTTTCCTGTGATGACTGCATTCAACTCACAGAGGTAAACAATCCTGCTGATAGAGCAGTTTTGAAACTCTCTTTCTTTGGATTCTGCAAGTGGATATGTGGACCTCTGTGAAGATTTCGTTGGAAACGGGTTCATCTTCACAGAAAAACTAAACAGGAGCATTCTCAGAAACTGCTTTGTGATGTTTGTGTTCCACTTCAAGTAATTGAACTTTCCTCTTGACAGAGCAGCTCTGAAACCCTCTTTTTCTAGAATCTGCAAGTGGACATTTGGAGGGCTTTGAGGTGTGTGGTGGAAAAGGAAAATCTTCACATAAAAACTAGATGGAAGCATTCTCAGAAAGTACTTTTTGATGATTGCATTCGACCCACAGAGTTGAACATTCCTATAGATAGAGCAGGTTGTAAACAATCTTTTTGTAGAATCTGCGATTGGAGATTTGGACTGCTTTGAGGCCTACTGTAGTAAAAGAAATAACTTCATCTAAAAACCAAACGGAAGCATTCACAGACAATTCTTAGTGATCATTGCATTGAACTAACAGAGCTGAACATTCCTTTAGATGGCGCAGTTTCCAAACACACTTTCTGTAGAATCTGCAAGTGGATATTTGGACCTCTCTGAGGATTTCGTTGGAAACGGGATAAACTTCCCAGAACTACACGGAAGCATTGTGAGAAACTTCTTTGTGATGTTTGCATTCAACTCACAGAGTTGAACCTTGCTTTCATAGTTCAGCTTTCAAACACTCTTTTTGTAGAATCTGCAAGTGGATATTTGGACCACTTTGTGGCCTTCCTTCGAAACGGGTATATCTTGACATCAAACCTAGACAGAAGCATTCTCAGAATGTTTCCTGTGATGACTGCATTCAACTCACAGAGGTGAACAATCCTGCTGATGGAGCAGTTTTGAAACTCTCTTTCTTTGGATTCTGCAAGTGGATATGTGGACCTCTGTGAAGATTTCGTTGGAAACGGGTTCATCTTCACAGAAAAACTAAACAGAAGCATTCTCAGAAACTGCTTTGTGATGTTTGTGTTCCACTTCAGGAATTGAACTTTCCTCTTGACAGAGCAGCTCTGAAACCCTCTTATTCTAGAATCTGCAAGTGGACATTTGGAGGGCTTTGAGGCCTGTGGTGGAAAAGGAAAATCTTCACATAAAAACTAGATGGAAGCATTCTCAGAAACTACTTTGTGATGATTGCATTCGACTCACAGAGTTGAACATTCCTATAGATAGAGCAGGTTGTAAACAATCTTTTTGTAGAATCTGCGATTGGAGATTTGGACTGCTTTGAGGCCTACTGTAGTAAAGGAAATAACTTCATCTAAAAACCAAACGGAAGCAATCACAGACAATTCTTAGTGATCATTGGATTGAACTAACAGAGCTGAACATTCCTTTAGATGGCGCAGTTTCCAAACACACTTTCTGTAGAATCTGCAAGTGGATATTTGGACCTCTCTGAGGATTTCGTCGGAAACGGGATAAATTTCCCAGAACTACACGGAAGCATTCTGAGAAACTTCTTTGTGATGTTTGCATTCAACTCACAGAGTTGAACCTTGCTTTCATAGTTCAGCTTTCAAACACTCTTTTTGTAGAATCTGCAAGTGGATATTTGGACCACTTTGTGGCCTTCCTTCGAAACGGGTATATCTTCACATCAAACCTAGACAGAAGCATTCTCAGAATGTTTCCTGTGATGACTGCATTCAACTCACAGATGTGAACAATCCTGTTGATGGAGCAGTTTTGAAACTCTCTTTCTTTGGATTCTGCAAGTGGATATGTGGACCTCTGTGAAGATTTCGTTGGAAACGGGTTCATCTTCACAGAAAAACTAAACAGGAGCATTCTCAGAAACTGCTTTGTGATGTTTGTGTTCCACTTCAAGAATTGAACTTTCCTCTTGACAGAGCAGCTCTGAAACCCTCTTTTTCTAGAATCTGCAAGTGGACATTTGGAGGGCTTTGAGGCCTGTGGTGGAAAAGGAAAATCTTCCCATAAAAACTAGATGGAAGCATTCTCAGAAACTACTTTGTGATGATTGCATTCGACTCACAGAGTTGAACATTCCTATAGATAGAGCAGGTTGTAAACAATGTTTTTGTAGAATCTGCGATTGGAGATTTGGACTGCTTTGAGGCCTACTGTAGTAAAGGAAATAACTTCATCTAAAAACCAAACGGAAGCATTCACAGACAATTCTTAGTGATCATTGGATTGAACTAACAGAGCTGAACATTCCTTTAGATGGAGCAGTTTCCAAACACACTTTCTGTAGAATCTGCAAGTGGATATTTGGACCTCTCTGAGGATTTCGTTGGAAACGGGATAAACTTCCCAGAACTACACGGAAGCATTCTGAGAAACTTCTTTGTGATGTTTGCATTCAACACACAGAGTTGAACCTTGCTTTCATAGTTCAGCTTTCAAACACTCTTTTTGTAGAATCTGCAAGAGGATATTTCGAACACTTTGTGGCCTTCCTTCGAAACGGGTATATCTTCACATCAAACCTAGACAGAAGCATTCTCAGAATGTTTCCTGTGATGACTGCATTCAACTCACAGAGGTGAACAATCCTGCTGATGGAGCAGTTTTGAAACTCTCTTTCTTTGGATTCTGCAAGTGGATATGTGGACCTCTGTGAAGATTTCGTTGGAAACGGGTTCATCTTCACAGAAAAACTAAACAGGAGCATTCTCAGAAACTGCTTTGTGATGTTTGTGTTCCACTTCAAGAATTGAACTTTCCTCTTGACAGAGCAGCTCTGAAACCCTCTTTTTCTAGAATCTGCAAGTGGACATTTGGAGGGCTTGGAGGCCTGTGGTGGAAAAGGAAAATCTTCACATAAAAACTAGATGGAAGCATTCTCAGAAACTACTTTGTGATGATTGCATTCGACTCACAGAGTTGAACATTCCTATAGATAGAGCAGGTTGTAAACAATCTTTTTGTAGAATCTGCAATTGGAGATTTGGACTGCTTTGAGGCCTACTGTAGTAAAGGAAATAACTTCATCTAAAAACCAAATGGAAGCATTCACAGACAATTCTTAGTGATCATTGGATTGAACTAACAGAGCTGAACATTCCTTTAGATGGAGCAGTTTCCAAACCCACTTTCTGTAGAATCTGCAAGTGGATATTTGGACTTCTCTGAGGATTTCGTTGGAAACGGGATAAACTTCCCAGAACTACACGGAAGCATTCTGAGAAACTTCTTTGTGATGTTTGCATTCAACTCACAGAGTTGAACCTTGCTTTCATAGTTCAGCTTTCAAACACTCTTTTTGTAGAATCTGCAAGTGGATATTTGGACCACTTTGTGGCCTTCCTTCGAAACGGGTGTATCTTCACATCAAACCTAGACAGAAGCATTCTCAGAATGTTTCCTGTGATGACTGCATTCAACTCACAGAGGTGAACAATCCTGCTGATGGAGCAGTTTTGAAACTCTCTTTCTTTGGATTCTGCAAGTGGATATGTGGACCTCTGTGAAGATTTCGTTGGAAACGGGTTCATCTTCACAGAAAAACTAAACAGAAGCATTCTCAGAAACTGCTTTGTGATGTTTGTGTTCCACTTCAGGAATTGAACTTTCCTCTTGACAGAGCAGCTCTGAAACCCTCTTTTTCTAGAATCTGCAAGTGGACATTTGGAGGGCTTTGAGGCCTGTGGTGGAAAAGGAAAATCTTCACATAAAAACTAGATGGAAGCATTCTCAGAAACTACTTTGTGATGATTGCATTCGACTCACAGAGTTGAACATTCCTATAGATAGAGCAGGTTGAAAACAATCTTTTTGTAGAATCTGCGATTGGAGATTTGGACTGCTTTGAGGCCTACTGTAGTAAAGGAAATAACTTCATCTAAAAACCAAACGGAAGCATTCACAGACAATTCTTAGTGATCATTGGATTGAACTAACAGAGCTGAACATTCCTTTAGATGGAGCAGTTTCCAAACCCACTTTCTGTAGAATCTGCAAGTGGATATTTGGACTTCTCTGAGGATTTCGTTGGAAACGGGATAAACTTCCCAGAACTACACGGAAGCATTCTGAGAAACTTCTTTGTGATGTTTGCATTCAACTCACAGAGTTGAACCTTGCTTTCATAGTTCAGCTTTCAAACACTCTTTTTGTAGAATCTGCAAGTGGATATTTGGACCACTTTGTGGCCTTCCTTCGAAACGGGTATATCTTCACATCAAACCTAGACAGAAGCATTCTCAGAATGTTTTCTGTGATGACTGCATTCAACTCACAGAGGTGAACAATCCTGCTGATGGGCCAGTTTTGAAACTCTCTTTCTTTGTATTCTGCAAGTGGATATGTGGACCTCTGTGAACATTTCGTTGGAAACGGGTTCATCTTCACAGAAAAACTAAGCAGGAGCATTCTCAGAAACTGCTTTGTGATGTTTGTGTTCCACTACAGGAATTGAACTTTACTCTTGACAGAGCAGCTCTGAAACCCTCTTTTCTAGAATCTGCAAGTGGACATTTGGAGGGCTTTGAGGCCTGTGGTGGAAAAGGAAAATCTTCACATAAAAACTAGATGGAAGCATTCTCAGAAACTACTTTGTGATGATTGCATTCGACTCACAGAGTTGAACATTCCTATAGATAGAGCAGGTTGTACACAATCTTTTTGTAGAATCTGTGATTGGAGATTTGGACTGCTTTGAGGCCTACTGTAGTAAAGGAAATAACTTCATCTAAAAACCAAACGGAAGCATTCACAGACAATTCTTAGTGATCATTGGATTGAACTAACAGAGCTGAACATTCCTTTAGATGGAGCAGTTTCCAAACACACTTTCTGTAGAATCTGCAAGTGGATATTTGGACCTCTGTGAGGATTTCGTTGGAAACGGGCTAAACTTCCCAGAACTACACGGAATCATTCTGAGAAAATTCTTTGTGATGTTTGCATTCAACTCACAGAGTTGAACCTTGCTTTCATAGTTCAGCTTTCAAACACTCTTTTTGTAGGATCTGCAAGTGGATATTTGGACCACTTTGTGGCCTTCCTTCGAAACGGGTATATCTAAACATCAAACCTAGACAGAAGCATTTTCAGAATGTTTCCTGTGATGACTGCATTCAACTCACAGAGGTGAACAATCCTGGTGATGGAGCAGTTTTGAAACTCTCTTTCTTTGGATTCTGCAAGTGGATATGTGGACCTCTGTGAAGATTTCGTTGGAAACGGGTTCATCTTCACAGAAAAACTAAACAGGAGCATTCTCAGAAACTGCTTTGTGATGTTTGTGTTCCACTTCAGGAATTGAACTTTCCTCTTGACAGAGCAGCTCTGAAACCCTCTTTTTCTGGAATCTGCATGTGGACATTTGGAGGGCTTTGAGGCCTGTGGTGGAAAAGGAAAATCTTCACATAAAAACTAGATGGAAGCATTCTCAGAAACTACTTTGTGATGATTGCATTCGACTCACAGAGTTGAACATTCCTATAGATAGAGCAGGTTGTAAACAATCTTTTTGTAGAATCTGCGATTGGAGATTTGGACTGCTTTGAGGCCTACTGTAGTAAAGGAAATAACTTCATCTAAAAACCAAACGGAAGCATTCACAGACAATTCTTAGTGATCATTGGATTGAACTAACAGAGCTGAACATTCCTTTAGATGGAGCAGTTTCCAAAAACACTTTCTGTAGAATCTGCAAGTGGATATTTGGACTTCTCTGAGGATTTCGTTGGAAACGGGATAAACTTCCCAGAACTACACGGAAGCATTGTGAGAAACTTCTTTGTGATGTTTGCATTCAACTCACAGAGTTGAACCTTGCTTTCATAGTTCAGCTTTCAAACACTCTTTTTGTGGAATCTGCAAGTGGATATTTGGACCACTTTGTGGCCTTCCTTCGAAACGGGTATATCTTCACATCAAACCTAGACAGAAGCATTCTCAGAATGTTTCCTGTGATGACTGCATTCAACTCACAGCAGGTGAACAATCCTGCTGATGGAGCAGTTTTGAAACTCTCTTTCTTTGGATTCTGCAAGTGGATATGTGGACCTCTGTGAAGATTTCGTTGGAAACGGGTTCATCTTCACAGAAAAACTAAACAGGAGCATTCTCAGAAAGTGCTTTGTGATGTTTGTGTTCCACTTCAGGAATTGAACTTTCCTCTTGACAGAGCAGCTCTGAAACCCTCTTTTTCTAGAATCTGCAAGTGGACATTTGGAGGGCTTTGAGGCCTGTGGTGGAAAAGGAAAATCTTCACATAAAAACTAGATGGAAGCATTCTCAGAAACTACTTTGGGATGATTGCATTCGACTCACAGAGTTGAACATTCCTATAGATAGAGCAGGTTGTAAACAATCTTTTTGTAGAATCTGCGATTGGAGATTTGGACTGCTTTGAGGCCTACTGTAGTAAAGGAAATAACTTCATCTAAAAACCAAACGGAAGCATTCACAGACAATTCTTAGTGATCATTGGATTGAACTAACAGAGCTGAACATTCCTTTAGATGGAGCAGTTTCCAAACCCACTTTCTGTAGAATCTGCAAGTGGATATTTGGACTTCTCTGAGGATTTCGTTGGAAACGGGATAAACTTCCCAGAACTACACTGAAGCATTCTGAGAAACTTCTTTGTGATGTTTGCATTCAACTCACAGAGTTGAACCTTGCTTTCATGGTTCAGCTTTCAAACACTCTTTTTGTAGAATCTGCAAGTGGATATTTGGACCACTTTGTGGCCTTCCTTCGAAACGGGTATATCTTCACATCAAACCTTGACAGAAGCATTCTCAGAATGTTTCCTGTGATGACTGCATTCAACTCACAGAGGTGAACAATCCTGTTGATGGAGCAGTTTTGAAACTCTCTTTCTTTGGATTCTGCAAGTGGATATGTGGACCTCTGTGAAGATTTCGTTGGAAACGGGTTCATCTTCACAGAAAAACTAAACAGAAGCATTCTCAGAAACTGCTTTGTGATGTTTGTGTTCCACTTCAGGAATTGAACTTTCCTCTTGACAGAGCAGCTCTGAAACCCTCTTTTTCTAGAATCTGCAAGTGGACATTTGGAGTGCTTTGAGGCCTGTGGTGGTAAAGGAAAATCTTCACATAAAAACTAGATGGAAGCATTCTCAGAAAGTACTTTTTGATGATTGCATTCGACTCACAGTGTTGAACATTCCTATAGATAGAGCAGGTTGTAAACAATCTTTTTGTAGAATCTGCGATTGGAGATTTGGACTGCTTTGAGGCCTACTGTAGTAAAGGAAATAACTTCATCTAAAAACCAAACGGAAGCATTCACAGACAATTCTTAGTGATCATTGGATTGAACTAACAGAGCTGAACATTCCTTTAGATGGAGCAGTTTCCAAACACACTTTCTGTAGAATCTGCAAGTGGATATTTGGACTTCTCTGAGGATTTCGTTGGAAACGGGATAAACTTCCCAGAACTACACGGAAGCATTCTGAGAAACTTCTTTGTGATGTTTGCATTCAACTCACAGAGTTGAACCTTGCTTTCATAGTTCAGCTTTCAAACACTCTTTTTGTAGAATCTGCAAGTAGATATTTGGACCACTTTTTGGCCTTCCTTCGAAACGGGTATATCTTCACATCAAACCTAGACAGAAGCATTCTCAGAATGTTTCCTGTGATGACTGCATTCAACTCACAGAGGTGAACAATCCTGTTGATGGAGCAGTTTTGAAACTCTCTTTCTTTGGATTCTGCATGTGGATATGTGGACCTCTGTGAAGATTTCGTTGGAAACGGGTTCATCTTCACAGAAAAACTAAACAGGAGCATTCTCAGAAACTGCTTTGTGATGTTTGTGTTCCACTTCAGGAATTGAACTTTCCTCTTGACAGACCAGCTCTGAAACCCTCTTTTTCTAGAATCTGCAAGTGGACATTTGGAGGGCTTTGAGGCCTGTGGTGGAAAAGGAAAATCTTCACATAAAAACTAGATGGAAGCATTCTCAGCAAACTACTTTGTGATGATTGCATTCGACTCACAGCAGTTGAACATTCCTATAGATAGAGCAGGTTGTAAACAATGTTTTTGTAGAATCTGCGATTGGAGATTTGGATTGCTTTGAGGCCTACTGTAGTAAAGGAAATAACTTCATCTAAAAACCAAACGGAAGCATTCACAGACAATTCTTAGTGATCATTGGATTGAACTAACAGAGCTGAACATTCCTTTAGATGGAGCAGTTTCCAAACACACTTTCTGTAGAATCTGCAAGTGGATATTTGGACCTCTCTGAGGATTTCGTTGGAAACGGGATAAACTTCCCAGAACTACACGGAAGCATTCTGAGAAACTTCTTTGTGATGTTTGCATTCAACTCACAGAGTTGAAACTTGCTTTCATAGTTCAGCTTTCAAACACTCTTTTTGTAGAATCTGCATGTGGATATTTGGACCACTTTGTGGCCTTCCTTCGAAACGGGTATATCTTCACATCAAACCTAGACAGAAGCATTCTCAGAATGTTTCCTGTGATGACTGCATTCAACTCACAGAGGTGAACAATCCTGTTGATGGAGCAGTTTTGAAACTCTCTTTCTTTGGATTCTGCAAGTGGATATGTGGACCTCTTTGAAGATTTCGTTGGAAACGGGTTCATCTTCACAGAAAAACTAAACAGAAGCATTCTCAGAAACTACTTTGTGATGTTTGTGTTCCACTTCAAGAATTGAACTTTCCTCTTGACAGAGCAGCTCTGAAACCCTCTTTTTCTAGAATCTGTAAGTGGACATTTGGAGGGCTTTGAGGCCTGTGGTGGAAAAGGAAAATCTTCACATAAAAACTAGATGGAAGCATTCTCAGAAACTACTTTGTGATGATTGCATTCGACTCACAGAGTTGAACATTCCTATAGATAGAGCAGGTTGTAAACAATCTTTTTGTAGAATCTGCGATTGGAGATTTGGACTGCTTTGAAGTCTACTGTAGTAAAGGAAATAACTTCATCTAAAAACCAAACGGAGGTATTCAAAGACAATTCTTAGTGATCATTGGATTGAACTAACAGAGCTGAACATTAGTTTAGATGGCGCAGTTTCCAAACACACTTTCTGTAGAATCTGCAAGTGGATATTTGGACTTCTCTGAGGATTTCGCTGGAAACGGGATAAACATCCCAGAACTACACGGCAGCATTCTGAGAAACTTCTTTGTGATGTTTGCATTCAACTCACAGAGTTGAAACTTGCTTTCATAGTTCAACTTTCAAACACTCTTTTTGTAGAATCTGCAAGTGGATATTTGGACCACTTTGTGGCTTTCCTTCGAAACGGGTATATCTTCACATCAAACCTAGACAGAAGCATTCTCACAATGTTTCCTGTGATGACTGCATTCAACTCACAGAGGTGAACAATCCTGCTGATGGAGCAGTTTTGAAACTCTCTTTCTTTGGATTCTGCAAGTGGATATGTGGACCTCTGTGAAGATTTCTTTGGAAACGGGTTCATCTTCACAGAAAAACTAAACAGGAAGCATTCTCAGAAACTGCTTTGTGATGTTTGTGTTCCACTTCAGGAATTGAACTTTCCTCTTGACAGAGTAGCTCTGAAACCCTCTTATTCTAGAATCTGCAAGTGGACATTTGGAGGGCTTTGAGGCCTGTGGTGGAAAAGGAAAATCTTCACATAAAAACTACATGGAAGCATTCTCAGAAACTACTTTGTGATGATTGCATTCGACTCACAGAGTTGAACATTCCTATAGATAGAGCAGGTTGTAAACAATCTTTTTGTAGAATCTGCGATTGGAGATTTGGACTGCTTTGAGGCCTACTGTAGTAAAGGAAATAACTTCATCTAAAAACCAAACGGAAGCATTCACAGACAATTCTTAGTGATCATTGGATTGAACTAACAGAGCTGAACATTCCTTTAGATGGAGAAGTTTCCAAACCCACTTTCTGTAGAATCTGCAAGTGGATATTTGGACCTCTCTGAGGATTTCGTTGGAAACGGGATAAACTTCCCAGAACTACACGGAAAGCATTCTGAGAAACTTCTTTGTGATGTTTGCATTCAACTCACAGAGTTGAACCTTGCTTTCATAGTTCAGCTTTCAAACACTCTTTTTGTAGAATCTGCAAGTGGATATTTGGACCACTTTGTGGCCTTCCTTCGAAACGGGTATATCTTCACATCAAACCTAGACAGAGCATTCTCAGAATGTTTCCTGTGATGACTGCATTCAACTCACATAGGTGAACAATCCTGTTGATGGAGCAGTTTTGAAACTCTCTTTCTTTGGATTCTGCAAGTTGATATGTGGACCTCTGGGAAGATTTCGTTGGAAACGGGTTCATCTTCACAGAAAAACTAAACAGAAGCATTCTCAGAAACTGCTTTGTGATGTTTGTGTTCCACTTCAGGAATTGAACTTTCCTCTTGACAGAGCAGCTCTGAAACCCTCTTTTTCTAGAGTCTGCAAGTGGATATTTGGAGGGCTTTGAGTCCTGTGGTGGAAAAGGAAAATCTTCACATAAAAACTAGATGGAAGCATTCTCAGAAACTACTTTGTGATGATTGCATTCGACTCACAGAGTTGAACATTCCTATAGATAGAGCAGGTTGTAAACGAATCTTTTTGTAGAATCTGCGATTGGAGATTTGCACTGCTTTGAGGCCTACTGTAGTAAAGGAAATAACTTCATCTAAAAACCAAACGGAAGCATTCACAGACAATTCTTAGTGATCATTGGATTGAACTAACAGAGCTGAACATTCCTTTAGATGGCGCAGTTTCCAAACACACTTTCTGTAGAATCTGCAAGTGGATATTTGGACCTCTCTGAGGATTTCGTTGGAAATGGGATAAACATCCCAGAACTACACGGAAGCATTCTGAGAAACTTCTTTGTGATGTTTGCATTCAACTCACAGAGTTGAACCTTGCTTTCATAGTTCAACTTTCAAACACTCTTTTTGTAGAATCTGCAAGTGGATATTTGGACCACTTTGTGGCCTTCCTTCGAAACGGGTATATCTTCACATCAAACCTAGACAGAAGCATTCTCAGAATGTTTCCCTGTGATGACTGCATTCAACTCACAGAGGTGAACAATCCTGCTGATGGAGCAGTTTTGAAACTCTCTTTCTTTGGATTCTGCAAGTGGATATGTGGACCTCTGTGAAGATTTCGTTGGAAACGCGTTCATCTTCACAGAAAAACTAAACAGGAGCATTCTCAGAAACTGCTTTGTGATGTTTGTGTTCCACTTCAGGAATTGAACTTTCCTCTTGACAGAGCAGCTCTGAAACCCTCTTTTTCTAGAATCTGCAAGTGGACATTTGGAGGGCTTTGAGGCCTGTGGTGGAAAAGGAAAATCTTCACATAAAAACTAGATGGAAGCATTCTCAGAAACTACTTTGTGATGATTGCATTGGACTCACAGAGTTGAACATTCCTATAGATAGAGCAGGTTGTAAACAATCTTTTTGTAGAATCTGCGATTGGAGATTTGGACTGCTTTGAGGCCTACTGTAGTAAAGGAAATAACTTCATCTAAAAACCAAACGGAAGCATTCACAGACAATTCTTAGTGATCATTGGATTGAACTAACAGAGCTGAACATTCCTTTAGATGGAGCAGTTTCCAAACCCACTTTCTGTAGAATCTGCAAGTGGATATTTGGACTTCTCTGAGGATTTCGTTGGAAACGGGATAAACTTCCCAGAACTACACGAAAGCATTCTGAGAAACTTCTTTGTGATGTTTGCATTCAACTCACAGAGTTGAACCTTGCTTTCATAGTTCAGCTTTCAAACACTCTTTTTGTAGAATCTGCAAGTGGATATTTGGACCACTTTGTGGCCTTCCTTCGAAACGGGTATATCTTCACATCAAACCTAGACAGAAAGCATTCTCAGAATGTTTCCTGTGATGACTGCATTCAACTCACAGAGGTGAACAATCCTGCTGATGGAGCAGTTTTGAAACTCCCTTTCTTTGGATTCTGCAAGTGGATATGTGGACCTCTGTGAAGATTTCGTTGGAAACGGGTTCATCTTCACAGAAAAACTAAACAGAAGCATTCTCCGAAACTGCTTTGTGATGTTTGTGTTCCACTTCAAGAATTGAACTTTCCTCTTGACAGAGCAGCTCTGAAACCCTCTTTTTCTAGAATCTGCAAGTGGACATTTGGAGGGCTGTGAGGCCTGTGGTGGAAAAGGAAAATCTTCACATAAAAACTTGATGGAAGCATTCTCAGAAACTACTTTGTGATGATTGCATTCGACTCACAGAGTTGAACATTCCTATAGATAGAGCAGGTTGTAAACAATCTTTTTGTAGAATCTGCGATTGGAGATTTGGACTGCTTTGAGGCCTACTGTAGTAAAGGGAATAACTTCATCTAAAAACCAAACGGAAGCATTCACAGAAAATTCTTAGTGATCATTGGATTGAACTAACAGAGCTGAACATTCCTTTAGATGGAGCAGTTTCCAAACACACTTTCTGTAGAATCTGCAAGTGGATATTTGGACCTCTCTGTGGATTTCGTTGGAAACGGGCTAAACTTCCCAGAACTACACGGAAGTATTCTGAGAACTTCTTTGTGATGTTTGCATTCAACTCACAGAGTTGAACCTTGCTTTCATAGTTCAGTTTTCAAACACTCTTTTTGTAGAATCTGCAAGTGGATATTTGGACCACTTTGTGGCCTTCCTTCGAAACGGGTATATCTTCACATCAAACCTAGACAGAAGCATTCTCAGAATGTTTCCTGTGATGACTGCATTCAACTCACAGAGGTGAACAATCCTGCTGATGGAGCAGTTTTGAAACTCTCTTTCTTTGGATTCTGCAAGTGGATATGTGGACCTCTGTGAAGATTTCGTTGGAAACGGGTTCATCTTCACAGAAAAACTAAACAGAAGCATTCTCAGAAACTGCTTTGTGATGTTTGTGTTCCACTTCAAGAATTGAACTTTCCTCTTGACAGAGCAGCTCTCAAACCCTCTTATTCTAGAATCTGCAAGTGGACATTTGGAGGGCTTTGAGGCCTGTGGTGGAAAAGGAAAATCTTCACATAAAAACTAGATGGAAGCATTCTCAGAAACTACTTTGTGATGATTGCATTCGACTCACAGAGTTGAACATTCCTATAGATAGAGCAGGTTGTAAACAATCTTGTTGTAGAATCTGCGATTGGAGATTTGGACTGCTTTGAGGCCTACTGTAGTAAAGGAAATAACTTCATCTAAAAACCAAACGGAAGCATTCACAGACAATTCTTAGTGATCATTGGATTGAACTAACAGAGCTGAACATTCCTTTAGATGGAGCAGTTTCCAAACCCACTTTCTGTAGAATGTGCAAGTGGATATTTGGACCTCTCTGAAGATTTCGTTGGAAACGGGATATACTTCCCAGAACTACACGGAAGCATTGTGAGAAACTTCTTTGTGATGTTTGCATTCAACTCACAGAGTTGAACCTTGCTTTCATAGTTCAGCTTTCAAACACTCTTTTTGTAGAATCTGCAAGTGGATATTTGGACCACTTTGTGGCCTTCCTTCGAAACGGGTATATCTTCACATCAAACCTAGACAGAAGCATTCTCAGAATGTTTCCTGTGATGACTGCATTCAACTCACAGAGGTGAACAATCCTGCTGATGGAGCAGTTTCGAAACTCTCTTTCTTTGGATTCTGCAAGTGGATATGTGGACCTCTGTGAAGATTTCGTTGGAAACGGGTTCATCTTCACAGAAAAACTAAACAGAAGCATTCTCAGAAACTGCTTTGTGATGTTTGTGTTCCACTTCAGGAATTGAACTTTCCTCTTGACAGAGCAGCTCTGCAACCCTCTTATTCTAGAATCTGCAAGTGGACATTTGGAGGGCTTTGAGGCCTGTGGTGGAAAAGGAAAATCTTCACATAAAAACTAGATGGAAGCATTCTCAGAAACTACTTTGTGATGATTGCATTCGACTCACAGAGTTGAACATTCCTATAGATAGAGCAGGTTGTAAACAATCTTTTTGTAGAATCTGCGATTGGAGATTTGGACTGCTTTGAGGCCTACTGTAGTAAAGGAAATAACTTCATCTAAAAACCAAACGGAAGCATTCACAGACAATTCTTAGTGATCATTGGATTGAACTAACAGAGCTGAACATTCCTTTAGATGGAGCAGTTTCCAAACCCACTTTCTGTAGAATCTGCAAGTGGATATTTGGACTTCTCTGAGGATTTCGTTGGAAACGGGATAAACTTCCCAGAACTACACGGAAGCATTCTGAGAAACTTCTTTGTGATGTTTGCATTCAACTCACAGAGTTGAACCTTGCTTTCATAGTTCAGCTTTCAAACACTCTTTTTGTAGAATCTGCAAGTGGATATTTGGACCACTTTGTGGCCTTCCTTCGAAACGGGTATATCTTCACATCAAACCTAGACAGAAGCATTCTCAGAATGTTTCCTGTGATGACTGCATTCAACTCACAGAGGTGAACAATCCCTGTTGATGAAGCAGTTTTGAAACTCTCTTTCTTTGGATTCTGCAAGTTGATATGTGGACCACTGTGAAGATTTGGTTGGAAACGGGTTCATCTTCACAGAAAAACTAAACAGAAGCATTCTCAGAAACTGCTTTGTGATGTTTGTGTTCCACTTCAAGAATTGAACTTTCCTCTTCACAGAGCAGCTCTGAAACCCTCTTTTTCTAGAATCTGCAAGTGGACATTTGGAGGGGTTTGAGGCCTGTGGTGGAAAAGGAAAATCTTCACATAAAAACTAGATGGAAGCATTCTCAGAAACTACTTTGTGATGATTGCATTCGACTCACAGAGTTGAACATTCCTATAGATAGAGCAGGTTGTAAACAATCTTTTTGTAGAATCTGCGATTGGAGATTTGGACTGCTTTGAGGCCTACTGTAGTAAAGGAAATAACTTCATCTAAAAACCAAACGGAAGCATTCACAGACAATCCTTTGTGATGGTTGGTTTGAACTCAGAGAGCTGAACATTCCTTTAGATGGCGCAGTTTCCAAACACACTTTCTGTAGAATCTGCAAGTGGATATTTGGACCTCTCTGAAGATTTCGTTGGAAACGGGATAAACTTCCCAGAACTACACGGAGCATTCTGAGAAACTTCTTTGTGATGTTTGCATTCAACTCACACAGTTGAACCTTGCTTTCATAGTTCAGCTTTCAAACACTCTTTTTGTAGAATCTGCAAGTGGATATTTGGACCAATTTGTGGCCTTCCTTCGAAACGGGTATATCTTCACATCAAACCTAGACAGAAGCATTCCCAGAATGTTTCCTGTGATGACTGCATTCAACTCACAGAGGTGAACAATCCTGCTGATGGAGCAGTTTTGAAACTCTCTTTCTTTGGATTCTGCAGCTGGATATGTGGACCTCTGTGAAGATTTCGTTGGAAACGGGTTCATCTTCACAGAAAAACTAAACAGGAGCATTCTCAGAAGCTGCTTTGTGAAGTTTTTGTTCCACTTCAGGAATTGAACTTTCCTCTTGACAGAGCAGCTCTGAAACCCTCTTTTTCTAGAATCTGCAAGTGGACATTTGGAGGGCTTTGAGGCCTGTGGTGGAAAAGGAAAATCTTCACATAAAAACTAGATGGAAGCATTCTCAGAAACTACTTTGTGATGATTGCATTCGACTCACAGAGTTGAACATTCCTATAGATAGAGCAGGTTGTAAACAATCTTTTTGTAGAATCTGCGATTGGAGATTTCGACTGCTTTGAGGCCTACTGTAGTAAAGGAAATAACTTCATCTAAAAACCAAACGGAAGCATTCACAGACAATTCTTAGTGATCATTGCATTGAACTAACAGAGCTGAACATTCCTTTAGATGGAGCAGTTTCCAAACACACTTTCTGTAGAATCTGCAAGTGGATATTTGGACTTCTCTGAGGATTTCGTTGGAAACGGGATAAACTTCCCAGAACTACACGGAAGCATGCTGAGAAACTTATTTGTGATGTTTGCATTCAACTCACAGAGTTGAACCTTGCTTTCATAGTTCAGCTTTCAAACACTCTTTTTGTAGAATCTGCAAGTGGATATTTGGACCACTTTGTGGCCTTCCTTCGAAACGGGTATATCTTCACATCAAACCTAGACAGAAGCATTCTCAGAATGTTTCCTGTGATGACTGCATTCAACTCACAGAGGTGAACAATCCTGTTGATGGAGCAGTTTTGAAACTCTCTTTCTTTGGATTCTGCAAGTTGATATGTGGACCTCTGTGAAGATTTCGTTGGAAACGGGTTCATCTTCACAGAAAAACTAAACAGAAGCATTCTCAGAAACTGCTTTGTGATGTTTGTGTTCCACTTCAGGAATTGAACTTTCCTCTTGACAGAGCAGCTCTGAAACCCTCTTTTTGTAGAATCTGCAAGTGGACATTTGGAGGGCTTTGAGGCCTGTGGTGGAAAAGGAAAATCTTCACATAAAAACTAGATGGAAGCATTCTCAGAAACTACTTTGTGATGATTGCATTCGACTCACAGAGTTGAACATTCCTATAGATAGAGCAGGTTGTAAACAATCTTTTTGTAGAATCTGCGATTGGAGATTTGGACTGCTTTGAGGCTTACTGTAGTAAAGGAAATAACTTCATCTAAAAACCAAACGGAAGCATTCACAGACAATTCTTAGTGATCATTGGATTGAACTAACAGAGCTGAACATTCCTTTAGATGGAGCAGTTTCCAAACACAATTTCTGTAGAATCTGCAAGTGGATATTTGGACTTCTCTGAGGATTTCGTTGGAAACGGGATAAACTTCCCAGAACTACACGGAAGCATTCTGAGAAACTTCTTTGTGATGTTTGCATTCAACTCACAGAGTTGAACCTTGCTTTCATAGTTCAGCTTTCAAACACTCTTTTTGTAGAATCTGCAAGTGGATATTTGGACCACTTTGTGGCCTTCCTTCGAAACGGGTATATCTTCACATCAAACCTAGACAGAAGCATTCTCAGAATGTTTCCTGTGATGACTGCATTCAACTCACAGAGGTGAACAATCCTGCTGATGGAGCAGTTTTGAAACTCTCTTTCTTTGGATTCTGCAAGTGGATATGTGGACCTCTGTGAAGATTTCGTTGGAAACGGGTTCATCTTCACAGAAAAACTAAACAGGAGCATTCTCAGAAACTGCTTTGTGATGTTTGTGTTCCACTTCAGGAATTGAACTTTCCTCTTGATAGAGCAGCTCTGAAAACCTCTTTTTCTAGAATCTGCAAGTGGACATTTGGAGGGTTTTGGGTCCTGTGGTGGAAAAGGAAATCTTCACATAAAAACTAGATGGAAGCATTCTCAGGAAACTACTTTGTGATGATTGCATTCGACTCACAGAGTTGAACATTCCTATAGATAGAGCAGGTTGTAAACAATCTTTTTGTAGAATCTGCGATTGGAGATTTGGACTGCTTTGAGGCCTACTGTAGTAAAGGAAATAACTTCATCTAAAAACCAAACGGAAGCATTCACAGACAATTCTTAGTGATCATTGGATTGAACTAACAGAGCTGAACATTCCTTTAGATGGAGCAGTTTCCAAACACACTTTCTGCAGAATCTGCAAGTGGATATTTGGACTTCTCTGAGGATTTCGTTGGAAACGGGATAAACTTCCCAGAACTACACGGAAGCATGCTGAGAAACTTCTTTGTGATGTTTGCATTCAACTCACAGAGTTGAACCTTGCTTTCATAGTTCAGCTTTCAAACACTCTTTTTGTAGAATCTGCAAGTGGATATTTGGACCACTTTGTGGCCTTCCTTCGAAACGGGTATATCTTCACATCAAACCTAGACAGAAGCATTCTCAGAATGTTTCCCTGTGATGACTGCATTCAACTCACAGAGGTGAACAATCCTGCTGATGGAGCAGTTTTGAAACTCTCCTTCTTTGGATTCTGCAAGTGGATATGTGGACCTCTGTGAAGATTTCGTTGGAAACGGGTTCATCTTCACAGAAAAACTAAACAGAAGCATTCTCAGAAACTGCTTTGTGATGTTTGTGTTCCACTTCAGGAATTGAACTTTCCTCTTGACAGAGCAGCTCTGAAACCCTCTTTTTCTAGAATCTGCAAGTGGACATTTGGAGGGCTGTGAGGCCTGTGGTGGAAAAGGAAAATCTTCACATAAAAACTAGATGGAAGCATTCTCAGAAACTACTTTCTGATGATTGCATTCGACTCACAGAGTTGAACTTTCCTACAGATAGAGCAGGTTGTAAACAATCTGTTTGTAGAATCTGCGATTGGAGATTTGGACTGCTTTGAGGCCTACTGTAGTAAAGGAAATAACTTCATGTAAAAACCCAACGGAAGCATTCACAGACAATTCTTAGTGATCATTGGATTGAACTAACAGAGCTGAACATTCCTTTAGATGGAGCAGTTTCCAAACACACTTTCTGTAGAATCTGCAAGTGGATATTTGGACCTCTCTGAGGATTTCGTTGGAAACGGGATAAACTTCCCAGAACTACACGGAAGCATTCTGAGAAACTTCTTTGTGATGTTTGCATTCAACTCACAGAGTTGAACCTTGCTTTCATAGTTCAGCTTTCAAACACTCTTTTTGTAGAATCTACAGAAAGTGGATATTTGGACCACTTTGTGGCCTTCCTTCGAAACGGGTATATCTTCACATCAAACCTAGACAGAAGCATTCTGAGAATGTTTCCTGTGATGACTGCATTCAACTCACAGAGGTGAACAATCCTGTTGATGGAGCAGTTTTGAAACTCTCTTTCTTTGGATTCTGCAAGTGGATATGTGGACCTCTGTGAAGATTTCGTTGGAAACGGGTTCAACTGCACAGAAAAACTAAACAGGAGCATTCTCAGAAACTGCTTTGTGATGTTTGTGTTCCACTTCAAGAATTGAACTTTCCTCTTGACAGAGCAGCTCTGAAACCCTCTTTTTCTATAATCTGCAAGTGGACATTTGGAGGGCTTTGAGGCCTGTGGTGGAAAAGGAAAATCTTCACATAAAAACTAGATGGAAGCATTCTTAGAAACTACTTTGTGATGATTGCATTCGACTCACAATGTTGAACATTCCTATAGATAGAGCAGGATGTAAACAATCTTTTTGTAGAATCTGCGATTGGAGATTTGGACTGCTTTGAGGCCTACTGTAGTAAAGGAAATAACTTCATCTAAAAATCAAACGGAAGCATTCACAGACAATTCTTTGTGATGGTTGGTTTGAACTAAGAGAGCTGATCATTCCTTTAGATGGCGCAGTTTCCAAACACACTTTCTGTAGAATCTGCAACTGGATATTTGGACCTCTCTGAGGATTTCGTTGGAAACGGGATAAACTTCCCAGAACTACACGGAAGCATGCTGAGAAACTTCTTTGTGATGTTTGCATTCAACTCACAGAGTTGAACCTTGCTTTCATAGTTCAGCTTTCAAACACTCTTTTTGTAGAATCTGCAAGTGGATATTTGGACCACTTTGTGGCCTTCCTTCGAAACGGGTATATCTTCACATCAAACATAGACAGAAGCATTCTCAGAATGTTTCCTGTGATGACTGCATTCAACTCACAGAGGTGAACAATCCTGCTGATGGAGCAGTTTTGAAACTCTCTTTCTTTGGATTCTGCAATTGGATATGTGGACCTCTGTGAAGATTTCGTTGGAAACGGGTTCATCTTCACAGAAAAACTTAACAGGAGCATTCTCAGAAACTGCTTTGTGATGTTTGTGTTCCACTTCAGGAATTGAAATTTCCTCTTGAGAGAGCAGCTCTGAAACCCTCTTTTTCTAGAATCTGCAAGTGGACATTTGGAGGGCTTTGAGGCCTGTGGTGGAAAAGGAAACTCTTCACATAAAAACTAGACGGAAGCATTCTCAGAAACTACTTTGTGATGATTGCATTCGACTCACAGAGTTGAACATTCCTATAGATAGAGCAGGTTGTAAACAATCTTTTTGTAGAATCTGCGATTGGAGATTTGGACTGCTTTGAGGCCTACTGTAGCAAAGGAAATAACTTCATCTAAAAACCAAACGGAAGCATTCACAGACAATTCTTAGTGATCATTGGATTGAACTAACAGAGCTGAACATTCCTTTATATGGAGCAGTTTCCAAACACACTTTCTGTAGAATCTGCAAGTGGATATTTGGACATCACTGAGGATTTCGTTGGAAAGGTTATAAACTTCCCAGAACTACACGGAAGTATTCTGAGAAACATCTTTGTGATGTTTGCATTCAACTCACAGAGTTGAACCTTGCTTTCATAGTTCAGCTTTCAAACACTCTTTTTGTAGAATCTGCAAGTGGATATTTGGACAACTTTGTGGCCTTCCTTCGAAACGGGTATATCTTCACATCAAACCTAGACAGAAGCATTCTCAGAATGTTTCCTGTGATGACTGCATTCAACTCACAGAGGTGAACAATCCTGTTGATGGAGCAGTTTTGAAACTCTCTTTCTTTGGATTCTGCAAGTTGATATGTGGACCTCTGTGAAGATTTCGTTGGAAACGGGTTCATCTTCACAGAAAAACTAAACAGAAGCATTCTCAGAAACTGCTTTGTGATGTTTTTGTTCCACTTCAGGAATTGAACTTTCCTCTTGACAGAGCAGCTCTGAAGCCCTCTTATTCTAGAATCTGCAAGTGGACATTTGGAGGGTTTTGAGGCCTGTGGTTGAAAAGGATAATCTTCACATAAAAACTAGATGGAAGCATTCTCAGAAACTAGTTTGTGATGATTGCATTCGACTCACAGAGTTGAACATTCCTATAGATAGAGCAGGTTGTAAACAATCTTTTTGTAGAATCTGCGATTGGAGATTTGGACTGCTTTGAGGCCTACTGTAGTAAAGGAAATAACTTCATCTAAAAACCAAACGGAAGCATTCACAGACAATTCTTAGTGAACATTGCATTGATCTAACAGAGCTGAACATTCCTTTAGATGGCGTAGTTTCCAAACACACTTTCTGTAGAATCTGCAAGTGGATATTTGGACCTCTCTGAGGATTTCGTTGGAAACGGGATAAACTTCCCAGAACTACACGGAAGCATTCTGAGAAACTTCTTTGTGATGTTTGCATTCAACTCACAGAGTTGAAACTTGCTTTCATAGTTCAGCTTTCAAACCCTCTTTTTGTAGAATCTGCAAGTGGATATTTGGACCACTTTGTGGCCTTCTTTCGAAACGGGTATATCTTCACATCAAACCTAGACAGAAGCATTCTCAGAATGTTTCCTGTGATGACTGCATTCAACTCACAGAGGTGAACAATCCTGCTGATGGACCAGTTTTGAAACTCTCTTTCTTTGGATTCTGCAAGTTGATATGTGGACCTCTGTGAAGATTTCGTTGGAAACGGGTTCATCTTCACAGAAAAACTATACAGAAGCATTCTCAGAAACTGCTTTGTGATGTTTGTGTTCCACTTCAAGAATTGAACTTTCCTCTTGACAGAGCAGCTCTGAAACCCTCTTTTTCTAGAATCTGCAAGTGGACATTTGGAGGGCTTTGAGGCCTGTGGTGGAAAAGGAAAATCTTCACATAAAAACTAGATGGAAGCATTCTCAGAAACTACTTTGTGATGATTGCATTCGACTCACAGAGTTGAACATTCCTATAGATAGAGCAGGTTGTAAACAATGTTTTTGTAGAATCTGCGATTGGAGATTTGGATTGCTTTGAGGCCTACTGTAGTAAAGGAAATAACTTCATCTAAAAACCAAACGGAAGCATTCACAGACAATTCTTAGTGATCATTGGATTGAACTAACAGAGCTGAACATTCCTTTAGATGGAGCAGTTTCCAAACCCACTTTCTGTAGAATCTGCAAGTGGATATTTGGACTTCTCTGAGGATTTCGTTGGAAACGGGATAAACTTCCCAGAACTACACGGAAGCATTCTGAGAAACTTCTTTGTGATGTTTTCATTCAACTCACAGAGTTGAACCTTGCTTTCATAGTTCAGCTTTCAAACACTCTTTTTGTAGAATCTGCAAGTGGATATTTGGACCACTTTGTGGCCTTCCTTCGAAACGGGTATATCTTCACATCAAACCTAGACAGAAGCATTCTCAGAATGTTTCCTGTGATGACTGCATTCAACTCACAGAGGTGAACAATCCTGCTGATGGAGCAGTTTTGAAACTCTCTTTCTTTGGATTCTGCAAGTGGATATGTGGACCTCTGTGAAGATTTCGTTGGAAACGGGTTCATCTTCACAGAAAAACTAAACAGGAGCATTCTCAGACACTGCTTTGTGATGTTTGTGTTCCACTTAAAGAATTGAACTTTCCTCTTGACAGAGCAGCTCTGAAACCCTCTTTTTCTAGAATCTGCAAGTGGACATTTGGAGGGCTTTGAGGCCTGTGGTGGAAAAGGAAAATCTTCACATAAAAACTTTATGGAAGCATTCTCAGAAACTACTTTGTGATGATTGCATTCGACTCACAGAGTTGAACATTCCTATAGATAGAGCAGGTTGTAAACAATCTTTTTGTAGAATCTGCGATTGGAGATTTGGACTGCTTTGAGGCCTACTGTAGTAAAGGAAATAACTTCATCTAAAAACCAAACGGAAGCATTCAAAGACAATTCTTAGTGTTCACTGGATTGAACTAACAGAGCTGAACATTCCTTTAGATGGCGCAGTTTCCAAAAGACTTTCTGTAGAATCTGCAAGTGGATATTTGGACTTCTCTGAGGATTTCGTTGGAAACGGGATAAACTTCTGAGAACTACACGGAAGCATTCTGAGAAACTTCTTTGTGATGTTTGCATTCAACTCACAGAGTTGAACCTTGCTTTCATAGTTCAGCTTTCAAACACTCTTTTTGTAGAATCTGCAAGTGGATATTTGGACCACTTTGTGGCCTTCCTTCGAAACGGGTATATCTTCACATCAAACCTAGACAGAAGCATTCGCAGAATGTTTCCTGTGATGACTGCATTCAACTCACAGAGGTGAACAATCCTGTTGATGGAGCAGTTTTGAAACTCTCTTTCTTTGGATTCTGCAAGTGGATATGTGGACCTCTGTGAAGATTTCGTTGGAAACGGGTTCATCTTCACAGAAAAACTAAACAGGAGCATTCTCAGAAACTGCTTTGTGATGTTTGTGTTCCACTTCAGGAATTGAACTTTCCTCTTGACAGAGCAGCTCTAAAACCCTCTTATTCTAGAATCTGCAAGTGGACATTTGGAGGGCTTTGAGGCCTGTGGTGGAAAAGGAAAATCTTCACATAAAAACTAGATGGAAGCATTCTCAGAAACTACTTTGTGATGATTGCATTCAACTCACAGAGTTGAACATTCCTATAGATAGAGCAGGTTGTAAACAGTCTTTTTGTAGAATCTGTGATTGGAGATTTGGACTGCTTTGAGGCCTACTGTAGTAAAGGAAATAACTTCATCTAAAAACCAAACGGAAGCATTCACAGACAATTCTTAGTGATCATTGCATTGAACTGACAGAGCTGAACATTCCTTTAGATGGAGCAGTTTCCAAACACACTTTCTGTAGAATCTGCAAGTGGATATTTGGACTTCTCTGAGGATTTCGTTGGAAACGGGATAAACTTCCCAGAACTACACGGAAGCATTCTGAGAAACTTCTTTGTGATGTTTGCATTCAACTCACAGAGTTGAACCTTGCTTTCATAGTTCAGCTTTCAAACACTCTTTTTGTAGAATCTGCAAGTGGATATTTGGACCACTTTGTGGCCTTCCTTCGAAACGGGTATATCTTCACATCAAACCTAGACAGAAGCATTCTCAGAATGTTTCCTGTGATGACTGCATTCAACTCACAGAGGTGAACAATCCTGTTGATGGAGCAGTTTTGAAACTCTCTTTCTTTGGATTCTGCCAGTGGATATGTGGACCTCTGTGAAGATTTCGTTGGAAACGGGTTCATCTTCACAGAAAAACTAAACAGAAGCATTCTCAGAAACTGCTTTGTGATGTTTGTGTTCCACTTCAAGAATTGAACTTTCCTCTTGACAGAGCAGCTCTGAAACCCTCTTTTTCTAGAATCTGCAAGTGGACATTTGGAGGGCTTTGAGGCCTGTGGTGGAAAAGGAAAATCTTCACATAAAAACTAGATGGAAGCATTCTCAGAAACTACTTTCTGATGATTGCATTCGACTCACAGAGTTGAACATTCCTATAGATAGAGCAGGTTGTAAACAATCTTTTTGTAGAATCTGCGATTGGAGATTTGGACTGCTTTGAGGCCTACTGTAGTAAAGGAAATAACTTCATCTAAAAACCAAACGGAAGGATTCACAGACAATTCTTAGTGATCATTGCATTGAACTAACAGAGCTGAACATTCCTTTAGATGGCGCAGTTTCCAAACACACTTTCTGTAGAATCTGCAAGTGGATATTTGGACCTCTCTGAGGATTTCGTTGGAAACGGGATAAACTTCCCAGAACTACACGGAAGCATTGTGAGAAAATTCTTTGTGATGTTTGCATTCAACTCACAGAGTTGAACCTTGCTTTCATAGTTCAGCTTTCAAACACTCTTTTTGTAGAATCTGCAAGTGCATATTTGGACCACTTTGTGGCCTTCCTTCGAAACGGGTATATCTTCACATCAAACCTAGACAGAAGCATTCTCAGAATGTTTCCTGTGATGACTGCATTCAACTCACAGAGGTGAACAATCCTGCTGATGGAGCAGTTTTGAAACTCTCTTTCTTTGGATTCTGCAAGTGGATATGTGGACCTCTGTGAAGATTTCGTTGGAAACGGGTTCATCTTCACAGAAAAACTAAACAGGAGCATTCTCAGAAACTACTTTGTGATGTTTGTGTTCCACTTCAAGAATTGAACTTTCCTCTTGACAGACCAGCTCTGAAACCCTCTTTTTCTAGAATCTGCAAGTGGACATTTGGAGGGCTTTGAGGCATGTGGCGGAAAAGGAAAATCTTCACATAAAAACTAGATGGAAGCATTCTCAGAAACTACTTTGTGATGATTGCATTCGACTCACAGAGTTGAACATTCCTATAGATAGAGCAGGTTGTAAACAATCTTTTTGTAGAATCTGCGATTGGAGATTTGGACTGCTTTGAGGCCTACTGTAGTAAAGGAAATAACTTCATCTAAAAACCAAAATGGAAGCATTCACAGACAATTCTTAGTGATCATTGCATTGAACTAACAGAGCTGAACATTCCTTTAGATGGAGCAGTTTCCAAACACACTTTCTGTAGAATCCGCAAGTGGATATTTGGACCTCTCTGAGGATTTCGTTGCAAACGGGATAAACTTCCCAGAACTACACGGAAGCATTCTGAGAAACTTCTTTGTGATGTTTGCATTCAACTCACAGAGTTGAACCTTGCTTTCATAGTTCAGCTTTCAAACACTCTTTTTGTAGAATCTGCAAGTGGATATTTGGACCACTTTGTGGCCTTCCTTCGAAACGGGTATATCTTCACATCAAACCTAGACAGAAGCATTCTCAGAATGTTTCCTGTGATGACTGCATTCAACTCACAGAGGTGAACAATCCTGCTGATGGAGCAGTTTTGAAACTCTCTTTCTTTGGATTCTGCAAGTGGATATGTGGACCTCTGTGAAGATTTCTTTGGAAACGGGTTCATCTTCACAGAAAAACTAAACAGAAGCATTCTCAGAAACTGCTTTGTGATGTTTGTGTTCCACTTCACGAATTGAACTTTCCTCTTGACAGAGCAGCTCTGAAACCCTCTTTTTCTAGAATCTGCAAGTGGACATTTGGAGGGCTTTGAGGCCTGTGGTGGAAAAGGAAAATCTTCACATAAAAACTAGATGGAAGCATTCTCAGAAAGTACTCTGTGATGATTGCATTCGACTCACAGAGTTGAACATTCCTATAGATAGAGCAGGTTGTAAACAATCTTTTTGTAGAATCTGTGATTGGAGATTTGGACTGCTTTGAGGCCTATTGTAGTAAAGGAAATAACTTCATCTAAAAACCAAACGGAAGCATTCACAGACAATTCTTAGTGATCATTGGATTGAACTAACAGCAGCTGAACATTCCTTTAGATGGAGCAGTTTCCAAACACACTTTCTGTAGAATCTGCAACTGGATATTTGGACTTCTCTGAGGATTTCGTTGGAAACGGGATAAACTTCCCAGAACTACACGGAAGCATTGTGAGAAACTTCTTTGTGATGTTTGCATTCAACTCACAGAGTTGAACCTTGCTTTCATAGTTCAGCTTTCAAACACTCTTTTTGTAGAATCTGCAAGTGGATATTTGGACCACTTTGTGGCCTTCCTTCGAAACGGGTATATCTTCACATCAAACCTAGACAGAAGCATTCTCAGAATGTTTCCTGTGATGACTGCATTCAACTCACAGAGGTGAACAATCCTGTTGATGGAGCAGTTTTGAAACTCTCTTCCTTTGGATTCTGCAAGTGGATATGTGGACCTCTGTGAAGATTTCGTTGGAAACGGGTTCATCTTCACAGAAAAACTAAACAGGAGCATTCTCAGAAAACTGCTTTGTGATGTTTGTGTTCCACATCAAGAATTGAACTTTCCTCTTGACAGAGCAGCTCTGAAACCCTCTTTTTCTAGAATCTGCAAGTGGACATTTGGAGGGCTTTGAGGCCTGTGGTGCAAAAGGAAAATCTTCACATAAAAACTAGATGGAAGCATTCTCAGAAACTACTTTGTGATGATTGCATTCGACTCACAGAGTTGAACATTCCTATAGATAGAGCAGGTTGTAAACAATCTTTTTGTAGAATCTGCGATTGGAAATTTGGACTGCTTTGAGGCCTACTGTAGTAAAGGAAATAACTTCATCTAAAAACCAAACGGAATCATTCACAGACAATTCTTAGTGATCATTGGTTTGAACTAACAGAGCTGAACATTCCTTTAGATGGAGCAGTTTCCAAACCCACTTTCTGTAGAATCTGCAAGTGGATATTCGGACTTCTCTGAGGATTTCGTTGGAAACGGGATAAACTTCCCAGAACTACACGGAAGCATTGTGAGAAACTTCTTTGTGATGTTTGCATTCAACTCACAGAGTTGAACCTTGCTTTCATAGTTCAGCTTTCAAACACTCTTTTTGTAGAATCTGCAAGTGGATATTTGGACCACTTTGTGGCCTTCCTTCGAAACGGGTATATCTTCACATCAAACCTAGACAGAAGCATTCTCAGAATGTTTCCTGTGATGACTGCATTCAACTCACAGAGGTGAACAATCCTGTTGATGGTGCAGTTTTGAAACTCTCTTTCTTTGGATTCTGCAAGTGGATATGTAGACCTCTGTGAAGATTTCGTTGGAAACGGGTTCATCTTCACAGAAAAACTAAACAGAAGCATTCTCAGAAACTGCTTTGTGATATTTGTGTTCCACTTCAAGAATTGAACTTTCCTCTTGACAGAGCAGCTCTGAAACCCTCTTATTCTAGAATCTGCAAGTGGACATTTGGAGGGCTTTGAGGCCTGTGGTGGAAAAGGACAATCTTCACATAAAAACTAGATGGAAGCATTCTCAGAAACTACTTTGTGATGATTGCATTCGACTCACAGAGTTGAACATTCCTATAGATAGAGCAGGTTGTAAACAATCTTTTTGTAGAATCTGCGATTGGAGATTTGGACTGCTTTGAGGCCTACTGTAGTAAAGGAAATAACTTCATCTAAAAACCAAACGGAAGCATTCACAGAAAATTCTTAGTGATCATTGGATTGAACTAACAGAGCTGAACATTCCTTTAGATGGAACAGTTTCCAAACACACTTTCTGTAGAATCTGCAAGTGGATATTTGGACTTCTCTGAGGATTTCGTTGGAAATGGGATAAACTTCCCAGAACTACACGGAAGCATTCTGAGAAACTTCTTTGTGATGTTTGCATTCAACTCACAGAGTTGAACCTTGCTTTCATAGTTCAGCTTCCAAACACTCTTTTTGTAGAATCTGCAAGTGGATATTTGGACCACTTTGTGGCCTTCCTTCGAAACGGGTATATCTTCACATCAAACCTAGACAGAAGCATTCTCAGAATGTTTCCTGTGATGACTGCATTCAACTCACAGAGGTGAACAATCCTGCTGATGGAGCTGTTTTGAAACTCTCTTTCTTTGGATTCTGCAAGTGGATATGTGGACCTCTGTGAAGATTTCGTTGGAAACGGGTGCATCTTCACAGAAAAACTAAACAGAAGCATTCTCAGAAACTGCTTTGTGATGTTTGTGTTCCACTTCAAGAATTGAACTTTCCTCTTGACAGAACAGCTCTGAAACCCTCTTTTTCTAGAATCTGCAAGTGGACATTTGGAGGGCTTTGAGGCCTGTGGTGGAAAAGGAAAATGTTCACATAAAAACTAGATGGAAACACTCTCAGAAACTACTTTGTGATGATTGCATTCGACTCACAGAGTTGAACATTCCTATAGATAGAGCAGGTTGTAAACAATCTTTTTGTAGAATCTGCGATTGGAGATTTGGACTGCTTTGAGGCCTACTGTAGTAAAGGAAATAACTTCATCTAAAAACCAAACGGAAGCATTCACAGACAATTCTTAGTGATCATTGGATTGAACTAACAGAGCTGAACATTCCTTTAGATGGCGCAGTTTCCAAACACACTTTCTGTAGAATCTGCCACTGGATATTTGGACCTCTCTGAGGATTTCGTTGGAAACGGGCTAAACTTCCCAGAACTACACGGAAGCATGCTGAGAAACTTCTTTGTGATGTTTGCATTCAACTCACAGAGTGGAACCTTGCTTTCATAGTTCAGCTTTCAAACACTCTTTTTGTAGAATCTGCAAGTGGATATTTGGACCACTTTGTGGCCTTCCTTCGAAACGGGTATATCTTCACATCAAACCTAGACAGAAGCATTCTCAGAATGTTTCCTGTGATGACTGCATTCAACTCACAGAGGTGAACAATCCTGTTGATCGAGCCGTTTTGAAACTCTCTTTCTTTGGATTCTGCAGGTGGATATGTGGACCTCTGTGAAGATTTCGTTGGAAACGGGTTCATCTTCATAGAAAAACTAAACAGGAGCATTCTCAGAAACTGCTTTGTGATATTTGTGTTCCACTTCAGGAATTGAACTTTCCTCTTGACAGAGCAGCTCTGAAACCCTCTTATTCTAGAATCTGCAAGTGGACATTTGGAGGGCTTTGAGGCCTGTGGTGGAAAAGGAAAATCTTCACATAAAAACTAGATGGAAGCATTCTCAGAAACTACTTTGTGATGATGGCATTCGACTCACATAGTTGAACATTCCTATAGATAGAGCAGGTTGTAAACAATCTTTTTGTAGAATCTGCGATTGGAGATTTGGACTGCTTTGAGGCCTACTGTAGTAAAGGAAATAACTTCATCTAAAAACCAAACGGAAGCATTCACAGACAATTCTTAGTGATCATTGCATTGAACTAACAGAGCTGAACATTCCTTTAGATGGCGCAGTTTCCAAACACACTTTCTGTAGAATCTGCAAGTGGATATTTGGACTTCTCTGAGGATTTCGTTGGAAACGGGATAAACTTCCCAGAACTACACGGAAGCATTGTGAGAAAATTCTTTGTGATGTTTGCATTCAACTCACAGAGTTGAACCTTGCTTTCATAGTTCAGCTTTCAAACACTCTTTTTGTAGAATCTGCATGTGGATATTTGGACCACTTTGTGGCCTTCCTTCGAAACGAGTATATCTTCACATCAAACCTAGACAGAAGCATTCTCAGAATGTTTCCTGTGATGACTGCATTCAACTCACAGAGGTGAACAATCCTGCTGATGGAGCAGTTTTGAAACTCTCTTTCTTTGGATTCTGCAAGTGGATATGTGGACCTCTGTAAAGATTTCGTTGGAAACGGGTTCATCTTCACAGAAAAACTAAACAGAAGCATTCTCAGAAACTGCTTTGTGATGTTTGTGTTCCACTTCAGGAATTGAACTTTCCTCTTGACAGAGCAGCTCTAAAACCCTCTTATTCTAGAATCTGCAAGTGGACATTTGGAGGGCTTTGAGGCCTGTGGTGGAAAAGGAAAATCTTCACATAAAAACTAGATGGAAGCATTCTCAGAAACTACTTTGTGATGATTGCATTCGACTCACAGAGTTGAACATTCCTATAGATAGAGCAGGTTGTAAACAATCTTTTTGTAGAATCTGCGATTGGAGATTTGGACTGCTTTGAGGCCTACTGTAGTAAAGGAAATAACTTCATCTAAAAACCAAACGGAAGCATTCACAGACAATTCTTAGTGATCATTGGATTGAACTAACAGAGCTGAACATTCCTTTAGATGGAGCAGTTTCCAAACCCACTTTCTGTAGAATCTGCAAGTGGATATTTGGACTTCTCTGAGGATTTCGTTGGAAACGGGATAAACTTCCCAGAACTACACGGAAAGCATTCTGAGAAACTTCTTTGTGATGTTTGCATTCAACTCACAGGATTTGCACCTTGCTTTCATAGTTCAGCTTTCAAACACTCTTTTTGTAGAATCTGCAAGTGGATATTTGGACCACTTTGTGGCCTTCCTTCGAAAAGGGTATATCTTCACATCAAACCTAGACAGAAGCATTCTCAGAATGTTTCCTGTGATGACTGCATTCAACTCACAGAGGTGAACAATCCTGCTGATGGAGCAGTTTTGAAACTCTCTTTCTTTGGATTCTGCAAGTGGATATGTGGACCTCTGTGTAGATTTCGTTGGAAACGGGTTCATCTTCACAGAAAAACTAAACAGGAGCATTCTCAGAAACTGCTTTGTGATGTTTGTGTTCCACTTCAAGAATTGAACTTTCCTCTTGACAGAGCAGCTCTGAAACCCTCTTTTTCTAGAATCTGCAAGTGGACATTTGGAGGGCTTTGAGGCCTGTGGTGGAAAAGGAAAATCTTCACATAATAACTTTATGGAAGCATTCTCAGAAACTTCTTTGTGATGATTGCATTCGACTCACAGAGTTGAACATTCCTATAGATAGAGCAGGTTGTAAACAATCTTTTTGTAGAATCTGCGATTGGAGATTTGGACTGCTTTGAGGCCTACTGTAGTAAAGGAAATAACTTCATCTAAAAACCAAACGGAAGCATTCACAGACAATTCTTAGTGATCATTGCATTGAACTAACAGAGCTGAACATTCCTTTAGATGGAGCAGTTTCCAAACCCACTTTCTGTAGATTCTGCAAGTGGATATTTGGACTTCTGTGAGGATTTCGTTGGAAACGGGATAAACTTCCCAGAACTACACGGAAGCATTGTGAGAAACATCTTTGTGATGTTTTCATTCAACTCACAGAGTTGAACCTTGCTTTCATAGTTCAGCTTTCAAACACTCTTTTTGTAGAATCTGAAAGTGGATATTTGGACCACTTTGTGGCCTTCCTTTGAAACGGGTATATCTTCACATCAAACCTAGACAGAAGCATTCTCAGAATGTTTCCTGTGATGACTGCATTCAACTCACAGAGGTGAACAATCCTGTTGATGGAGCAGTTTTGAAACTCTCTTTCTTTGGATTCTGCAAGTGGATATGTGGACCTCTGTGAAGATTTCGTTGGAAACGGGTTCATCTTCACAGAAAAACTAAACAGAAGCATTCTCAGAAACTGCTTTGTGATGTTTGTGTTCCACTTCAGGAATTGAACTTTCCTCTTGACAGAGCAGCTCTGCAACCCTCTTATTCTAGAATCTGCAAGTGGACATTTGGAGGGCTTTGAGGCCTGTGGTGGAAAAGGAAAATCTTCACATAAAAACTAGATGGAAGCATTCTCACAAACTCCTTTGTGATGATTGCATTCGACTCACAGAGTTGAACATTCCTATAGATAGAGCAGGTTGTAAACAATCTTTTTGTAGAATCTGCGATTGGAGATTTGGACTGCTTTGAGGCCTACTGTAGTAAAGGAAATAACTTCATCTAAAAACCAAACGGAAGCATTCACAGACCATTCTTAGTGATCATTGGATTGAACTAACAGAGCTGAACATTCCTTTAGATGGCGCAGTTTCCAAACACACTTTCTGTAGAATCTGCAAGTGGATATTAAGACCTCTCTGAGGATTTCGTTGGAAACGGGATAAACTTCCCAGAACTACTCGGAAGCATTCTGAGAAACTTCTTTGTGATGTTTGCATTCAACTCACAGAGTTGAACCTTGCTTTCTTAGTTCAGCTTTCAAACACTCTTTTTGTAGAATCTGCAAGTGGATATTTGGACCACTTTGTGGCCTTCCTTCGAAACGGGTATATCTTCACATCAAACCTAGACAGAAGCATTCTCAGAATGTTTCCTGTGATGACTGCATTCAACTCACAGAGGTGAACAATCCTGTTGATGGAGCACTTTTGAAACTCTCTTTCTTTGGATTCTGCAAGTTGATATGTGGACCTCTGTGAAGATTTCGTTGGAAACGGGTTCATCTTCACAGAAAAACTAAACAGAAGCATTCTCAGAAACTGCTTTGTGATGTTTGTGTTCCACTTGAAGAATTGAACTTTCCTTTTGACAGAGCAGCTCTGAAACCCTCTTTTTCTAGAATCTGCAAGTGGACATTTGGAGGGCTTTGAGGCCTGTGGTGGAAAAGGAAAATCTTCCCATAAAAACTAGCTGGAAGCATTCTCAGAAACTTCTTTGTGATGATTGCATTCGACTCACAGAGTTGAACATTCCTATAGATAGAGCAGGTTGTAAACAATCTTTTTGTAGAATCTGCGATTGGAGATTTGGACTGCTTTGAGGCCTACTGTAGTAAAGGAAATTACTTCATCTAAAAACCAAACGGAAGCATTCACAGACAATTCTTAGTGATCATTGCATTGAACTAACAGAGCTGAACATTCCTTTAGATGGCGCAGTTTCCAAACACACTTTCTGTAGAATCTGCAAGTGGATATTTGGACCTCTCTGAGGATTTCGTTGGAAACGGGATAAACTTCCCAGAACTACACGGAAGCATTCTGAGAAACTTCTTTGTGATGTTTGCATTCAACTCACAGAGTTGAACCTTGCTTTCATAGTTCAGCTTTCAAACACTCTTTTTGTAGAATCTGCAAGTGGATATTTGGACCACTTTCTGGCCTTCCTTCGAAACGGGTATATCTTCACATCAAACCTAGACAGAAGCATTCTCAGAATGTTTCCTGTGATGACTGCATTCAACTCACAGAGGTGAACAATCCTGTTGATGGAGCAGTTTTGAAACTCTCTTTCTTTGGATTCTGCAAGTGGATATGTGGATCTCTGTGAAGATTTCGTTGGAAACGGGTTCATCTTCACAGAAAAACTAAACAGGAGCATTCTCAGAAACTGCTTTGTGATGTTTGTGTTCCACTTCAGGAATTGAACTTTCCTCTTGATAGAGCAGCTCTGAAACCCTCTTTTTCTAGAATCTGCAAGTGGACATTTGGAGGGCTTTGAGGCCTGTGGTGGAAAAGGAAAATCTTCACATAAAAACTAGATGGAAGCATTCTCAGAAACTACTTTGTGATGATTGCATTCGACTCACAGAGTTGAACATTCCTATAGATAGAGCAGGTTGTAAACAATCTTTTTGTAGAATCTGCGATTGGAGATTTGGACTGCTTTGAGGCCTACTGTAGTAAAGGAAATAACTTCATCTAAAAACCAAACGGAAGCATTCACAGACAATTCTTAGTGATCATTGGATTGAACTAACAGAGCTGAACATTCCTTTAGATGGAGCAGTTTCCAAACACACTTTCTGTAGAATCTGCAAGTGGATATTTGGACCTCTCTGAGGATTTCGTTGGAAACGGGATAAACTTCCCAGAACTACACGGAAGCATGCTGAGAAACTTCTTTGTGATGTTTGCATTCAACTCACAGAGTTGAAACTTGCTTTCATAGTTCAGCTTTCAAACACTCTTTTTGTAGAATCTGCAAGTGGATATTTGGACCACTTTGTGGCCTTCCTTCGAAACGGGTATATCTTCACATCAAACCTAGACAGAAGCATTCTCAGAATGTTTCCTGTGATGACTGCATTCAACTCACAGAGGTGAACAATCCTGTTGATGGAGCAGTTTTGAAACTCTCTTTCTTTGGATTCTGCAAGTTGATATGTGGACCTCTGTGAAGATTTCGTTGGAAACGGGTTCATCTTCACAGAAAAACTAAACAGAAGCATTCTCAGAAACTGCTTTGTGATGTTTGTGTTCCACTTCAAGAATTGAACTTTCCTCTTGACAGAGCAGCTCTGAAACCCTCTTTTTCTAGAATCTGCAAGTGGACATTTGGAGGGCTTTGAGGCCTGTGGTGGAAAAGGAAAATCTTCACATAAAAACTAGATGGAAGCATTCTCAGAAACTACTTTGTGTTGATTGCATTCGACTCACAGAGTTGAACATTCCTATAGATAGAGCAGGTTGTAAACAATCTTTTTGTAGAATCTGCGATTGGAGATTTGGACTGCTTTGAGGCCTACTGTAGTAAAGGATATAACTTCATCTAAAAACCAAACGGAAGCATTCACAGACAATTCTTAGTGATCATTGCATTGAACTAACAGAGCTGAACATTCCTTTAGATGGCGCAGTTTCCAAACACACTTTCTGTAGAATCTGCAAGTGGATATTTGGACTTCTCTGAGGATTTCGTTGGAAAAGGGATAAACTTCCCAGAACTACACGGAAGCATTCTGAGAAACTTCTTTGTGATGTTTGCATTCAACTCACAGAGTTGAACCTTGCTTTCATAGTTCAGCTTTCAAACACACTTTTTGTAGAATCTGCAAGTGGATATTTGGAGCACTTTGTGGCCTTCCTTCGAAACGGGTATATCTTCACATCAAACCTAGACAGAAGCATTCTCAGAATGTTTCCTGTGATGACTGCATTCAACTCACAGATGTGAACAATCCTGTTGATGGAGCAGTTTTGAAACTCTCTTTCTTTGGATTCTGCAAGTGGATATGTGGACCTCTGTGAAGATTTCGTTGGAAACGGGTTCATCTTCACAGAAAAACTAAACAGGAAGCATTCTCAGAAACTGCTTTGTGATGTTTGTGTTCCACTTCAGGAATTGAACTTTCCTCTTGACAGAGCAGCTCTGAAACCCTCTTATTCTATAATCTGCATGTGGACATTTGGAGGGCTTTGAGGCCTGTGGTGGAAAAGGAAAATCTTCCCATAAAAACTAGATGGAAGCATTCTCAGTAAACTACTTTGTGATGATTGCATTCGACTCACAGAGTTGAACATTCCTATAGATAGAGCAGGTTGTAAACAATCTTTTTGTAGAATCTGCCATTGGAGATTTGGACTGCTTTGAGGCCTACTGTAGTAAAGGAAATAACTTCATCTAAAAACCAAACGGAAGCATTCACAGACAATTCTTAGTGATCATTGGATTGAACTAACAGAGCTGAACATTCCTTTAGATGGAGCAGTTTCCAAACACACTTTCTGTAGAATCTGCAAGTGGATATTTGGACCTCTCTGAGGATTTCGTTGGAAACGGGATAAACTTCCCAGAACTACACGGAAGAATTGTGAGAAACTTCTTTGTGATGTTTGCATTCAACTCACAGAGTTGAACCTTGCTTTCATAGTTCAGCTTTCAAACACTCTTTTTGTAGAATCTGCAAGTGGATATTTGGACCACTTTGTGGCCTTCCTTCTAAACGGGTATATCTTCACATCAAACCTAGACAGAAGCATTCTCGGAATGTTTCCTGTGATGACTGCATTCAACTCACGGAGGTGAACAATCCTGCTGATGGAGCAGTTTTGAAACTTTCTTTCTTTGGATTCTGCAAGTGGATATGTGGACCTCTGTGAAGATTTCGTTGGAAACGGGTTCATCTTCACAGAAAAACTAAACAGGAAGCATTCTCAGAAACTGCTTTGTGATGTTTGTGTTCCACTTCAAGAATTGAACTTTCCTCTTGACAGAGCAGCTCTGAAACCCTCTTTTTCTAGAATCTGCAAGTGGACATTTGGAGGGCTTTGAGGCCTGTGGTGGAAAAGGAAAATCTTCCCATAAAAACTAGATGGAGCATTCTCAGAAACTACTTTGTGATGATTGCATTCGACTCACAGAGTTGAACATTCCTATAGATAGAGCAGGTTGTAAACAATCTTTTTGTAGAATCTGCGATTGGAGATTTGGACTGCTTTGAGGCCTACTGTAGTAAAGGAAATAACTTCATCTAAAAACCAAACGGAAGCATTCACAGACAATTCTTAGTGATCATTGGATTGAACTAACAGAGCTGAACATTCCTTTAGATGGAGCAGTTTCCAAACACACTTTCTGTAGAATCTGCAAGTGGATATTTGGACTTCTCTGTGGATGTCGTTGGAAACGGGATAAACTTCCCAGAACTACACGGAAGCATTCTGAGAAACTTCTTTGTGATGTTTGCATTCAACTCACAGAGTTGAACCCTGCTTTCATAGTTCAGCTTTCAAACACTCTTTTTGTAGAATCTGCAAGTGGATATTTGGACCAATTTGTGGCCTTCCTTCGAAACGGGTATATCTTCACATCAAACCTAGACAGAAGCATTCTCAGAATGTTTCCTGTGATGACTGCATTCAACTCACAGAGGTGAACAATCCTGTTGATGGAGCAGTTTTGAAACTCTCTTTGTTTGGAATCTGCATGTTGATATGTGGACCTCTGTGAAGATCTCGTTGGAAAAGGGTTCATCTTCACAGAAAAACTAAACAGAAGCATTCTCAGAAACTGCTTTATGATGTTTGTGTTCAACTTCAAGAATTGAACTTTCCTCTTGACAGAGCAGCTCTGAAACCCTTTTTTTTTTCTAGAATCTGCAAGTGGACATTTGGAGGGCTTTGAGGTCTGTGGTGGAAAAGGAAAATCTTCACATAAAAACTAGATGGAAGCATTCTCAGAAACTACTTTGTGATGATTGCATTCGACTCACAGAGTTGAACATTCCTATAGATAGAGCAGGTTGTAAACAATCATTTTGTAGAATCTGCGATTGGAGATTTGGACTGCTTTGAGGCCTACTGTAGTAAAGGAAATAACTTCATCTAAAAACCAAACGGAAGCATTCACAGACAATTCTTAGTGATCATTGGATTGAACTAACAGAGCTGAACATTCCTTTAGATGGAGCAGTTTCCAAACCCACTTTCTGTAGAATCTGCAAGTGGATATTTGGACTTCTCTGAGGATTTCGTTGGAAACGGCATAAACTTCCCAGAACTACACGGAAGCATTGTGAGAAACTTCTTTGTGATGTTTGCATTCAACTCACAGAGTTGAACCTTGCTTTCATAGTTCAGCTTTCAAACACTCTTTTTGTGGAATCTGCAAGTGGATATTTGGACCACTTTGTGGCCTTCCTTCGAAACGGGTATATCTTCACATCAAACCTAGACAGAAGCATTCTCAGAATATTTCCTGTGATGACTGCATTCAACTCACAGAGGTGAACAATCCTGTTGATGGAGCACTTTTGAAACTCTCTTTCTTTGGATTCTGCTAGTTGATATGTGGACCTCTGTGAAGATTTCGTTGGAAACGGGTTCATCTTCACAGAAAAACTAAACAGAAGCATTCTCAGAAACTACTTTGTGATGTTTGTGTTCCACTTCAAGAATTGAACTTTCCTCTTGACAGAGCAGCTCTGAAACCCTCTTTTTCTAGAATCTGCAAGTGGACATTTGGAGGGCTTTGAGGCCTGTGGTGGAAAAGGAAAATCTTCACATAAAAACTAGATGGAAGCATTCTCAGAAACTACTTTGTGATGATTGCATTCGACTCACAGAGTTGAACATTCCTATACATAGAGCAGGTTGTAAACAATCTTTTTGTAGAATCTGCGATTGGAGATTTGGACTGCTTTGAGGCCTACTGTAGTAAAGGAAATAACTTCATCTAAAAACCAAACGGAAGCATTCACAGACAATTCTTAGTGATCATTGCATTGAATTAACAGAGCTGAACATTCCTTTAGATGGAGCAGTTTCCAAACCCACTTTCTGTAGAATCTGCAAGTGGATATTTGGACTTCTCTGAGGATTTCGTTGGAAACGGGATAAACTTCCCAGAACTACAGGGAAGCATTCTGAGAAACTTCTTTGTGATGTTTGCATTCAACTCACAGAGTTGAACCTTGCTTTCATAGTTCAGCTTTCAAACACTCTTTTTGTAGAATCTGCAAGTGGATATTTGGACCACTTTGTGGCCTTCCTTCGAAACGGGTATATCTTCACATCAAACCTAGACAGAAGCATTCTCAGAATGTTTCCTGTGATGACTGCATTCAACTCACAGACGTGAACAATCCTGCTGATGGAGGAGTTTTGAAACTCTCTTTCTTTGGATTCTGCAAGTGGATATGTGGACCTCTGTGAAGATTTCGTTGGAAACGGGTTCATCTTCACAGAAAAACTAAACAGGAGCATTCTCAGAAACTGCTTTGTGATGTTTGTGTTCCACTTCAAGAATTGAACTTTCCTGTTGACAGAGCAGCTCTGAAACCCTCTTTTTCTAGAATCTGCAAGTGGACATTTGGAGGGCTTTGAGGCCTGTGGTGGAAAAGGAAAATCTTCACATAAAAACTAGATGGAAGCATTCTCAGAAACTTCTTTGTGATGATTGCATTCGACTCACAGAGTTGAACATTCCTATAGATAGAGCAGGTTGTAAACAATCTTTTTGTAGAATCTGCGATTGGAGATTTGGACTGCTTTGAGGCCTTCTGTAGTAAAGGAAACTACTTCATCTAAAAACCAAACGGAAGCATTCACAGACAATTCTTAGTGATCATTGGATTGAACTAACAGAGCTGAACATTCCTTTAGATGGAGCAGTTTCCAAACACACTTTCTGTAGAATCTGCAAGTGGATATTTGGACTTCTCTGAGGATTTCGTTGGAAACGGGATAAACTTCCCAGAACTACACGGAGCATTCTGAGAAACTTCTTTGTGATGTTTGCATTCAACTCACAGAGTTGAACCTTGCTTTCATACTTCAGCTTTCAAACACTCTTTTTGTAGAATCTGCAAGTGGATATTTGGACCACTTTGTGGCCTTCCTTCGAAACGGGTATATCTTCACATCAAACCTAGAGAGAAGCATTCTCAGAATGTTTCCTGTGATGACTGCATTCAACTCACAGAGGTGAACAATCCTGTTGATGGAGCACTTTTGAAACTCTCTTTCTTTGGATTCTGCAAGTTGATATGTGGACCTCTGTGAAGATTTCGTTGGAAACGGGTTCATCTTCACAGAAAAACTAAACAGAAGCATTCTCAGAAACTACTTTGTGATGTTTGTGTTCCACTTCAAGAATTGAACTTTCCTCTTGACAGAGCAGCTCTGAAACCCTCTTTTTCTAGAATCTGCAAGTGGACATTTGGAGGGCTTTGAGGCCTGTGGTGGAAAAGGAAAATCTTCACATAAAAACTAGATGGAAGCATTCTCAGAAACTACTTTGTGATGATTGCATTCGACTCACAGAGTTGAACATTCCTATACATAGAGCAGGTTGTAAACAATCTTTTTGTAGAATCTGCGATTGGAGATTTGGACTGCTTTGAGGCCTACTGTAGTAAAGGAAATAACTTCATCTAAAAACCAAACGGAAGCATTCACAGACAATTCTTAGTGATCATTGGATTGAACTAACAGAGCTGAACATTCCTTTAGATGGAGCAGTTTCCAAACACACTTTCTGTAGAATTTGCAAGTGGATATTTGGACTTCTCTGAGGATTTCGTTGGAAACGGGATAAACTTCCCAGAACTACACGGAAGCATTGTGAGAAACTTCTTTGTGATGTTTGCATTCAACTCACAGAGTTGAACCTTGCTTTCATAGTTCAGCTTTCAAACACTCTTTTTGTAGAATCTGCAAGTGGATATTTGGACCACTTTGTGGCCTTCCTTCGAAACGGGTATATCTTCACATCAAACCTAGACAGAAGCATTCTCAGAATGTTTCCTGTGATGACTGCATTCAACTCACAGAGGTGAACAATCCTGTTGATGGAGCAGTTTTGTAACTCTCTTTCTTTGGATTCTGCAAGTTGATATGTGGACCTCTGTGAAGATTTCGTTGGAAACGGGTTCATCTTCACAGAAAAACTAAACAGAAACATTCTCAGAAACTGCTCTGTAATGTTTGTTTTCCACTTCAGGAATTGAACTTTCCTCTTGACAGAGCAGCTCTGAAACCCTCTTATTCTAGAATCTGCAAGTGGACATTTGGAGGGCTTTGAGGCCTGTGGTGGAAAAGGAAAATCTTCACATAAAAACTAGATGGAAGCATTCTCAGAAACTACTTTGTGATGATTGCATTCGACTCACAGAGTTGAACATTCCTATAGATAGAGCAGGTTGTAAACAATCTTTTTGTAGAATCTGCGATTGGAGATTTGGACTGCTTTGAGGCCTACTGTAGTAAAGGAAATAACTTCATCTAAAAACCAAACGGAAGCATTCACAGACAATTCTTAGTGATCATTGCATTGAACAAACAGAGCTGAACATTCCTTTAGATGGAGCAGTTTCCAAACACACTTTCTGTAGAATCTGCAAGTGGATATTTGGACCTCTCTGAGGATTTCGTTGGGAACGGGATAAACTTCCCAGAACTACACGGAAGCATTCTGAGAAACTTCTTTGTGATGTTTGCATTCAACTCACAGAGTTGAACCTTGCTTTCATAGTTCAGCTTTCAAACACTCTTTTTGTAGAATCTGCAAGTGGATATTTGGACCACTTTGTGGCCTTCCTTCGAAACGGGTATATCTTCACATCAAACCTAGACAGAAGCATTCTCAGAATGTTTCCTGTGATGACTGCATTCAACTCACAGAGGTGAACAATCCTGCTGATGGAGCAGTTTTGAAACTCTCTTTCTTTGGATTCTGCAAGTGGATATGTGGACCTCTGTGAAGATTCCGTTGGAAACGGGTTCATCTTCACAGAAAAACTAAACAGAAGCATTCTCAGAAACTACTTTGTGATGTTTGTGTTCCACTTCAAGAATTGAACTTTCCTCTTGACAGAGCAGCTCTGAAACCCTCTTTTTCTAGAATCTGCAAGTGGACATTTGGAGGGCTTTGAGGCCTGTGGTGGAAAAGGAAAATCTTCACATAAAAACTAGATGGAAGCATTCTCAGAAACTCCTTTGTGATGATTGCATTCGACTCACAGAGTTGAACTTTCCTACAGATAGAGCAGGTTGTAAACAATCTTTTTGTAGAATCTGCGATTGGAGATTTGGACTGCTTTGAGGCCTACTGTAGTAAAGGAAATAACTTCATCTAAAAACCAAACGGAAGCATTCACAGACAATTCTTAGTGATCATTGCATTGAACTAACAGAGCTGAACATTCCTTTAGATGGCGCAGTTTCCAAACACACTTTCTGTAGAATCTGCAAGTGGATATTTGGACCTCCCTGAGGATTTCGTTGGAAACGGGATAAAATTCCCAGAACTACACGGAAGCATTCTGAGAAACTTCTTTGTGATGTTTGCATTCAACTCACAGAGTTGAACCTTGCTTTCATAGTTCAGCTTTCAAACACTCTTTTTGTAGAATCTGCAAGTGGATATTTGGACCACTTTGTGGCCTTCCTTCGAAACGGGTATATCTTCACATCAAACCTAGACAGAAGCATTCTCAGAATGTTTCCTGTGATGACTGCATTCAACTCACAGAGGTGAACAATCCTGCTGATGGAGCAGTTTTGAAACTCTCTTTCTTTGGATTCTGCAAGTGGATATGTGGACCTCTGTGAAGATTTCATTGGAAACGGGTTCATCTTCACAGAAAAACTAAACAGAAGCATTCTCAGAAACTGCTTTGTGATGTTTGTGTTCCACTTCAAGAATTGAACTTTCCTCTTGACAGAGCAGCTCTGAAACCCTCTTTTTCTAGAATCTGCAAGTGGACATTTGGAGGGCTTTGAGGGCTGTGGTGGAAAAGGAAAATCTTCACATAAAAACTAGATGGAAGCATTCTCAGAAACTACTTTGTGATGATTGCATTCGACTCACAGAGTTGAACATTCCTATAGATAGAGCAGGTTGTAAACAATCTTTTTGTAGAATCTGCGATTGGAGATTTGGACTGCTTTGAGGCCTACTGTAGTAAAGGAAATAACTTCATCTAAAAACCAAACGGAAGCATTCACAGACAATTCTTAGTGATCATTGCATTGAACTAACAGAGCTGAACATTCCTTTAGATGGCGCAGTTTCCAAACACACTTTCTGTAGAATCTGCAAGTGGATATTTGGACCTCTCTGAGGATTTCGTTGGAAACGGGATAAAATTCCCAGAACTACACGGAAGCATTCTGAGAAACTTCTTTGTGATGTTTGCATTCAACTCACACAGTTGAACCTTGCTTTCATAGTTCAGCTTTCAAACACTCTTTTTGTAGAATCTGCAAGTGGATATTTGGACCACTTTGTGTCCTTCCTTCGAAACGGGTATATCTTCACATCAAACCTAGACAGAAGCATTCTCAGAATGTTTCCTGTGATGACTGCATTCAACTCACAGAGGTGAACAATCCTGCTGATGGAGCAGTTTTGAAACTCTCTTTCTTTGGATTCTGCAAGTGGATATGTGGACCTCTGTGAAGATTTCGTTGGAAACGGGTTCATCTTCACAGAAAAACTAAACAGAAGCATTCTCAGAAACTGCTTTGTGATGTTTGTGTTCCACTTCAGGAATTGAACTTTCCTCTTGACAGAGCAGCTCTGAAACCCTCTTTTTCTAGAATCTGCAAGTGGACATTTGGAGGGCTTTGAGGCCTGTGGTGGAAAAGGAAAATCTTCACATAAAAACTAGATGGAAGCATTCTCAGAAACTACTTTGTGATGATTGCATTCGACTCACAGAGTTGAACATTCCTATAGATAGAGCAGGTTGTAAACAATGTTTTTGTAGAATCTGCGATTGGAGATTTGGACTGCTTTGAGGCCTACTGTAGTAAAGGAAATAACTTCATCTAAAAACCAAACGGAAGCATTCACAGACAATTCTTAGTGATTATTGGATTGAACTAACAGAGCTGAACATTCCTTTAGATGGAGCAGTTTCCAAACCCACTTTCTGTAGAATCTGCAAGTGGATATTTGGACTTCTCTGAGGATTTCGTTAGAAACGGGATAAACTTCCCAGAACTACACGGAAGCATTGTTAGAAACTTCTTTGTGATGTTTGCATTCAACTCAGAGAGTTGAACCTTGCTTTCATAGTTCAGCTTTCAAACACTCTTTTTGTAGAATCTGCAAGTGGATATTTGGACCACTTTGTGGCCTTCCTTTGAAACAGGTATATCTTCACATCAAACCTAGACAGAAGCATTCTCAGAATGTTTCCTGTGATGACTGCATTCAACTCACAGAGGTGAACAATCCTGCTGATGGAGCAGTTTTGAAACTCTCTTTCTTTGGATTCTGCAAGTGGATATGTGGACCTCTGTGAAGATTTCGTTGGAAACGGGTTCATCTTCACAGAAAAACTAAACAGGAGCATTCTCAGAAACTGCTTTGTGATGTTTGTGTTCCACTTCAGGAATTGAACTTTCCTCTTGACAGAGCAGCTCTGAAACCCTCTTATTCTAGAATCTGCAAGTGGACATTTGGAGGGCTTTGAGGCCTGTGGTGGAAAAGGAAAATCTTCACATAAAAACTAGATGGAAGCATTCTCAGAAACTACTTTGTGATGATTGCATTCGACTCACAGAGTTGAACATTCCTATAGATAGAGCAGGTTGTAAACAATCTTTTTGTAGAATCTGCGATTGGAGATTTGGACTGCTTTGAGGCCTACTGTAGTAAAGGAAATAACTTCATCTAAAAACCAAACGGAAGCATTCACAGACAATTCTTAGTGATCATTGGATTGAACTAACAGAGCTGAACATTCCTTTAGATGGAGCAGTTTCCAAACACACTTTCTGTAGAATCTGCAAGTGGATATTTGGACCTCTCTGAGGATTTCGTTGGAAACGGGATAAACTTCCCAGAACTACACGGAAGCATTGTGAGAAACTTCTTTGTGATGTTTGCATTCAACTCACAGAGTTGAACCTTGCTTTCATAGTTCAGCTTTCAAACACTCTTTTTGTAGAATCTGCAAGTGGATATTTGGACCACTTTGTGGCCTTCCTTCGAAACGGGTTATATCTTCACATCAAACCTAGACAGAAGCATTCTCAGAATGTTTCCTGTGATGACTGCATTCAACTCACAGAGGTGAACAATCCTGCTGATGGAGCAGTTTTGAAACTCTCTTTCTTTGGATTCTGCCAGTGGATATGTGGACCTCTGTGAAGATTTCGTTGGAAACGGGTTCATCTTCACAGAAAAACTAAACAGGAACATTCTCAGAAACTGCTTTGTGAAGTTTGTGTTCCACTTCAGGAATTGAACTTTCCTCTTGACAGAGCAGCTCTGAAACCCTCTTATTCTAGAATCTGCAAGTGGACATTTGGAGGGCTTTGAGGCCTGTGGTGGAAAAGGAAAATCTTCACATAAAAACTAGATGGAAGCATTCTCAGAAACTACTTTGTGATGATTGCATTCGACTCACAGAGTTGAACATTCCTATAGATAGAGCAGGTTGTAAACAATCTTTTTGTAGAATCTGCGATTGGAGATTTGGACTGCTTTGAGGCCTACTGTAGTAAAGGAAATAATTTCATCTAAAAACCAAACGGAAGCATTCACAGACAATTCTTAGTGATCATTGGATTGAAATAACAGAGCTGAACATTCCTTTAGATGGAGCAGTTTCCAAACACACTTTCTGTAGAATCTCCAAGTGGATATTTGGACATCTCTGAGGATTTCGTTGGAAACGGGCTAAACTTCCCAGAACTACACGGAAGCATTGTGAGAAACTTCTTTGTGATGTTTGCATTCAACTCAGAGAGTTGAACCTTTCTTTCATAGTTCAGCTTTCAAACACTCTTTTTGTAGAATCTGCAAGTGGATATTTGGACCACTTTGTGGCCTTCCTTCGAAACGGGTATATCTTCACATCAAACCTAGACAGAAGCATTCTCAGAATGTTTCCTGTGATGACTGCATTCAACTCACAGAGGTGAACAATCCTGCTGATGGAGCAGTTTTGAAACTCTCTTTCTTTGGATTCTGCATGTGGATATGTGGACCTCTGTGAAGATTTCGTTGGAAACGGGTTCATCTTCACAGAAAAACTAAACAGAAGCATTCTCAGAAACTGCTTTGTGATGTTTGTGTTCCACTTCAAGAATTGAACTTTCCTCTTGACAGCGCAGCTCTGAAACCCTCTTTTTCTAGAATCTGCAAGTGGACATTTGGAGGGCTTTGAGGCCTGTGGTGGAAAAGGAAAATCTTCACATAAAAACTAGATGGAAGCATTCTCAGAAACTACTTTGTGATGATTGCATTCGACTCACAGAGTTGAACATTCCTATAGATAGAGCAGGTTGTAAACAATCTTTTTGTAGAATCTGCGATTGGAGATTTGGACTGCTTTGAGGCCTACTGTAGTAAAGGAAATAACTTCATCTAAAAACCAAACGGAAGCATTCACAGACAATTCTTAGTGATCATTGCATTGAACTAACAGAGCTGAACATTCCTTTAGATGGAGCAGTTTCCAAACCCACTTTCTGTAGAATCTGCAAGTGGATATTTGGACTTCTCTGAGGATATCGTTGGAAACGGGATAAACTTCCCAGAACTACAGGGAAGCATTCTGAGAAACTTCTTTGTGATGTTTGCATTCAACTCACAGAGTTGAACCTTGCTTTCATAGTTCAGCTTTCAAACACTCTTTTTGTAGAATCTGCAAGTGGATATTTGGACCACTTTGTGGCCTTCCTTCGAAACGGGTATATCTTCACATCAAACCTAGACAGAAGCATTCTCAGAATGTTTCCTGTGATGACTGCATTCAACTCACAGAGGTGAACAATCCTGTTGATGGAGCACTTTTGAAACTCTCTTTCTTTGGATTCTGCAAGTTGATATGTGGACCTCTGTGAAGATTTCGTTGGAAACGGGTTCATCTTCACAGAAAAACTAAACAGAAGCATTCTCAGAAACTGCTTTGTGATGTTTGTGTTCCACTTCAGGAATTGAACTTTCCTCTTGACAGAGCAGCTCTGAATCCCTCTTTTTCTAGAATCTGCAAGTGGACATTTGGAGGGCTTTGAGGCCTGTGGTGGAAAAGGAAAATCTTCACATAAAAACTAGATGGAAGCATTCTCACAAACTACTTTGTGATGATTGCATTCGACTCACAGAGTTGAACATTCCTATAGATAGAGCAGGTTGTAAACAATCTTTTTGTAGAATCTGCGATTGGAGATTTCGACTGCTTTGAGGCCTACTGTAGTAAAGGAAATAACTTCATCTAAAAACCAAACGGGAAGCATTCACAGACAATTCTTAGTGATCATTGGATTGAACTCACAGAGCTGAACATTCCATTAGATAGAGCAGTTTCCAAACACACTTTCTGCAGAATCTGCAAGTGGATATTTGGACTTCTCTAAGGATTTCGTTGGAAACGGGCTAAACTTCCCAGAACTACATGGAAGCATTGTGAGAAACTTCTTTGTGACGTTTGCATTCAACTCACAGAGTTGAACCTTGCTTTCATAGTTCAGCTTTCAAACACTCTTTTTGTAGAATCTGCAAGTGGATATTTTGACCACTTTGTGGCCTTCCTTCGAAATGAGTATATCTTCACATCAAACCTAGACAGAAGCATTCTCAGAATGTTTCCTCTGATGACTGCATTCAACCCACAGAGGTGAACAATCCTGCTGATGGAGCAGTTTTGAAACTCTCTTTCTTTGGATTCTGCAAGTGGATATGTGGACCTCTGTGAAGATTTCGTTGGAAACGGGTTCATCTTCACAGAAAAACTAAACAGGAGCATTCTCAGAAACTGCTTTGTGATGTTTGTGTTCCACTTCAGGAATTGAACTTTCCTCTTGACAGAGCAGCTCTGAAACCCTCTTATTCTAGAATCTGCAAGTGGACATTTGGAGGGCTTTGAGGCCTGTGGTGGAAAAGGAAAATCTTCACATAAAAACTAGATGGAAGCATTCTCAGAAACTATTTTGTGATGATTGCATTCGACTCACAGAGTTGAACATTCCTATAGATAGAGCAGGTTGTAAACAATCTTTTTGTAGAATCTGCGATTGGAGATTTGGACTGCTTTGAGGCCTACTGTAGTAAAGGAAATAACTTCATCTAAAAACCAAACTGAAGCATTCACAGACAATTCTTAGTGATCATTGCATTGAACTAACAGAGCTGAACATTCCTTTAGATGGCGCAGTTTCCAAACACAATTTCTGTAGAATCTGCAAGTGGATATTTGGACTTCTCTGAGGATTTCGTTGGAAACGGGATAAACTTCCCAGAACTACACGGAGCATTCTGAGAAACTTCTTTGTGATGTTTGCATTCAACTCACAGAGTTGAACCTTGCTTTCATAGTTCAGCTTTCAAACACTCTTTTTGTAGAATCTGCAAGTGGATATTTGGACCACTTTGTGGCCTTCCTTCGAAACGGGTATATCTTCACATCAAACCTAGACAGAAGCATTCTCAGAATGTTTCCTGTGATGACTGCATTCAACTCACAGAGGTGAACAATCCTGCTGATGGAGCAGTTTTGAAACTCTCTTTCTTTGGATTCTGCAAGTGGATATGTGGACCTCTGTGAAGATTTCGTTGGAAACGGGTTCATCTTCACAGAAAAACTAAACAGGAGCATTCTCAGAAACTGCTTTGTGATGTTTGTTTTCCACTTCAAGAATTGAACTTTCCTCTTGACAGAGCAGCTCTGAAACCCTCTTATTCTAGAATCTGCAAGTGGACATTTGGAGGGCTTTGAGGCCTGTGGTGGAAAAGGAAAATCTTCATATAAAAACTAGATGGAAGCATTCTCAGAAACTACTTTGTGATGATTGCATTCGACTCACAGAGTTGAACATTCCTATAGATAGAGCAGGTTGTAAACAATCTTTTTGTAGAATCTGCGATTGGAGATTTGGACTGCTTTGAGGCCTACTGTAGTAAAGGAAATAACTTCATCTAAAAACCAAACGGAAGCATTCACAGACAATTCTTAGTGATCATTGCATTGAACTAACAGAGCTGAACATTCCTTTAGATGGCGCAGTTTCCAAACACACTTTCTGTAGAATCTGCAAGTGGATATTTGGACTTCTCTGAGGATTTCGTTGGAAACGGGATAAACTTCCCAGAACTACACGGAAGCATTCTGAGAAACTTCTTTGTGATGTTTGCATTCAACTCACAGAGTTGAAGCTTGCTTTCATAGTTCAGCTTTCAAACACTCTTTTTGTAGAATCTGCAAGTGGATATTTGGACCACTTTGTGGCCTTCCTTCGAAACGGGTATATCTTCATATCAAACCTAGACAGAAGCATTCTCAGAATGTTTCCTGTGATGACTGCATTCAACTCACAGAGGTGAACAATCCTGCTGATGGAGCAGTTTTGAAACTCTCTTTCTTTGGATTCTGCAAGTGGATATGTGGACCTCTGTGAAGATTTCGTTGGAAACGGGTTCATCTTCACAGAAAAACTAAACAGGAGCATTCTCAGAAACTGCTTTGTGATGTTTGTGTTCCACTTCAAGAATTGAACTTTCCTCTTGACAGAGCAGCTCTGAAACCCTCTTTTTCTAGAATCCGCAAGTGGACATTAGGAGGGCTTTGAGGCCTGTGGTGGAAAAGGAAAATCTTCACATAAAAACTAGATGGAAGCATTCTCAGAAACTCCTTTGTGATGATTGCATTCGACTCACAGAGTTGAACTTTCCTACAGATAGAGCAGGTTGTAAACAATCTTTTTGTAGAATCTGCGATTGGAGATTTGGACTGCTTTGAGGCCTACTGTAGTAAAGGAAATAACTTCATCTAAAAACCAAACGGAAGCATTCACAGACAATTCTTAGTGATCATTGGATTGAACTAACAGAACTGAACATTCCCTTAGATAGAGCAGTTTCCAAACCCACTTTCTGTAGAATCTGCAAGTGGATATTTGGACTTCTCTGAGGATTTCGTTGGAAACGGGATAAACTTCCCAGAACTACACGGAAGCATTCTGAGAAACTTCTTTGTGATGTTTGCATTCAACTCACAGAGTTGAACCTTGCTTTCATAGTTCAGCTTTCAAACACTCTTTTTGTAGAATCTGCAAGTGGATATTTGGACCACTTTGTGGCCTTCCTTCGAAACGGGTATATCTTCACATCAAACCTAGACAGAAGCATTCTCAGAATGTTTCCTGTGATGACTGCATTCAACTCACAGAGGTGAACAATCCTGTTGATGGAGCAGTTTTGAAACTCTCTTTCTTTGGATTCTGCAAGTTGATATGTGGACCTCTGTGAAGATTTCGTTGGAAACGGGTTCATCTTCACAGAAAAACTAAACAGAAGCATTCCCAGAAACTGCTTTGTGATGTTTCTGTTCCACTTCAAGAATTGAACTTTCCTCTTGACAGAGCAGCTCTGAAACCCTCTTTTTCTAGAATCTGCAAGTGGACATTTGGAGGGCTTTGAGGCCTGTGGTGGAAAAGGAAAATCTTCACATAAAAACTAGATGGAAGCATTCTCAGAAACTACTTTGTGATGATTGCATTCGACTCACAGAGTTGAACATTCCTATAGATAGAGCAGGTTGTAAACAATCTTTTTGTAGAATCTGCGATTGGAGATTTGGACTGCTTTGAGGCCTACTGTAGTAAAGGAAATAACTTCATCTAAAAACCAAACGGAAGCATTCACAGACAATTCTTAGTGATCATTGGATTGAACTAACAGAGCTGAACATTCCTTTAGATGGAGCAGTTTCCAAACACACTTTCTGTAGAATCTGCAAGTGGATATTTGGACTTCTCTGAGGATTTCGTTGGAAACGGGATAAACTTCCCAGAACTACAGGGAAGCATTCTGAGAAACTTCTTTGTGATGTTTGCATTCAACTCACAGAGTTGAACCTTGCTTTCATAGTTCAGCTTTCAAACACTCTTTTTGTAGAATCTGCAAGTGGATATTTGGACCACTTTGTGGCCTTCCTTCGAAACGGGTATATCTTCACATCAAACCTAGACAGAAGCATTCTCAGAATGTTTCCTGTGATGACTGCATTCAACTCACAGAGGTGAACAATCCTGTTGATGGAGCACTTTTGAAACTCTCTTTCTTTGGATTCTGCAAGTTGATATGTGGACCTCTGTGAAGATTTCGTTGGAAACGGGTTCATCTTCACAGAAAAACTAAACAGAAGCATTCTCAGAAACTGCTTTGTGATGTTTGTGTTCCACTTCAAGAATTGAACTTTCCTCTTGACAGAGCAGCTCTGAAACCCTCTTTTTCTAGAATCTGCAAGTGGACATTTGGAGGGCTTTGAGGCCTGTGGTGGAAAAGGAAAATCTTCACATAAAAACTAGATGGAAGCATTCTCAGAAACTACTTTGTGATGATTGCATTCGACTCACAGAGTTGAACATTCCTATAGATAGAGCAGGTTGTAAACAATCTTTTTGTAGAATCTGCGATTGGAGATTTGGACTGCTTTGAGGCCTACTGTAGTAAAGGAAATAACTTCATCTAAAAACCAAACGGAAGCATTCACAGACAATTCTTAGTGATCATTGGATTGAACTAACAGAGCTGAACATTCCTTTAGATGGAGCAGTTTCCAAACCCACTTTCTGTAGAATCTGCAAGTGGATATTTGGACCTCTCTGATGATTTCGTTGGAAATGGGATAAACTTCCCAGAACTACACGTAAGTATTCTGAGAAACTTCTTTGTGATGTTTGCATTCAACTCACAGAGTTGAACCTTGCTTTCATAGTTCAGCTTTCAAACACTCTTTTTGTAGAATCTGCAAGTGGATATTTGGACCACTTTGTGGCCTTCCTTCGAAACGGGTATATCTTCACATCAAACCTAGACAGAAGCATTCTCAGAATGTTTCCTGTGATGACTGCATTCAACTCACAGAGGTGAACAATCCTGCTGATGGAGCAGTTTTGAAACTCTCTTTCTTTGGATTCTGCAAGTGGATATGTGGACCTCTGTGAAGATTTCGTTGGAAACGTGTTCATCTTCACAGAAAAACTAAACAGGAGCATTCTCAGAAACTGCTTTGTGATGTTTGTGTTCCACTTCCAGAATTGAACTTTCCTCTTGACAGAGCAGCTCTGAAACCCTCTTTTTCTAGAAACTGCAAGTGGACATTTGGAGGGCTTAGAGGCCTGTGGTGGAAAAGGAAAATCTTCACATAAAAACTAGATGGAAGCATTCTCAGAAACTACTTTGTGATGATTGCATTCGACTCACAGAGTTGAACATTCCTATAGATAGAGGAGGTTGTAAACAATCTTTTTGTAGAATCTGCGATTGGAGATTTGGACTGCTTTGAGGCCTACTGTAGTAAAGGAAATAACTTCATCTAAAAACCAAACGGAAGCATTCACAGACAATTCTTAGTGATCATTGGATTGAACTAACAGAGCTGAACATTCCTTTAGATGGAGCAGTTTCCAAACCCACTTTCTGTAGAATCTGCAAGTGGATATTTGGACTTCTCTGAGGATTTCGTTGGAAACGGGATAAACTTCCCAGAACTACACGGAAGTATTCTGAGAAACTTCTTTGTGATGTTTGCATTCAACTCACAGAGTTGAAACTTGCTTTCATAGTTCAGCTTTCAAACACTCTTTTTGTAGAATCTGCAAGTGGATATTTGGACCACTTTGTGGCCTTCCTTCGCAACGGGTATATCTTCACATCAAACCTAGACAGATAAGCATTCTCAGAATGTTTCCTGTGATGACTGCATTCAACTCACAGAGGTGAACAATCCTGCTGATGGAGCAGTTTTGAAACTCTCTTTCTTTGGATTCTGCAAGTGGATATGTGGACCTCTGTGAAGATTTCGTTGGAAACGGGTTCATCTTCACAGAAAAACTAAACAGGAGCATTCTCAGAAACTGCTTTGTGATGTTTGTGTTCCACTTCAGGAATTGAACTTTCCTCTTGACAGAGCAGCTCTGAAACCCTCTTATTCTAGAATCTGCAAGTGGACATTTGGAGGGCTTTGAGGCCTGTGGTGGAAAAGGAAAATCTTCACATAAAAACTAGATGGAAGCATTCTCAGAAACTACTTTGTGATGATTGCATTCGACTCACAGAGTTGAACATTCCTATAGGTAGAGCAGGTTGTAAACAATCTTTTTGTAGAATCTGCGATTGGAGATTTGGACTGCTTTGAGGCCTACTGTAGTAAAGGAAATAACTTCATCTAAAAACCAAACGGAAGCATTCACAGACAATTCTTAGTGATCATTGGATTGAACTAACAGAGCTGAACATTCCTTTAGATGGAGCAGTTTCCAAACACACTTTCTGTAGAATCTGCAAGTGGATATTTGGACTTCTCTGAGGATTTCGTTGGAAACGGGATAAACTTCCCAGAACTACACGGAAGCATTGTGAGAAACTTCTTTGTGATGTTTGCATTCAACTCACAGAGTTGAACCTTGCTTTCATAGTTCAGCTTTCAAACACTCTTTTTGTAGAATCTGCAAGTGGATATTTGGACCACTTTGTGGCCTTCCTTCGAAACGGGTATATCTTCACATCAAACCTAGACAGAAGCATTCTCAGAATGTTTCCTGTGATGACTGCATTCAACTCACAGAGCTGAACAATCCTGCTGATGGAGCAGTTTTGAAACTCTCTTTCTTTGGATTCTGCAAGTGGATATGTGGACCTCTGTGAAGATTTCGTTGGAAACGGGTTCATCTTCACAGAAAAACTAAACAGAATCATTCTCAGAAACTGCTTTGTGATGTTTGTGTTCCACTTCAGGAATTGAACTTTCCTCTTGAAAGAGCAGCTCTGAAATCCTCTTATTCTAGAATCTGCAAGTGGACATTTGGAGGGCTTTGAGGCCTGTGGTGGAAAAGGAAAATCTTCACATAAAAACTAGATGGAAGCATTCTCAGAAACTACTTTGTGATGATTGCATTCGACTCACAGAGTTGAACATTCCTATAGATAGAGCAGGTTGTAAACAATCTTTTTGTAGAATCTGCGATTGGAGATTTGGACTGCTTTGAGGCCTACTGTAGTAAAGGAAATAACTTCATCTAAAAACCAAACGGAAGCATTCACAGACAATTCTTAGTGATCATTGGATTGAACTAACAGAGCTGAACATTCCTTTAGATGGAGCAGTTTCCAAACACACTTTCTGTAGAATCTGCAAGTGGATATTTGGACTTCTCTGAGGATTTCGTTGGAAACGGGATAAACTTCCCAGAACTACACGGAAGCATTCTGAGAAACTTCTTTGTGATGTTTGCATTCAACACACAGAGTTGAACCTTGCTTTCATAGTTCAGCTTTCAAACACTCTTTTTGTAGAATCTGCAAGTGGATATTTGGACCACTTTGTGGCCTTCCTTCGAAACGGGTATATCTTCACATCAAACCTAGAGAGAAGCATTCTCGGAATGTTTCCTGTGATGACTGCATTCAACTCACAGAGGTGAACAATCCTGCTGATGGAGCAGTTTTGAAACTCTCTTTCTTTGGATTCTGCAGGTGGATATGTGGACCTCTGTGAAGATTTCGTTGGAAACGGGTTCATCTTCACAGAAAATCTAAACAGGAGCATTCTCAGAAACTGCTTTGTGATGTTTGTGTTCCACTTCAAGAATTGAACTTTCCTCTTGACAGAGCAGCTCTGAAACCCTCTTTTTCTAGAATCTGCAAGTGGACATTTGGAGGGCTTTGAGGCCTGTGGTGGAAAAGGAAAATCTTCACATAAAAACTAGATGGAAGCATTCTCAGAAACTACTTTGTGATGATTGCATTCGACTCACAGAGTTGAACATTCCTATAGATAGAGCAGGTTGTAAACAATCTTTTTGTAGAATCTGCGATTGGAGATTTGGACTGCTTTGAGGCCTACTGTAGTAAAGGAAATAAATTCATCTAAAAACCAAACGGAAGCATTCACAGACAATTCTTAGTGATCATTGCATTGAACTAACAGAGCTGAACATTCCTTTAGATGGCGCAGTTTCCAAACACACTTTCTGTAGAATCTGCAAGTGGATATTTGGACTTCTCTGAGGATTTCGTTGGAAACGGGATAAACTTCCCAGAACTACACGGAAGCATTCTGAGAAACTTCTTTGTGATGTTTGCATTCAACTCACAGTGTTGAAACTTGCTTTCATTGTTCAGCTTTCAAACACTCTTTTTGTAGAATCTGCAAGTGGATATTTGGACCACTTTGTGGCCTTCCTTCGAAACGGGTATATCTTCACATCAAACCTAGACAGAAGCCTTCTCAGAATGTTTCCTGTGATGACTGCATTCAACTCACAGAGGTGAACAATCCTGCTGATGGAGCAGTTTTGAAACTCTCTTTCTTTGGATTCTGCAAGTGGATATGTGGACCTCTGTGAAGATTTCGTAGGAAACGGGTTCATCTTCACAGAAAAACTAAACAGAAGCATTCTCAGAAACTGCTTTGTGATGTTTGTGTTCCACTTCAAGAATTGAACTTTCCTCTTGACAGAGCAGCTCTGAAACCCTCTTTTTCTAGAATCTGCAAGTGGACATTTGGAGGGCTTTGAGGCCTGTGGTGGAAAAGGAAAATCTTCACATAAAAACTAGATGGAAGCATTCTCAGAAACTACTTTGTGATGATTGCATTCGACTCAAAGAGTTGAACATTCCTATAGATAGAGCAGGTTGTAAACAATCTTTTTGTAGAATCTGCGATTGGAGATTTGGACTGCTTTGAGGCCTACTGTAGTAAAAGAAATAACTTCATCTAAAAACCAAACGGAAGCATTCACAGACAATTCTTAGTGATCATTCCATTGAACTAACAGAGCTGAACATTCCTTTAGATGGCGCAGTTTCCAAACACACTTTCTGTAGAATCTGCAAGTGGATATTTGGACTTCTCTGAGGATTTCGTTGGAAACGGGATAAACTTCCCAGAACTACACGGAAGCAGTCTGAGAAACTTCTTTGTGATGTTTGCATTCAACTCACAGAGTTGAACCTTGCTTTCGATAGTTCAGCTTTCAAACACTCTTTTTGTAGAATCTGCAAGTGGATATTTGGACCACTTTGTGGCCTTCCTTCGAAACGGGTATATCTTCACATCAAACCCAGACAGAAGCATTCTCAGAATGTTTCCTGTGATGACTGCATTCAACTCACAGAGGTGAACAATCCTGCTGATGGAGCAGTTTTGAAACTCTCTTTCTTTGGATTCTGCAAGTGGATATGTGGACCTCTGTGAAGATTTCGTTGGAAACGGGTTCATCTTCACAGAAAAACTAAACAGAAACATTCTCAGAAACTGCTTTGTGATGTTTGTGTTCCACTTCAAGAATTGAACTTTCCTCTTGACAGAGCAGCTCTGAAACCCTCTTTTTCTAGAATCTGCAAGTGGACATTTGGAGGGCTTTGAGGCCTGTGGTGGAAAAGGAAAATCTTCACATAAAAACTAGATGGAAGCATTCTCAGAAACTACTTTGTGATGATTGCATTCGACTCACAGAGTTGAACATTCCTATAGATAGAGCAGGTTGTAAACAATCTTTTTGTAGAATCTGCGATTGGAGATTTGGACTGCTTTGAGGCCTACTCTAGTAAAGGAAATAACTTCATCTAAAAACCAAACGGAAGCATTCACAGACAATTCTTAGTGATCATTGCATTGAACTAACAGAGCTGAACATTCCTGTAGATGGCGCAGTTTCCAAACACACTTTCTGTAGAATCTGCAAGTGGATATTTGGACCTCTCTGAGGATTTCGTTGGAAACGGGATAAACTTCCCAGAACTACACGGAAGCATTCTGAGAAACTTCTTTGTGATGTTTGCATTCAACTCACAGAGTGGAACCTTGCTTTCATAGTTCAGCTTTCAAACACTCTTTTTGTAGAATCTGCAAGTGGATATTTGGACCACTTTGTGGCCTTCCTTCGAAACGGGTATATCTTCACATCAAACCTAGACAGAAGCATTCTCAGAATGTTTCCTGTGATGACTGCATTCAACTCACAGAGGTGAACAATCCTGCTGATGGAGCAGTTTTGAAACTCTCTTTCTTTGGATTCTGCAAGTGGATATGTGGACCTCTGTGAAGATTTCGTTGGAAACGGGTTCATCTTCACAGAAAAACTAAACAGGAGCATTCTCAGAAACTGCTTTGTGATGTTTGTGTTCCACTTAAAGAATTGAACTTTCCTCTTGACAGAGCAGCTCTGAAACCCTCTTTTTCTAGAATCTGCAAGTGGACATTTGGAGGGCTTTGAGGCCTGTGGTGGAAAAGGAAAATCTTCACGTAAAAACTTTATGGAAGCATTCTCAGAAACTACTTTGTGATGATTGCATTCGACTCACAGAGTTGAACATTCCTATAGATAGAGCAGGTTGTAAACAATCTTTTTGTAGAATCTGCGATTGGAGATTTGGAATGCTTTGAGGCCTACTGCAGTAAAGAAAATAACTTCATCTAAAAACCAAACGGAAGCATTCACAGACAATTCTTAGTGATCATTGGATTGAACTAACAGAGCTGAACATTCCTTTAGATGGCACAGTTTCCAAACACACTTTCTGTAGAATCTGCATGTGGATATTTGGACCTCTCTGAGGATTTCGTTGGAAATGTGATAAACTTCCCAGAACTACACGGAAGCATTCTGAGAAACTTCTTTGTGATGTTTGCATTCAACTCACAGAGTTGAACCTTGCTTTCATAGTTCAGCTTTCAAACACTCTTTTTGTAGAATCTGCAAGTGGATATTTGGACCACTTTGTGGCCTTCCTTCGAAACGGGTATATCTTCACATCAAACCTAGACAGAAGCATTCTCAGCAATGTTTCCTGTGATGACTGCATTCAACTCACAGAGGTGAACAATCCTGCTGATGGAGCAGTTTTGAAACTCTCTTTCTTTGGATTCTGCAAGTGGATATGTGGACCTCTGTGAAGATTTCGTTGGAAACGGGTTCATCTTCACAGAAAAACTAAACAGAAACATTCTCAGAAACTGCTTTGTGATGTTTGTGTTCCACTTCAAGAATTGAACTTTCCTCTTGACAGAGCAGCTCTGAAACCCTCTTTTTCTAGAATCTGCAAGTGGACATTTGGAGGGCTTTGAGGCCTGTGGTGGAAAAGGAAAATCTTCACATAAAAACTAGATGGAAGCATTCTCAGAAACTACTTTGTGATGATTGCATTCGACTCACAGAGTTGAACATTCCTATAGATAGAGCAGGTTGTAAACAATCTTTTTGTAGAATCTGCGATTGGAGATTTGGACTGCTTTGAGGCCTACTGTAGTAAAGGAAATAACTTCATCTAAAAACCAAACGGAAGCATTCACAGACAATTCTTAGTGATCATTGCATTGAACTAACAGAGCTGAACATTCGTTTAGATGGCGCAGTTTCCAAACACACTTTCTGTAGAATCTGCAAGTGGATATTTGGACCTCTCTGAGGATTTCGTTGGAAACGGGATAAACTTCCCAGAACTACAGGGAAGCATTGTGAGAAACTTCTTTGTGATGTTTGCATTCAACTCACAGAGTTGAACCTTGCTTTCATAGTTCAGCTTTCAAACACTCTTTTTGTAGAATCTGCAAGTGGATATTTGGACCACTTTGTGGCCTTCCTTCGAAACGGGCATATCTTCACATCAAACCTAGACAGAAGCATTCTCAGAATGTTTCCTGTGATGACTGCATTCAACGCACAGAGGTGAACAATCCTGTTGATGGAGCAGTTTTGAAAGTCTTTCTTTGGAGTCTGCAAGTGGATGTTTGGACCTCCTTGAAGATTTCGTTGCAAACGGGATCATATTCACATAAAAACTAAACAGAAGCATTCTCAGAAACTGCTTTGTGATGTTTGTGTTCCACTTCAAGAATTGAACTTTCCTCTTGACAGAGCAGCTCTGAAATCCTCTTATTCTAGAATCTGCAAGTGGACATTTGGAGGGCTTTGAGGCCTGTGGTGGAAAAGGAAAATCTTCACATAAAAACTAGATGGAAGCATTCTCAGAAACTCCTTTGTGATGATTGCATTCGACTCACAGAGTTGAACATTCCTATAGATAGAGCAGGTTGTAAACAATCTTTTTGTAGAATCTGCGATTGGAGATTTGGACTGCTTTGAGGCCTACTGTAGTAAAGGAAATAACTTCATCTAAAAACCAAACGGAAGCATTCACAGACAATTCTTAGTGATTATTGGATTGAACTAACAGAGCTGAACATTCCTTTAGATGGCGCAGTTTCCAAACACACTTTCTGTAGAATCTGCAAGTGGATATTTGGACTTCTCTGAGGATTTCGTTGGAAACGGGATAAACTTCCCAGAACTACACGGAAGCATTCTGAGAAACTTCTTTGTGATGTTTGCATTCAACTCACAGAGTTGAACCTTGCTTTCATAGTTCAGCTTTCAAACACTCTTTTTGTAGAATCTGCAAGTGGATATTTGGACCACTTTGTGGCCTTCCTTCGAAACGGGTATATCTTCACATCAAACCTAGACAGAAGCATTCTCAGAATGTTTCCTGTGATGACTGCATTCAACTCACAGAGGTGAACAATCCTGCTGTTGGAGCAGTTTTGAAACTCTCTTTCTTTGGATTCTGCAAGTGGATATGTGGACCTCTGTGAAGATTTCGTTGGAAACGGGTTCATCTTCACAGAAAAACTAAACAGGAGCATTCTCAGAAACTGCTTTGTGATGTTTGTGTTCCACTTAAAGAATTGAACTTTCCTCTTGACAGAGCAGCTCTGAAACCCTCTTATTCTAGAATCTGCAAGTGGACATTTGGAGGGCTTTGAGGCCTGTGGTGGGAAAGGAAAATCTTCACATAAAAACTTTATGGAAGCATTCTCAGAAACTCCTTTGTGATGATTGCATTCGACTCACAGAGTTGAACATTCCTATAGATAGAGCAGGTTGTAAACAATCTTTTTGTAGAATTTGCGATTGGAGATTTGGACTGCTTTGAGGCCTACTGTAGTAAAGGAAATAACTTCATCTAAAAACCCAACGGAAGCATTCACAGACCATTCTTAGTGATCATTGGATTGAACTAACAGAGCTGAACATTCCTTTAGATGGCGCAGTTTCCAAACACACTTTCTGTAGAATCTGCAAGTGGATATTAAGACCTCTCTGAGGATTTCGTTGGAAACGGGATAAACTTCCCAGAACTACACGGAAGCATTCTGAGAAACTTCTTTGTGATGTTTGCATTCAACTCACAGAGTTGAACCTTGCTTTCATAGTTCAGCTTTCAAACACTCTTTTTGTAGAATCTGCAAGTGGATATTTGGACCACTTTGTGGCCTTCCTTCGAAACGGGTATATCTTCACATCAAACCTAGACAGAAGCATTCTCGGAATGTTTCCTGTGATGACTGCATTCAACTCACAGAGGTGAACAATCCTGCTGATGGAGCAGTTTTGAAACTCTCTTTCTTTGGATTCTGCAAGTGGATATGTGGACCTCTGTGAAGATTTCGTTGGAAACGGGTTCATCTTCACAGAAAAACTAAACAGGAGGATTCTCAGAAACTGCTTTGTGATGTTTGTGTTCCACTTCAGGAATTGAACTTTCCTCTTGACAGAGCAGCTCTGAAACCCTCTTATTCTAGAATATGCAAGTGGATATTTGGAGGGCTTTGAGGCCTGTGGTGGAAAAGGAAAATCTTCACATAAAAACTAGACGGAAGCATTCTCAGAAACTACTTTGTGATGATTGCATTCGACTCACAGAGTTGAACATTCCTATAGATAGAGCAGGTTGTAAACAATCTTTTTGTAGAATCTGCGATTGGAGATTTGGACTGCTTTGAGGCCTACTGTAGTAAAGGAAATAACTTCATCTAAAAACCAAACGGAAGCATTCACAGACAATTCTTAGTGATCATTGGATTGAACTAACAGAGCTGAACATTCCTTTAGATGGAGCAGTTTCCAAACACACTTTCTGTAGAATCTGCAAGTGGATATTTGGACTTCTCTGAGGATTTCGTTGGAAACGGGATAAACTTCCCAGAACTACACGGAAGCATTCTGAGAAACTTCTTTGTGATGTTTGCATTCAACTCACAGAGTTGAACCTTGCTTTCATAGTTCAGCTTTCAAACACTCTTTTTGTAGAATCTGCAAGTGGATATTTGGACCACTTTGTGGCCTTCCTTCGAAACGCGTATATCTTCACATGAAACCTAGACAGAAGCATTCTCAGAATGTTTCCTGTGATGACTGCATTCAACTCACAGAGGTGAACAATCCTGTTGATGGAGCAGTTTTGAATCTCTCTTCCTTTGGATTCTGCAAGTGGATATGTGGACCTCTGTGAAGATTTCGTTGGAAACGGGTTCATTTTCACAGAAAAACTAAACAGAAGCAATCTCAGAAACTGCTTTGTGATGTTTGTGTTCCACTTCAAGAATTGAACTTTCCTCTTGACAGAGCAGCTCTGAAACCCTCTTTTTCTAGAATCTGCAAGTGGACATTTGGAGGGCTTTGAGGCCTGTGGTGGAAAAGGAAAATCTTCCCATAAAAACTAGATGGAAGCATTCTCAGAAACTATTTGTGATGATTGCATTCGACTCACAGAGTTGAACATTCCTATAGATAGAGCAGGTTGTAAACAATCTTTTTGTAGAATCTGCGATTGGAGATTTGGACTGCTTTGAGGCCTACTGTAGTAAAGGAAATAACTTCATCTAAAAACCAAACGGAAGCATTCACAGACAATTCTTAGTGATCATTGGATTGAACTAACAGAGCTGAACATTCCTTTAGATGGAGCAGTTTCCAAACACACTTTCTGTAGAATCTGCAAGTGGATATTTGGACTTCTCTGAGGATTTCGTTGGAAACGGGATAAACTTCCCAGAACTACACGGAAGCATTCTGAGAAACTTCTTTGGATGTTTGCATTCAACTCACAGAGTTGAACCTTGCTTTCATAGTTCAGCTTTCAAACACTCTTTTTGTAGAATCTGCAAGTGGATATTTGGACCACTTTGTGGCCTTCCTTCGAAACGGCTATATCTTCACATCAAACCTAGACAGAAGCATTCTCAGAATGTTTCCTGTGATGACTGCATTCAACTCACAGAAGGTGAACAATCCTGCTGATGGAGCAGTTTTGAAACTCTCTTTCTTTGGATTCTGCAAGTGGATATGTGGACCTCTGTGAAGATTTCGTTGGAAACGGGCTCATCTTCACAGAAAAACTAAACAGGAGCATTCTCAGAAACTGCTTTGTGATGTTTTTGTTCCACATCAAGAATTGAACTTTCTTCTTGACAGAGCAGCTCTGAAACCCTCTTTTTCTAGAATCTGCAAGTGGACATTTGGAGGGCTTTGAGGCCTGTGGTGCAAAAGGAAAATCTTCACATAAAAACTAGATGGAAGCATTCTCAGAAACTACTTTGTGATGATTGCATTCGACTCACGGAGTTGAACATTCCTATAGATAGAGCAGGTTGTAAACAATCTTTTTGTAGAATCTGCGATTGGAGATTTGGACTGCTTTGAGGCCTACTGTAGTAAAGGAAATAACTTCATCTAAAAACCAAACGGAAGCATTCACAGACAATTCTTAGTGATCATTGCATTGAACTAACAGAGCTGAACATTCCTTTAGATGGCGCAGTTTCCAAACACACTTTCTGTAGAATCTGCAAGTGGATATTTGGACTTCTCTGAGGATTTCGTTGGAAACGGGATAAACTTCCCAGAACTACACGGAAGCATTCTGAGAAACTTCTTTGTGATGTTTGCATTCAACTCACAGAGTTGAACCTTGCTTTCATAGTTCAGCTTTCAAACACTCTTTTTGTAGAATCTGCAAGTGGATATTTGGACCACTTTGTGGCCTTCCTTCGAAACGGGTATATCTTCACATCAAACCTAGACAGAAGCATTCTCAGAATGTTTCCTGTGATGACTGCATTCAACTCACAGAGGTGAACAATCCTGCTGATGGAGCAGTTTTGAAACTCTCTTTCTTTGGATTCTGCAAGTGGATATGTGGACCTCTGTGAAGATTTCGTTGGAAACGGGTTCATCTTCACAGAAAAACTAAACAGAAGCATTCTAAGAAACTGCTTTGTGATGTTTGTGTTCCACTTAAGGAATTGAACTTTCCTCTTGACAGAGCAGCTCTGAAACCCTCTTTTTCTAGAATCTGCAAGTGGACATTTGGAGGGCTTTGAGGCCTGTGGTGGAAAAGGAAAATCGTCACATAAAAACTAGATGGAAGCATTCTCAGAAACTACTTTGTGATGATTGCATTCGACTCACAGAGTTGAACATTCCTATAGATAGAGCAGGTTGTAAACAATCTTTTTGTAGAATCTGCGATTGGAGATTTGGACTGCTTTGAGGCCTACTGTAGTAAAGGAAATAACTTCATCTAAAAACCAAACGGAAGCATTCACAGAAAATTCTTAGTGATCATTGGATTGAACTAACAGAGCTGAACATTCCTTTAGATGGAGCAGTTTCCAAACCCACTTTCTGTAGAATCAGCAAGTGGATATTTGGATTTCTCTGAGGATTTCGTTGGAAACGGGATATGCTTCCCAGAACTACAGGGAAGCATGCTGAGAAACTTCTTTGTGATATTTGCATTCAACTCACAGAGTTGAACCTTGCTTTCATAGTTCAGCTTTCAAACACTCTTTTTGTAGAATCTGCAAGTGGATATTTGGACCACTTTGTGGCCTTCCTTCGAAACGGGTATATCTTCACATCAAACCTAGACAGAAGCATTCTCAGGATGTCTCCTGTGATGACTGCATTCAACTCACAGAGGTGAACAACCCTGCTGATGGAGCAGTTTTGAAACTCTCTTTCTTTGGATTCTGCAAGTTGATATGTGGACCTCTGTGAAGATTTCGTTGGAAACGGGTTCATCTTCACAGAAAAACTAAACAGAAGCATTCTCAGAAACTGCTTTGTGATGTTTGTGTTCCACTTCAGGAATTGAACTTTCCTCTTGACAGAGCAGCTCTGAAACCCTCTTTTTCTAGAATCTGCCAGTGGACATTTGGAGGGCTTTGAGGCCTGTGGTGGAAAAGGGAAATCTTCACATAAATACTAGATGGAAGCATTCTCAGAAACTACTTTGTGATGATTGCATTCGACTCACAGAGTTGAACATTCCTATAGATAGAGCAGGTTGTACACAATCTTTTTGTAGAATCTGCGATTGGAGATTTGGACTGCTTTGAGGCCTACTGTAGTAAAGGAAATAACTTCATCTAAAAACCAAACGGAAGCATTCACAGACAATTCTTAGTGATCATTGCATTGAACTAACAGAGCTGAACATTGCTTTAGATGGCGCAGTTTCCAAACACACTTTCTGTAGAATCTGCAAGTGGATATTTGGACCTCTCTGAGGATTTCGTTGGAAACGGGATAAAATTCCCAGAACTACACGGAAGCATGCTGAGAAACTTCTTTGTGATGTTTGCATTCAACTCACAGAGTTGAACCTTGCTTTCATAGTTCAGCTTTCAAACACTCTTTTTGTAGAATCTGCAAGTGGATATTTGGACCACTTTGTGGCCTTCCTTCGAAACGGGTATATCTTCACATCAAACCTAGACAGAAGCATTCTCAGAATGTTTCCTGTGATGACTGCATTCAACTCACAGAGGTGAACAATCCTGCTGATGGAGCAGTTTTGAAACTCTCTTTCTTTGGATTCTGCAAGTGGATATGTGGACCTCTGTGAAGATTTCGTTGGAAACGGGTTCATCTTCACAGAAAAACTAAACAGAAGCATTCTCAGAAACTGCTTTGTGATGTTTGTGTTCCACTTCAAGAATTGAACTTTCCTCTTGACCGAGCAGCTCTGAAACCCTCTTTTTCTAGAATCTGCAAGTGGACATTTGGAGGGCTTTGAGGCCTGTGGTGGAAAAGGAAAATCTTCACATAAAAACTAGATGGAAGCATTCTCAGAAACTACTTTGTGATGATTGCATTCGACTCACAGAGTTGAACATTCCTATAGATAGAGCAGGTTGTAAACAATCTTTTTGTAGAATCTGCGATTGGAGATTTGGACTGCTTTGAGGCCTACTGTAGTAAAGGAAATAACTTCATCTAAAAACCAAACGGAAGCATTCACAGACAATTCTTAGTGATCATTGCATTGAACTAACAGAGCTGAACATTCCTTTAGATGGAGCAGTTTCCAAACACACTTTCTGTAGAATCTGCAAGTGGATATTTGGACTTCTCTGAGGATTTCGTTGGAAACGGGATAAACTTCCCAGAACTACACGGAAGCATTCTGAGAAAATTCTTTGTGATGTTTGCATTCAACTCACAGAGTTGAACCTTGCTTTCATAGTTCAGCTTTCAAACACTCTTTTTGTAGAATCTGCAAGTGGATATTTGGACCACTTTGTGGCCTTCCTTCGAAACGGGTATATCTTCACATCAAACCTAGACAGAAGCATTCTCAGAATGTTTCCTGTGATGACTGCATTCAACTTACAGAGGTGAACAATCCTGTTGATGGAGCAGTTTTGAAACTCTCTTTCTTTGGATTCTGCAAGTGGATATGTGGACCTCTGTGAAGATTTCGTTGGAAACGGGTTCATCTTCACAGAAAAACTAAACAGGAGCATTCTCAGAAACTGCTTTGTGATGTTTGTGTTCCACTTCAAGAATTGAACTTTCCTTTTGACAGAGCAGCTCTGAAACCCTCTTATTCTAAAATCTGCAAGTGGACATTTGGAGGGCTTTGAGGCCTGTGGTGGAAAAGGAAAATCTTCACATAAAAACTAGATGGAAGCATTCTCAGAAACTCCTTTGTGATGATTGCATTCGACTCACAGAGTTGAACATTCCTATAGATAGAGCAGGTTGTAAACAATCTTTTTGTAGAATCTGCGATTGGAGATTTGGACTGCTTTGAGGCCTACTGTAGTAAAGGAAATAACTTCATCTAAAAACCAAACGGAAGCATTCACAGACAATTCTTAGTGATCATTGGATTGAACTAACAGAGCTGAACATTCCTTTAGATGGAGCAGTTTCCAAACCCACTTTCTGTAGAATCTGCAATTGGATATTTGGACTTCTCTGAGGATTTCGTTGGAAACGGGATAAACTTCCCAGAACTACACGGAAGCATTGTGAGAAACTTCTTTGTGATGTTTGCATTCAACTCACAGAGTTGAACCTTGCTTTCATAGTTCAGCTTTCAAACACTCTTTTTGTAGAATCTGCAAGTGGATATTTGGACCACTTTGTGGCCTTCCTTCGAAAGGGGTATATCTTCACATCAAACCTAGACAGAAGCATTCTCAGAATGTTTCCTGTGATGACTGCATTCAACTCACAGAGGTGAACAATCCTGCTGATGGAGCAGTTTTGAAACTCTCTTTCTTTGGATTCTGCAAGTGGATATGTGGACCTCTGTGAAGATTTCGTTGGAAACGGGTTCATCTTCACAGAAAAACTAAACAGAAGCATTCTCAGAAACTGCTTTGTGATGTTTGTGTTCCACTTCAGGAATTGAACTTTCCTCTTGACAGAGCAGCTCTAAAACCCTCTTATTCTAGAATCTGCAAGTGGACATTTGGAGGGCTTTGAGGCCTGTGGTGGAAAAGGAAAATCTTCACATAAAAACTAGATGGAAGCATTCTCAGAAACTACTTTGTGATGATTGCATTCGACTCACAGAGTTGAACATTCCTATAGATAGAGCAGGTTGTAAACAATGTTTTTGTAGAATCTGCGATTGGAGATTTGGACTGCTTTGAGGCCTACTGTAGTAAAGGAAATAACTTCATCTAAAAACCAAACGGAAGCATTCACAGACAATTCTTAGTGATCATTGCATTGAACTAACAGAGCTGAACATTCCTTTAGATGGCGCAGTTTCCAAACACACTTTCTGTAGAATCTGCAAGTGGATATTTGGACTTCTCTGAGGATTTCGTTGGAAACGGGATAAACTTCCCAGAACTACACGGAAGCATTGTGAGAAACTTCTCTGTGATGTTTGCATTCAACTCACAGAGTTGAACCTTGCTTTCATAGTTCAGCTTTCAAACACTCTTTTTGTGGAATCTGCAAGTGGATATTTGGACCACTTTGTGGCCTTCCTTCGAAACGGGTATATCTTCACATCAAACCTAGACAGAAGCATTCTCAGAATGTTTCCTGTGATGACTGCATTCAACTCACAGAGGTGAACAATCCTGCTGATGGAGCAGTTTTGAAACTCTCTTTCTTTGGATTCTGCAAGTGGATATGTAGACCTCAGTGAAGATTTCGTTGGAAACGGGTTCATCTTCACAGAAAAACTAAACAGAAGCATTCTCAGAAACTGCTTTGTGATGTTTGTGTTCCACTTCAGGAATTGAACTTTCCTCTTGACAGAGCAGCTCTGAAACCCTCTTATTCTAGAATCTGCAAGTGGACATTTGGAGGGCTTTGAGGCCTGTGGTGGAAAAGGAAAATCTTCACATAAAAACTAGATGGAAGCATTCTCAGAAACTACTTTGTGATGATTGCATTCGACTCACAGAGTTGAACATTCCTATACATAGAGCAGGTTGTAAACAATCTTTTTGTAGAATCTGCGATTGGAGATTTGGACTGCTTTGAGGCCTACTGTAGTAAAGGAAATAACTTCATCTAAAAACCAAACGGAAGCATTCACAGACAATTCTTAGTGATCATTGGATTGAACTAACAGAGCTGAACATTCCTTTAAATGGAGCAGTTTCCAAACACACTTTCTGTAGAATCTGCAAGTGGATATTTGGACTTCTCTGAGGATTTCGTTGGAAACGGGATAAACTTCCCAGAACTACACGGAAGCATTGTGAGAAACTTCTTTGTGATGTTTGCATTCAACTCACAGAGTTGAACCTTGCTTTCATAGTTCAGCTTTCAAACACTCTTTTTGTAGAATCTGCAAGTGGATATTTGGACCACTTTGTGGCCTTCCTTCGAAAAGGGTATATCTTCACATCAAACCTAGACAGAAGCATTCTCAGAATGTTTCCTGTGATGACTGCATTCAACTCACAGAGGTGAACAATCCTGCTGATGGAGCAGTTTTGAAACTCTCTTTCTTTGGATTCTGCAAGTGGATATGTGGACCTCTGTGTAGATTTCGTTGGAAACGGGTTCATCTTCACAGAAAAACTAAACAGGAGCATTCTCAGAAACTGCTTTGTGATGTTTGTGTTCCACTTCAGGAATTGTACTTTCCTCTTGACAGAGCAGCTCTGAAACCCTCTTATTCTAGAATCTGCAAGTGGACATTTGGAGGGCTTTGAGGCCTGTGGTGGAAAAGGAAAATCTTCACATAAAAACTAGATGGAAGCATTCTCAGAAACTACTTTGTGATGATTGCATTCGACTCACAGAGTTGAACATTCCTATACATAGAGCAGGTTGTAAACAATCTTTTTGTAGAATCTGCGATTGGAGATTTGGACTGCTTTGAGGCCTACTGTAGTAAAGGAAATAACTTCATCTAAAAACCAAACGGAAGCATTCACAGACAATTCTTAGTGATCATTGCATTGAACTAACAGAGCTGAACATTGCTTTAGATGGCGCAGTTTCCAAACACACTTTCTGTAGAATCTGCAAGTGGATATTTGGACCTCTCTGAGGATATCGTTGGAAAAGGGATAAAATTCCCAGAACTACACGGAAAGCATTCTGAGAAACTTCTTTGTGATGTTTGCATTCAACTCACAGGATTTGCACCTTGCTTTCATAGTTCAGCTTTCAAACACTCTTTTTGTAGAATCTGCAAGTGGATATTTGGACCACTTTGTGGCCTTCCTTCGAAAAGGGTATATCTTCACATCAAACCTAGACAGAAGCATTCTCAGAATGTTTCCTGTGATGACTGCATTCAACTCACAGAGGTGAACAATCCTTCTGATGGAGCAGTTTTGAAACTCTCTTTCTTTGGATTCTGCAAGTGGATATGTGGACCTCTGTGAAGATTTCGTTGGAAACGGGTTCATCTTCACAGAAAAACTAAACAGGAGCATTCTCAGAAACTGCTTTGTGATGTTTGTGTTCCACTTCAGGAATTGAACTTTCCTCTTGACAGAGCAGCTCTGAAACCCTCTTTTTCTAGAATCTGCAAGTGGACATTTGGAGGGCTTTGAGGCCTGTGGTGGAAAAGGAAAATCTTCACATAAAAACTAGATGGAAGCATTCTCAGAAACTACTTTGTGATGATTGCATTCGACTCACAGAGTTGAACATTCCTATAGATAGAGCAGGTTGTAAACAATCTTTTTGTAGAATCTGCGATTGGAGATTTGGACTGCTTTGAGGCCTACTGTAGTAAAGGAAATAACTTCAGCTAAAAACCAAACCGAAGCATTCACAGACAATTCTTAGTGATCATTGGATTGAACTAACAGAGCTGAACATTCCTTTAGATGGAGCAGTTTCCAAACACACTTTCTGTAGAATCTGCAAGTGGATATTTGGACTTCTCTGAGGATTTCGTTGGAATCGGGATAAACTTCCCAGAACTACACGGAAGCATTGTGAGAAACTTCTTTGTGATGTTTTCATTCAACTCACAGAGTTGAACCTTGCTTTCATAGTTCAGCTTTCAAACACTCTTTTTGTAGAATCTGCAAGTGGATATTTGGACCACTTTGTGGCCTTCCTTCGAAACGGGTATATCTTCACATCAAACCTAGACAGAAGCATTCTCAGAATGTTTCCTGTGATGACTGCATTCAACTCACAGAGGTGAACAATCCTGCTGATGGAGCAGTTTTGAAACTCTCTTTCTTTGGATTCTGCAAGTGGATATGTGGACCTCTGTGAAGATTTCGTTGGAAACGGGTTCATCTTCACAGAAAAACTAAACAGAAGCATTCTCAGAAACTGCTTTGTGATGTTTGTGTTCCACTTCAGGAATTGAACTTTCCTCTTGACAGAGCAGCTCTGAAATCCTCTTATTCTAGAATCTGCAAGTGGACATTTGGAGGGCTTTGAGGCCTGTGGTGGAAAAGGAAAATCTTCACATAAAAACTAGATGGAAGCATTCTCAGAAACTACTTTGTGATGATTGCACTCGACTCACAGAGTTGAATATTCCTATAGATAGAGCAGGTTGTAAACAATCTTTTTGTAGAATCTGCGATTGGAGATTTGGACTGCTTTGAGGCCTACTGTAGTAAAGGAAATAACTTCATCTAAAAACTAAACGGAAGCATTCACAGACAATTCTTAGTGATCATTGCATTGAACTAACAGAGCTGAACATTCCTTTAGATGAAGCAGTTTCCAAACCCACTTTCTGTAGAATCTGCAAGTGGATATTTGGACTTCTCTGAGGATTTCGTTGGAAACGGGATAAACTTCCCAGAACTACAGGGAAGCATTCTGAGAAACTTCTTTGTGATGTTTGCATTCAACTCACAGAGTTGAACCTTGCTTTCATAGTTCAGCTTTCAAACACTCTTTTTGTAGAATCTGCAAGTGGATATTTGGACCACTTTGGGGCCTTCCTTCGAAACGGGTTCATCTTCACAGAAAAACTAAACAGGAGCATTCTCAGAATGTTTCCTGTGATGACTGCATTCAACTCACAGAGGTGAACAATCCTGCTGATGGAGCAGTTTTGAAACTCTCTTTCTTTGGATTCTGCAAGTGGATATGTGGACCTCTCTGAAGATTTCGTTGGAAACGGGTTCATCTTCACAGAAAAACTAAACAGAAGCATTCTCAGGAAACTGCTTTGTGATGTTTGTGTTCCACTTCAAGAATTGAACTTTCCTCTTGACAGAGCAGCTCTGAAACCCTCTTTTTCTAGAATCTGCAAGTGGACATTTGGAGGGCTTTGAGGCCTGTGGTGGAAAAGGAAAATCTTCACATAAAAACTTGATGGAAGCATTCTCAGAAACTACTTTGTGATGATTGCATTCGACTCACAGAGTTGAACATTCCTATAGATAGAGCAGGTTGTAAACAATCTTTTTGTAGAATCTGCGATTGGAGATTTGGACTGCTTTGAGGCCTACTGTAGTAAAGGAAATAACTTCATCTAAAAACCAAACGGAAGCATTCACAGACAATACTTAGTGATCATTGGATTGAACTAACAGAGCTGAACATTCCTTTAGATGGCGCAGTTTCCAAACACACTTTCTGTAGAATCTGCAAGTGGATATTTGGACCTCTCTGAGGATTTCGTTGGAAACGGGATAAACTTCCCAGAACTACACGGAAGCATTCTGAGAAACTTCTTTGTGATATTTGCATTCAACTCACAGAGTTGAACCTTGTTTTCATAGTTCAGCTTTCAAACACTCTTTTTGTAGAATCTGCAAGTGGATATTTGGACCACTTTGTGGCCTTCCTTCGAAACGGATATATCTTCACATCAAACCTAGACAGAAGCATTCTCAGAATGTTTCCTGTGATGACTGCATTCAACTCACAGAGGTGAACAATCCTGCTGATGGAGCAGTTTTGAAACTCTCTTTCTTTGGATTCTGCAAGTGGATATGTGGACCTCTGTGAAGATTTCGTTGGAAACGGGTTCATCTTCACAGAAAAACTAAACAGAAGCATTCTCAGAAACTGCTTTGTGATGTTTGTGTTCCACTTCAAGAATTGAACTTTCCTCTTGACAGAGCAGCTCTGAAACCCTCTTTTTCTAGAATCTGCAAGTGGACATTTGGAGGGCTTTGAGGCCTGTGGTGGAAAAGGAAAATCTTCACATAAAAACTAGATGGAAGCATTCTCAGAAACTACTTTGTGATGATGGCTTTCGACTCACAGAGTTGAACATTCCTATAGATAGAGCAGGTTGTAAACAATCTTTTTGTAGAATCTGCGATTGGAGATTTGGACTGCTTTGAGGCCTACTGTAGTAAAGGAAATAACTTCATCTAAAAACCAAACGGAAGCATTCACAGACAATTCTTAGTGATCATTGCATTGAACTAACAGAGCTGAACACTCCTTTAGATGGCGCTGTTTCCAAACACACTTTCTGTAGAATCTGCACGTGGATATTTGGACTTCTCTGAGGATTTCGTTGGAAACGGGATAAACTTCCCAGAACTACACGGAAGCATTGTGAGAAACTTCTTTGTGATGTTTGCATTCCACTCACAGAGTTGAACCTTGCTTTCATAGTTCAGCTTTCAAACACTCTTTTTGTAGAATCTGCAAGTGGATATTTGGACCACTTTGTGGCCTTCCTTCGAAACGGGTATATCTTCACATCAAACCTAGACAGAAGCATTCTCAGAATGTTTCCTGTTATGACTGCATTCAACTCACAGAGGTGAACAATCCTGTTGATGGAGCAGTTTTGAAACTCTCTTTCTTTGGATTCTGCAAGTGGATATGTGGACCTCTGTGAAGATTTCGTTGGAAACGGGTTCATCTTCACAGAAAAACTAAACAGAAGCATTCTCAGAAACTGCTTTGTGATGTTTGTGTTCCACTTCAGGAATTGAACTTTCCTCTTGACAGAGCAGCTCTGAAACCCTCTTATTCTAGAATCTGCAAGTGGACATTTGGAGGGCTTTGAGGCCTGTGGTGGAAAAGGAAAATCTTCACATAAAAACTAGATGGAAGCATTCTCAGAAACTACTTTGTGATGATTGCATTCGACTCACAGAGTTGAACATTCCTATAGATAGAGCAGGTTGTAAACAATCTTTTTGTAGAATCTGCGATTGGAGATTTGGACTGCTTTGAGGCCTACTGTAGTAAAGGAAATAACTTCATCTAAAAACCAAACGGAAGCATTCACAGACAATTCTTAGTGATCATTGCATTGAACTAACAGAGCTGAACATTCCTTTAGATGGCGCAGTTTCCAAACACACTTTCTGTAGAATCTGCAAGTGGATATTTGGACCTCTCTGAGGATTTCGTTGGAAACGGGATAAACTTCCCAGAACTACACGGAAGCATTGTGAGACAATTCTTTGTGAAGTTTGCATTCAACTCACAGAGTTGAACCTTGGTTTCATAGTTCAGCTTTCAAACACTCTTTTTGTAGAATCTGCAAGTGGATATTTGGACCACTTTGTGGCCTTCCTTCGAAACGGGTATATCTTCACATCAAACCTAGACAGAAGCATTCTCAGAATGTTTCCTGTGATGACTGCATTCAACTCACAGAGGTGAACAATCCTGCTGATGGAGCAGTTTTGAAACTCTCTTTCTTTGGATTCTGCAAGTGGATATGTGGACCTCTGTGAAGATTTCGTTGGAAACGGGTTCATCTTCACAGAAAAACTAAACAGAAGTATTCTCAGAAACTGCTTTGTGATGTTTGTGTTCCACTTCAAGAATTGAACTTTCCTCTTGACAGAGCAGCTCTGAAACCCTCTTTTTCTAGAGTCTGCAAGTGGACATTTGGAGGGCTTTGAGGCCTGTGGTGGAAAAGGAAAATCTTCACATAAACACTAGATGGAAGCATTCTCAGAAACTACTTTGTGATGATTGCATTCAACTCACAGAGTTGAACATTCCTATAGATAGAGCAGGTTGTAAACAATCTTTTTGTAGAATCTGCGATTGGAGATTTCGACTGCTTTGAGGCCTACTGTAGTAAAGGAAATAACTTCATCTAAAAACCAAACGGAAGCATTCACAGACAATTCTTAGTGATTATTGGATTGAACTAACAGAGCTGAACATTCCTTTAGATGGAGCAGTTTCCAAACCCACTTTCTGTAGAATCTGCAAGGGGATATTTGGACTTCTCTGAGGATTTCGTTGGAAACGGGATAAACTTCCCAGAACTACACGGAAAGCATTCTGAGAAACTTCTTTGTGATGTTTGCATTCAACTCACAGAGTTGAACCTTGCTTTCATAGTTCAGCTTTCAAACACTCTTTTTGTAGAATCTGCAAGTGGATATTTGGACCACTTTTTGGCCTTCCTTCGAAACGGGTATATCTTCACATCAAACCTAGACAGAAGCATTCTCAGAATGTTTCCTGTGATGACTGCATTCAACTCACAGAGGTGAACAATCCTGTTGATGAAGCACTTTTGAAACTCTCTTTCTTTGGATTCTGCAAGTGGATATGTGGACCTCTGTGAAGATTTCGTTGGAAACGGGTTCATCTTCCCAGAAAAACTAAAAAGAAACATTCTCAGAAACTGCTTTGTGATGTTTGTGTTCCACTTCAGGAATTGAACTTTCCTCTTGACAGAGCAGCTCTGAAACCCTCTTATTCTAGAATCTGCAAGTGGACATTTGGAGGGCTTTGAGGCCTGTGGTGGAAAAGGAAAATCTCCACATAAAAACTAGATGGAAGCATTCTCAGAAACTTTTTTGTGATGATTGCATTCGACTCACAGAGTTGAACATTCCTATAGATAGAGCAGGTTGTAAACAATCTTTTTGTAGAATCTGCGATTGGAGATTTGGACTGCTTTGAGGCCTACTGTAGTAAAGGAAATAACTTCATCTAAAAACCAAATGGAAGCATTCACAGAAAATTCTTTGTGATCATTGGATTGAACTAAGAGAGCTGAACATTCCTTTAGATGGCGCAGTTTCCAAACACACTTTCTGTAGAATCTGCAAGTGGATATTGGGAACTCTCTGAGGATTTCGTTGGAAACGGGATAAATTCCCAGAACTGCACAGAAGCATTCTCAGAAACTTCTTTGTGATGTTGCATTCAACTCACAGACTTGAACCTTGCTTTCATAGTTCAGCTTCCAAACACTCTTTTTGTAGAATCTGCAAGTGGATATTTGGACCACTTTGTGGCCTTCCTTCGAAACGGGAATATCTTCACATCAAACCTAGACAGAAGCATTCTCAGAATGTTTCCTGTGATGACTGCATTCAACTCACAGAGGTGAACAATCCTGCTGATGGAGCACTTTTGAAACTCTCTTTCTTTGGATTCTGCAAGTGGATATGTGGACCTCTGTGAAGATTTCGTTGGAAACGGGTTCATCTTCACAGAAAAACTAAACAGGAGCATTCTCAGAAACTGCTTTGTGATGTTTGTGTTCCACTTCAAGAATTGAACTTTCCTCTTGACAGAGCAGCTCTGAAACCCTCTTTTTCTAGAATCTGCAAGTGGACATTTGGAGGGCTTTGAGGCCTGTGGTGGAAAAGGAAAATCTTCACATAAAAACTAGATGGAAGCATTCTCAGAAACTACTTTGTGATGATTGCATTCGACTCACAGAGTTGAACATTCCTATAGATAGAGCAGGTTGTAAACAATCTTTTTGCAGAATCTGCGATTGGAGATTTCGACTGCTTTGAGGCCTACTGTAGTAAAGGAAATAACTTCATCTAAAAACCAAACGGAAGCATTCACAGACAATTCATAGTGATCATTGGATTGAACTAACAGAGCTGAACATTCCTTTAGATGGCGCAGTTTCCAAACACACTTTCTGTAGAATCTGCAAGTGGATATTTGGACCTCTCTGAGGATTTCGTTGGAAACGGGATAAACTTCCCAGAACTACACGGAAGCATTGTGAGAAACTTCTTTGTGATGTTTGCATTCAACTCACAGAGTTGAACCTTGCTTTCATAGTTCAGCTTTCAAACACTCTTTTTGTAGAATCTGCAAGTGGATATTTGGACCACTTTGTGGCCTTCCTTCGAAACGGGTATATCTTCACATCAAACCTAGACAGAAGCATTCTCAGAATGTTTCCTGTGATGACTGCATTCAACTCACAGAGGTGAACAATCCTGCTGATGGAGCAGTTTTGAAACTCTCTTTCTTTGGATTCTGCAAGTGGATATGTGGACCTCTGTGAAGATTTCGTTGGAAACGGGTTCATCTTCACAGAAAAACTAAACAGAAGCATTCTCAGAAACTGCTTTGTGATGTTTGTGTTCCACTTCAAGAATTGAACTTTCCTCTTGACAGAGCAGCTCTGAAACCCTCTTTTTCTAGAATCTGCAAGTGGACATTTGGAGGGCTTTGAGGCCTGTGGTGGAAAAGGAAAATCTTCCCATAAAAACTAGATGGAAGCATTCTCAGAAACTACTTTGTGATGATTGCATTCGACTCACAGAGTTGAACATTCCTATAGATAGAGCAGGTTGTAAACAATCTTTTTGTAGAATCTGCGATTGGAGATTTGGACTGCTTTGAGGCTTAATGTAGTAAAGGAAATAACTTCATCTAAAAACCAAACGGAAGCACTCACAGACAATTCTTAGTGATCATTGCATTGAACTAACAGAGCTGAACATTCCTTTAGATGGCGCAGTTTCCAAACACACTTTTTGTAGAATCTGCAAGTGGATATTTGGACCTCTCTGAGGATTTCGTTGGAAACGGGATAAACTTCCCAGAACTACACGGAAGCATTGTGAGAAACTTCTTTGTGATGTTTGCATTCAACTCACAGAGTTGAACCTTGCTTTCATAGTTCAGCTTTCAAACACTCCTTTTGTAGAATCTGCAAGTGGATATTTGGACCACTTTGTGGCCTTCCTTGGAAACGGGTATATCTTCACATCAAACCTAGACAGAAGCATTCTCAGAATGTTTCCTGTGATGACTGCATTCAACTCACAGAGGTGAACAATCCTGCTGATGGAGCAGTTTTGAAACTCTCTTTCTTTGGATTCTGCAAGTGGATATGTGGACCTCTGTGAAGATTTCGTTGGAAACGGGTTCATCTTCACAGAAAAACTAAACAGAAGCATTCTCAGAAACTGCTTTGTGATTTTTGTGTTCCACTTCAAGAATTGAACTTTCCTCTTGACAGAGCAGCTCTGAAACCCTCTTTTTCTAGAGTCTGCAAGTGGACATTTGGAGGGCTTTGAGGCCTGTGGTGGAAAAGGAAAATCTTCACATAAAAACTAGATGGAAGCATTCTCAGAAACTACTTTGTGATGATTGCATTCGACCCACAGAGTTGAACATTCCTATAGATAGAGCAGGTTGTAAACAATCTTTTTGTAGAATCTGCGATTGGAGATTTGGACTGCTTTGAGGCCTACTGTAGTAAAGGAAATAACTTCATCTAAAAACCAAACAGAAGCATTCACAGACAATTCTTAGTGATCATTGGATTGAACTAACAGAGCTGAACATTCCCTTAGATGGCGCAGTTTCCAAACACACTTTCTGTAGAATCTGCAAGTGGATATTTGGACCTCTCTGAGGATTTCGTTGGAAACGGGCTAAACTTCCCAGAACTACACGGAAGCATTCTGAGAAACTTCTTTGTGATGTTTGCATTCAACTCACAGAGTTGAACCTTGCTTTCATAGTTCAGCTTTCAAACACTCTTTTTGTAGAATCTGCAAGTGGATATTTGGACCACTTTGTGGCCTTCCTTCGAAACGGGTATATCTTCACATCAATCCTAGACAGAAGCATTCTCAGAATGTTTCCCTGTGATGACTGCGTTCAACTCACAGAGGTGAACAATCCTGCTGATGGAGCAGTTTTGAAACTCTCTTTCTTTGGATTCTGCAAGTTGATATGTGGACCTCTGTGAAGATTTCGTTGGAAACGGGTTCATCTTCACAGAAAAACTAAACAGGAGCATTCTCAGAAACTGCTTTGTGATGTTTGTGTTCCACTTCAAGAATTGAACTTTCCTCTTGACAGAGCAGCTCTGAAAACCTCTTTTTCTAGAATCTGCAAGTGGACATTTGGAGGGTTTTGAGACCTGTGGTGCAAAAGGAAAATCTTCACATAAAAACTAGATGGAAGCATTCTCAGAAACTACTTTGTGATGATTGCATTCGACTCACAGAGCTGAACATTACTATAGATAGAGCAGGTTGTAAACAATGTTTTTGTAGAATCTGCGATTGGAGATTTGGACTGCTTTGAGGCCTACTGTAGTAAAGGAAATAACTTCATCTAAAAACCAAACGGAAGCATTCACAGACAATTCTTAGTGATCATTGGATTGAACTAACAGAGCTGAACATTCCTTTAGATGGCGCAGTTTCCAAACACACTTTCTGTAGAATCTGCAAGTGGATATTTGGACCTCTCTGAGGATTTCGTTGGAAACGGGATAAACTTCCCAGAACTACACGGAAGCATTCTGAGAAACTTCTTTGTGATGTTTGCATTCAACTCACAGAGTTGAACCTTGCTTTCATAGTTCAGCTTTCAAAGACTCTTTTTGTAGAATCTGCAAGTGGATATGTGGACCACTTTGTGGCCTTCCTTCGAAACGGGTATATCTTCACATCAAACCTAGACAGAAGCATTCTCAGAATGTTTCCTGTGATGACTGCATTCAACTCACAGAGGTGAACAATCCTGCTCATGGAGCAGTTTTGAAACTCCCTTTCTTTGGATTCTGCAAGTGGATATGTGTAACTCTGCGAAGATTTCGTTGGAAACGGGTTGATCTTCACAGAAAAACTAAACAGTAGCATTCTCAGAAACTGCTTTGTGATGTTTGTGTTCCACTTCAGGAACTGAACTTTCCTCTTGACAGAACAGCTCTGAAACCCTCTTTTTCTAGAATCTGCAAGTGGACATTTGGAGGGCTTTGAAGCCTGTGGTGGAAAAGGAAAATCTTCACATAAAAACTAGATGGAAGCATTCTCAGAAACTACTTTGTGATGATTGCATTCGACTCACAGAGTTGAACATTCCTATAGATAGAGCAGGTTGTAAACAATCTTTTTGTAGAATCTGCGATTGGAGATTTGGACTGCTTTGAGGCCTACTGTAGTAAAGGAAATAACTTCATCTAAAAACCAAACGGAAGCATTCACAGACAATTCTTAGTGATCATTAGATTGAACTAACAGAGCTGAAAATTCCTTTAGATGGCGCAGTTTCCAAACACACTTTCTGTAGAATCTGCAAGTGGATATTTTGACCTCTCTGAGGATTTCGTAGGAAACGGGATAAACTTCCCAGAACTACACGGAAGCATTCTGAGAAACTTCTTTGTGATGTTTGCATTCAACTCACAGAGTTGAACCTTGCTTTCATAGTTCAGCTTTCAAACACTCTTTTTGTAGAATCTGCAAGAGGATATTTGGACCACTTTGTGGCCTTCCTTCGAAACGGGTATATCTTCACATCAATCCTAGACAGAAGCATTCTCAGAATGTTTCCTGTGATGACTGCATTCAACTCACAGAGGTGAACAATCCTGCTGATGGAGCAGTTTTGAAACTCTCTTTCTTTGGATTCTGCAAGTGGATATGTGGACCTCTGTGAAGATTTCGTTGGAAACGGGTTCATCTTCACAGAAAAACTAAACAGGAGCATTCTCAGAAACGGCTTTGTGATGTTTGTGTTCCACTTCAGGAATTGAACTTTCCTCTTGACAGAGCAGCTCTGAAACCCTCTTTTTCTAGAATCTGCAAGTGGACATTTGGAGGGCTTTGAGGCCTGTGGTGGAAAAGGAAAATCTTCCCATAAAAACTAGATGGAAGCATTCTCAGAAACTACTTTGTGATGATTGCATTCGACTCACAGAGTTGAACATTCCTATAGATAGAGCAGGTTGTAAACAATCTTTTTGTATAATCTGCGATTGGAGATTTGGACTGCTTTGAGGCCTACTGTAGTAAAGGAAATAACTTCATCTAAAAACTAAACGGAAGCATTCACAGACAATTCTTAGTGATCATTGGATTGAACTAACAGAGCTGAACATTCCTTTAGATGGAGCAGTTTCCAAACACACTTTCTGTAGAATCTGCAAGTGGATATTTGGACTTCTCTGAGGATTTCGTTGGAAACGGGATAAACTTCCCAGAACTACACGGAAGTATTCTGAGAAACTTCTTTGTGATGTTTGCATTCAACTCACAGAGTTGAACCTTGCTTTCATAGTTCAGCTTTCAAACACTCTTTTTGTAGAATCTGCAAGTGGATATTTGGACCACTTTGTGGCCTTCCTTCGAAACGGGTATATCTTCACATCAAACCTAGACAGAAGCATTCTCAGAATGTTTCCTGTGATGACTGCATTCAACTCACAGAGTTGAACAATCCTGCTGATGGAGCAGTTTTGAAACTCTCTTTCTTTGGATTCTGCAGGTGGATATGTGGACCTCTGTGAAGATTTCATTGGAAACGGGTTTATCTTCACAGAAAAACTAAACAGAAGCATTCTCAGAAACTGCTTTGTGATGTTTGTGTTCCACTTCAGGAATTGAACTTTCCTCTTGACAGAGCAGCTCTGAAACCCTCTTATTCTAGAATATGCAAGTGGACATTTGGAGGGCTTTGAGGCCTGTGGTGGAAAAGGAAAATCTTCACATAAAAACTAGACGGAAGCATTCTCAGAAACTACTTTGTGATGATTGCATTCGACTCACAGAGTTGAACATTCCTATAGATAGAGCAGGTTGTAAACAATCTTTTTGTAGAATCTGCGATTGGAGATTTGGACTGCTTTGAGGCCTACTGTAGTAAAGGAAATAACTTCATCTAAAAACCAAACGGAAGCATTCACAGACAATTCTTAGTGATCATTGCATTGAACTAACAGAGCTGAACATTCCTTTAGATGGCGCAGTTTCCAAACACACTTTCTGTAGAATCTGCAAGTGGATATTTGGACCTCTCTGAGGATTTCGTTGGAAACGGGATAAACTTCCCAGAACTACACGGAAGCATTCTGAGAAACTTCTTTGTGATGTTTGCATTCAACTCACAGAGTTGAACCTTGCTTTCATAGTTCAGCTTTCAAACACTCTTTTTGTAGAATCTGCAAGTGGATATTTGGACCACTTTGTGGCCTTCCTTCGAAACGGGTATATCTTCACATCAAACCTAGACAGAAGCATTCTCAGAATGTTTCCTGTGATGACTGCATTCAACCCACAGACGTGAACAATCCTGCTGATGGAGCAGTTTTGAAACTCTCTTTCTTTGGATTCTGCAAGTGGATATGTGGACCTCTGTGAAGATTTCGTTGGAAACGGGTTCATCTTCACAGAAAAACTAAACAGAAGCATTCTCAGAAACTGCTTTGTGAAGTTTGTGTTCCACTTCAAGAATTGAACTTTCCTCTTGACAGAGCAGCTCTGAAACCCTCTTTTTCTAGAATCTGCAAGTGGACATTTGGAGGGCTTTGAGGCCTGTGGTGGAAAAGGAAAATCTTCACATAAAAACTAGATGGAAGCATTCTCAGAAACTACTTTGTGATGATTGCATTCGACTCACAGAGTTGAACATTCCTATAGATAGAGCAGGTTGTAAACAATCTTTTTGTAGAATCTGCGATTGGAGATTTGGACTGCTTTGAGGCCTACTGTAGTAAAGGAAATAACTTCATCTAAAAACCAAACGGAAGCATTCACAGACAATTCTTAGTGATCATTGGATTGAACTAACAGAGCTGAACATTCCTTTAGATGGAGCATTTTCCAAACACACTTTCTGTAGAATCTGCAAGTGGATATTTGGACTTCTCTGAGGATTTCGTTGGAAACGGGATAAACTTCCCAGAACTACACGGAAGCATTCTGAGAAACTTCTTTGTGATGTTTGCATTCAACTCACAGAGTTGAACCTTGCTTTCATAGTTCAGCTTTCAAACACTCTTTTTGCAGAATCTGCAAGTGGATATTTGGACCACTTTGTGGCCTTCCTTCGAAACGGGTATATCTTCACATCAAACCTAGACAGAAGCATTCTCAGAATGTTTCCTGTGATGACTGCATTCAACTCACAGAGGTGAACAATCCTGCTGATGGAGCAGTTTTGAAACTCTCTTTCTTTGGATTCTGCAAGTGGATATGTGGACCTCTGTGAAGATTTCGTTGGAAACGGGTTCATCTTCACAGAAAAACTAAACAGAAACATTCTCAGAAACTGCATTGTGATGTTTGTGTTCCACTTCAAGAATTGAACTTTCCTCTTGACAGAGCAGCTCTGAAACCCTCTTTTTCTAGAATCGGCAAGTGGACATTTGGAGGGCTTTGAGGCCTGTGGTGGAAAAGGAAAATCTTCACATAAAAACTAGATGGAAGCATTCTCAGAAACTACTTTGTGATGATTGCATTCGACTCACAGAGTTGAACATTCCTATAGATAGAGCAGGTTGTAAACAATCTTTTTGTAGAATCTGCGATTGGAGATTTGGACTGCTTTGAGGCCTACTGTAGTAAAGGAAATAACTTCATCTAAAAACCAAACGGAAGCATTCACAGACAATTCTTAGTGATCATTGCATTGAACTAACAGAGCTGAACATTCCTTTAGATGGAGCAGTTTCCAAACCCACTTTCTGTAGAATCTGCCAGTGGATATTTGGACTTCTCTGAGGATTTCGTTGGAAACGGGATAAACTTCCCAGAACTACACGGAAGCATTCTGAGAAACTTCTTTGTGATGTTTGCATTCAACTCACAGAGTTGAACCTTGCTTTCATAGTTCAGCTTTCAAACACTCTTTTTGTAGAATCTGCAAGTGGATATTTGGACCACTTTCTGGCCTTCCTTCGAAACGGGTATATCTTCACATCAAACCTAGACAGAAGCATTCTCAGAATGTTTCCTGTGATGACTGCATTCAACTCACAGAGGTGAACAATCCTGCTGATGGAGCAGTTTTGAAACTCTCTTTCTTTGGATTCTGCAAGTGGATATGTGGACCTCTGTGTAGATTTCGTTGGAAACGGGTTCATCTTCACAGAAAAACTAAACAGGAGCATTCTCAGAAACTGCTTTGTGATGTTTGTGTTCCACTTCAAGAATTGAACTTTCCTCTTGACAGAGCAGCTCTGAAACCCTCTTTTTCTAGAATCTGCAAGTGGACATTTGGAGGGCTTTGAGGCCTGTGGTGGAAAAGGAAAATCTTCCCATAAAAACTAGATGGAAGCATTCTCAGAAACTACTTTGTGATGATTGCATTCGACTCACAGAGTTGAACATTCCTATAGATAGAGCAGGTTGTAAACAATCTTTTTGTAGAATCTGCGATTGGAGATTTGGACTGCTTTGAGGCCTACTGTAGTAAAGGAAATAACTTCATCTAAAAACCAAACGGAAGCATTCACAGACAATTCTTAGTGATCATTGGATTGAACTAACAGAGCTGAACATTCCCTTAGATGGCGCAGTTCCCAAACACACTTTCTGTAGAATCTGCAAGTGGATATTTGGACCTCTCTGAGGATTTCGTTGGAAACGGGATAAACTTCCCAGAACTACACGGAAGCATTCTGAGAAACTTCTTTGTGATGTTTGCATTCAACTCACAGAGTTGAACCTTGCTTTCATAGTTCAGCTTTCAAACACTCTTTTTGTAGAATCTGCAAGTGGATATTTGGACCACTTTGTGGCCTTCCTTCGAAACGGGTATATCTTCACATCAAACCTAGACAGAAGCATTCTCAGAATGTTTCCTGTGATGACTGCATTCAACTCACAGAGGTGAACAATCCTGTTGATGGAGCACTTTTGAAACTCTCTTTCTTTGGATTCTGCAAGTGGATATGTGGACCTCTGTGAAGATTTCGTTGGAAACGGGTTCATCTTCACAGAAAAACTAAACAGAAGCATTCTCAGAAACTGCTTTGTGATGTTTGTGTTCCACTTCAAGAATTGAACTTTCCTCTTGACAGAGCAGCTCTGAAACCCTCTTCTTCTAGAATCTGCAAGTGGACATTTGGAGGGCTTTGATGCCTGTGGTGGAAAAGGAAAATCTTCACATAAAAACTAGATGGAAGCATTCTCAGAAACTACTCTGTGATGATTGCATTCGACTCACAGAGTTGAACATTCCTATATATAGAGCAGGTTGTAAACAATCTTTTTCTAGAATCTGCGATTGGAGATTTGGACTGCTTTGAGGCCTACTGTAGTAAAGGAAATAACTTCATCTAAAAACCAAACGGAAGCATTCACAGACAATTCTTAGTGATCATTGCATTGAACTAACAGAGCTGAACATTCCTTTAGATGGAGCAGTTTCCAAACACACTTTCTGTAGAATCTGCAAGTGGATATTTGGACCTCTGTGAGGATTTCTTTGGAAACGGGATAAACTTCCCAGAACTACACGTAAGCATGCTGAGAAACTTCTTTGTGATGTTTGCATTCAACTCACAGAGTTGAACCTTGCTTTCATAGTTCAGCTTTCAAACACTCTTTTTGTAGAATCTGCAAGTGGATATTTGGACCACTTTGTGGCCTTCCTTCGAAACGGGTATATCTTCACATCAAACCTAGACAGAAGCATTCTCAGAATGTTTCCTGTGATGACTGCATTCAACTCACAAGAGGTGAACAATCCTGTTGATGGAGCAGTTTTGAAACTCTCTTTCTTTGGATTCTGCAAGTGGATATGAGGACCTCTGTGAAGATTTCGTTGGAAACGGGTTCATCTTCACAGAAAAAATAAACAGGAGCATTCTCGGAAACTGCTTTGTGATGTTTGTGTTCCACTTCAGGAATTGAACTTTCCTCTTGACAGAGCAGCTCTGAAACCCTCTTATTCTAGAATCTGCAAGTGGACATTTGGAGGGCTTTGAGGCCTGTGGTGGAAAAGGAAAATCTTCACATAAAAACTAGATGGAAGCATTCTCAGAAACTACTTTGTGATGATTGCATTCGACTCACAGAGTTGAACATTCCTATAGATAGAGCAGGTTGTAAACAATCTTTTTGTAGAATCTGCGATTGGAGATTTGGACTGCTTTGAGGCCTACTGTAGTAAAGGAAATAACTTCATCTAAAAACCAAACGGAAAGCATTCACAGACAATTCTTAGTGATCATTGGATTGAACTAACAGAGCTGAACATTCCTTTAGATGGAGCAGTTTCCAAACACACTTTCTGTAGAATCTGCAAGTGGATATTTGGACCTCTCTGAGGATTTCGTTGGAAACGGGATAAACTTCCCAGAACTACACGGAAGCATGCTGAGAAACTTCTTTGTGATGTTTGCATTCAACTCACAGAGTTGAACCTTGCTTTCATAGTTCAGCTTTCAAACACTCTTTTTGTAGAATCTGCAAGTGGATATTTGGACCACTTTGTGGCCTTCCTTCGAAACGGGTATATCTTCACATCAAACCTAGACAGAAGAATTCTCAGAATGTTTCCTGTGATGACTGCATTCAACTCACAGAGGTGAACAATCCTGTTGATGGAGCAGTTTTGAAACTCTCTTTCTTTGGATTCTGCAAGTGGATATGTGGACCTCTGTGAAGATTTCGTTGGAAACGGGTTCATCTTCACAGAAAAACTAAACAGCAGCATTCTCAGAAACTGCTTTGTGATGTTTGTGTTCCACTTCAGGAATTGTACTTTCCTCTTGACAGAGCAGCTCTGAAACCCTCTTATTCTAGAATCTGCAAGTGGACATTTGGAGGGCTTTGAGGCCTGTGGTGGAAAAGGAAAATCTTCACATAAAAACTAGATGGAAGCATTCTCAGAAACTACTTTGTGATGATTGCATTCGACTCACAGAGTTGAACATTCCTATAGATAGAGCAGGTTGTAAACAATCTTTTTGTAGAATCTGCGATTGGAGATTTGGACTGCTTTGAGGCCTACTGTAGTAAAGGAAATAACTTCATCTAAAAACCAAACGGAAGCATTCACAGACAATTCTTAGTGATCATTGCATTGAACTAACAGAGCTGAACATTGCTTTAGATGGCGCAGTTTCCAAACACACTTTCTGTAGAATCTGCAAGTGGATATTTGGACCTCTCTGAGGATTTCGTTGGAAACGGGATAAACTTCCCAGAACTACACGGAAGCATTGTGAGAAACTTCTTTGTGATGTTTGCATTCAACTCACAGAGTTGAACCTTGCTTTCATAGTTCAGCTTTCAAACACTCTTTTTGTAGAATCTGCAAGTGGATATTTGGACCACTTTGTGGCCTTCCTTCGAAACGGGTATATCTTCACATCAAACCTAGACAGAAGCATTCTCAGAATGTTTCCTGTGATGACTGCATTCAACTCACAGAGGTGAACAATCCTGTTGATGGAGCAGTTTTGAAACTCCCTTTCTTTGGATTCTGCAAGTGGATATGTGGACATCTGTTAAGATTTCGTTGGAAACGGGTTCATCTTCACAGAAAAACTAAACAGGAGCATTCTCAGAAACTGCTTTGTGATGTTTGTGTTCCACTTCAGGAATTGAACTTTCCTCTTGACAGAGCAGCTCTGAAACCCTCTTTTTCTAGAATCTGCAAGTGGACATTTGGAGGGCTTTGAGGCCTGTGGTGGAAAAGGAAAATCTTCACATAAAAACTAGATGGAAGCATTCTCAGAAACTACTTTGTGATGATTGCATTCGACTCACAGAGTTGAACATTCCTATAGATAGAGCAGGTTGTAAACAATCTTTTTGTAGAATCTGCGATTGGAGATTTGGACTGCTTTGAGGCCTACTGTAGTAAAGGAAATAACTTCATCTAAAAACCAAAATGGAAGCATTCACAGACAATTCTTAGTGATCATTGGATTGAACTAACAGAGCTGAACATTCCCTTAGATGGCGCAGTTTCCAAACACACTTTCTGTAGAATCTGCAAGTGGATATTTGGACCTCTCTGAGGATTTCTTTGGAAACGGGATAAACTTCCCAGAACTACACGGAAGCATTCTGAGAAACTTCTTTGTGATGTTTGCATTCAACTCACAGAGTTGAACCTTGCTTTCATAGTTCAGCTTTCAAACACTCTTTTTGTAGAATCTGCAAGTGGATATTTGGACCACTTTGTGGCCTTCCTTCGAAACGGGTATATCTTCACATCAAACCTAGACAGAAGCATTCTCAGAATGTTTCCTGTGATGACTGCATTCAACTCACAGAGGTGAACAATCCTGCTGATGGAGCAGTTTTGAAACTCTCTTTCTTTGGATTCTGCAAGTGGATATGTGGACCTCTGTGAAGATTTCGTTGGAAACGGGTTCATCTTCACAGAAAAACTAAACAGGAGCATTCTCAGAAACTGCTTTGTGATGTTTGTGTTCCACTTCAATAATTGAACTTTCCTCTTGACAGAGCAGCTCTGAAACCCTCTTTTTCTAGAATCTGCAAGTGGACATTTGGAGGGCTTTGAGGCCTGTGGTGGAAAAGGAAAATCTTCACATAAAAACTAGATGGAAGCATTCTCAGAAACTACTTTGCGATGATTGCATTCGACTCACAGAGTTGAACATTCCTATAGATAGAGCAGGTAGTAAACAATCTTTTTGTAGAATCTCCGATTGGAGATTTGGACTGCTTTGAGGCCTACTGTAGTAAAGGAAATAACTTCATCTAAAAACCAAACGGAAGCATTCACAGGACAATTCTTAGTGATTATTGGATTGAACTAACAGAGCTGAACATTCCTTTAGATGGCACAGTTTCCAAACACACTTTCTGTAGAATCTGCAAGTGGATATTTTGACCTCTCTGAGGATTTCGTTGGAAACGGGATAAACTTCCCAGAACTACACGGAAGCATTGTGAGAAACTTCTTTGTGATGTTTGCATTCAACTCACAGAGTTGAACCTTGCTTTCATAGTTCAGCTTTCAAACACTCTTTTTGTAGAGTCTGCAAGTGGATATTTGGACCACTTTGTGGCCTTCCTTCGAAACGGGTATATCTTCACATCAAACCTAGACAGATAAGCATTCTCAGAATGTTTCCTGTGATGACTGCATTGAACTCACAGAGGTGAACAATCCTGTTGATGGAGCAGTTTTGAAACTCTCTTTCTTTGGATTCTGCAAGTGGATATGTGGACCTCTGTGAAGATTTCGTTGGAAACGGGTTCATCTTCACAGAAAAACTAAACAGAAGCATTCTCAGAAACTGCTTTGTGATGTTTGTGTTCCACTTCAGGAATTGAACTTTCCTCTTGACAGAGCAGCTCTGAAACCCTCTTTTTCTAGAATCTGCAAGTGGACATTTGGAGGGCTTTGAGGCCTTTGGTGGAAAAGGAAAATCTTCACATAAAAACTAGATGGAAGCATTCTCAGAAACTACTTTGTGATGATTGCATTCGACTCACAGAGTTGAACATTCCTATAGATAGAGCAGGTTGTAAACAATCTTTTTGTAGAATCTGCGATTGGAGATTTGGACTGCTTTGAGGCCTACTGTAGTAAAGGAAATAACTTCATCTAAAAACCAAACGGAAGCATTCACAGACAATTCTTAGTGATCATTGCATTGAACTAACAGAGCTGAACATTCCTTTAGATGGCGTAGTTTCCAAACACACTTTCTGTAGAATCTGCAAGTGGATATTTGGACCTCTCTGAGGATTTCGTTGGAAACGGGCTAAACTTCCCAGAACTACACGGAAGCATTGTGAGAAACTTCTTTGTGATGTTTGCATTCAACTCACAGAGTTGAACCTTGCTTTCATAGTTCAGCTTTCAAACACTCTTTTTGTAGAATCTGCAAGTGGATATTTGGACCACTTTGTGGCCTTCCTTTGAAAAGGGTATATCTTCACATCAAACCTAGACAGAAGCATTCTCAGAATGTTTCCTGTGATGACTGCATTCAACTCACAGAGGTGAACAATCCTGCTGATGGAGCAGTTTTGAAACTCTCTTTCTTTGGATTCTGCAAGTGGATATGGGGACCTCTGTGAAGATTTCGTTGGAAACGGGTTCATCTTCACAGAAAAACTAAACAGGAGCATTCTCAGAAACTGCTTTGTGATGTTTGTGTTCCACTTCAAGAATTGAACTTTCCTCTTGACAGAGCAGCTCTGAAACCCTCTTTTTCTAGAATCTGCAAGTGGACATTTGGAGGGCTTTGAGGCCTGTGGTGGAAAAGGAAAATCTTCCCATAAAAACTAGATGGAAGCATTCTCAGAAACTACTTTGTGATGATTGCATTCGACTCACAGAGTTGAACATTCCTATAGATAGAGCAGGTTGTAAACAATCTTTTTGTAGAATCTGCGATTGGAGATTTGGACTGCTTTGAGGCCTACTGTAGTAAAGGAAATAACATCATCTAAAAACCAAACGGAAGCATTCACAGACAATTCTTAGTGATCATTGGATTGAACTAACAGAGCTGAACATTCCTTTAGATGGAGCAGTTTCCAAACACACTTTCTGTAGAATCTGCAAGTGGATATTTGGACCTCTCTGAGGATTTCGTTGGAAACGGGATAAACTTCCCAGAACTACATGGAAGCATTCTGAGAAACTTCTTTGTGATGTTTGCATTCAACTCACAGAGTTGAACCTTGCTTTCATAGTTCAGCTTTCAAACACTCTTTTTGTAGAATCTGCAAGTGGATATTTGGACCACTTTGTGGCCTTCCTTCGAAACGGGTATATCTTCACATCAAACCTAGACAGAAGCATTCTCAGAATGTTTCCTGTGATGACTGCATTCAACTCACAGAGGTGAACAATCCTGTTGATGGAGCAGTTTTGAAACTCTCTTTCTTTGGATTCTGCAAGTGGATATGTGGACCTCTGTGAAGATTTCGTTGGAAACGGGTTCATCTTCACAGAAAAACTAAACAGGAGCATTCTCAGAAACTGCTTTGTGATGTTTGTGTTCCACTTCAGGAATTGAACTTTCCTCTTGACAGAGCAGCTCTGAAACCCTCTTATTCTAGAATCTGCAAGTGGACATTTGGAGGGCTTTGAGGCCTGTGGTGGAAAAGGAAAATCTTCACATAAAAACTAGATGGA